>NC_000011.10:116869394-117172424 GCF_000001405.40 Homo sapiens
ACTATCTTGCCCCTTTCAGCTAAAATCAGTTAACAGACTGTAGAGTAATCAGTGTTATGTGAACTTGCCAAAGAGTAAGCCATTAATGTTTTAATAACCATTGGATAAAGACACCCAAAGTTCCCCAAAAGCCCATGAAAACCATTTTATTTCAACTTCCCTCAAAGGAAAAAACATATAATCTTGAAGAACACCTGTATTTCTGGGAAAATACATGCTGGATTCTGGTGAAACCCCCTCCCCGGATAATAAGAAAATCAACTCCCACAAGGGGGCATGCATGGAGCTAAGGACCAGGGCTAACGGAACTGAGGCCAAATGAACAGTACAGCATGCCTGATGGTCACTGCCGTTCTCTGTGAGTTAGGCATCTCTCAACAAGGTTCTGTAAACAATGGATATTTGCATCTGTCCCTGGCCCGAATCCCATATTCTCTTTTTCAATATCTCTTTGTTGGTACAAGGGGGTGGAAGAAGCACACAGCAAACAGTACAAGAGGTATTCATTCTCCTGGAAAGGAAAAGTCCATGCCAGAGGTCCATGGCCAGACTAGCTAGGATCACTGTCATCCCACATCTCCAATTCCTTTTCAGTAAACAGTTCTTGGCAGGTACGAGCAGGCTTTGTGCCTTGTGAATACTATCAGAGTTGCAATATGAAGGCAGGGGACAAGGAAGAAGGAGGGAGGAAAGAAAAAGTTCTTATGGTTATTGCTGTCACTTAGGGGACTTCCAATGGTGCTTACAGAAATGACATTTTCTGGGTAGTCTTCTGTTACTTCCATGTGGGGTGGAACATGCCATCTGGCTTGAGCAAAGAGACCACACAAATGTTGAAGCTGCACTCTACCACCTCCTTGGGCAGAGGTGACCTTTCGCTGGTTGCAGGGGAGCCTGCCCAGGGGCTTCTGCAAGCACTGCCAGATGTCACATTACCTCTGCACAGCTTCCTGGTCTGGCTCCCCGTCTGAGCTCTCCTCGTCCACAGGGGTAACTGCTGGCACTGCCTGAAGAGAGACAGGAAGGAAAAGCTCAAGGTGGCAGCTTATTCTGTCATGCCTCTTACTCTAGTAACTGGGCTTGGGGCAGGACTTTCTGTTAACTTTCTTATTTACAGAACTTTTCTAGACTCCTGGGTTATACAGGATTTTCATATACCTATTTTTCCATTTTTACCTTGCTTAGGTAATACTAATTAGAATTTCTTCCTCTTATTTATCTTCATTCATTCATTTATTAATCTAACAAATAGCCAAATGCTTACTGTTACAGGATAAAATGTGAATTTACAGACATAGACCTTGCCCTCATTTTACAGTCTAGTAGAGGATAGAGACAAGTAAACAATTACAAAATAGCATGATCAAGTCTTCTAATGGGGGTGTTTGGGAATTAAGGAAGGCATCCTGGAGGAGGTAGCACCTAGCAGGAACCTGAAGGATGCACAGGAGCTGGTCAGGCAAAGAGGGACAGGAGTTACAGGTTTCCAGGCAGAAGAAAAGAGAAGGCCTGTAGGTGTTTGAGGACCCGAAAATACAGTAGAAGATTGTTTACCTGAAATGTCTAGGACTTGACCTGTTGTTTCATATTAATGTGATTTCCGGAGTTTAAATGTCTTAACTCCAGGAAAGCATAGTGAATTACTGAAATTACATTTTGGTACATAAGATACAATTGTGTAGTATCAATTCACTGCTTTAAAATAGTTGTTACTCGCCAAAACATGTGAGTGAAATGAGAACCACCACAATGCTTGTATCACTGTGACTTTCCCATCTGCATCCTTGCTAGCTACCCATAGCCTGGGTGCCCACATCATCACCATGCCCCAGTCACTAGAACAAAAATCACACTTCAATTATTATAAAAGAGTATTTTACAAAATGGCTAATTACAAAACAAAACAAAACAAAACACTCCTGGAATAATTTTGTCGGAAAGCTCCCAGGGTTCCTGGATCCCTTCCCACAGTTCTACAAGGGTGGAGTGAACAGGGTGAGGCAGGAAGTGGCTGTAGATGAGGCAGGAGAGGAACGCTGTGGCCAGTGACAAATGGTCTTGAATAACACACTAAGAAGTTTGAGGAAGAACAGTGGTGAATCACTAAAGGATTTTAAGCAGGGGCATGATGTTATAAAGATTTATATTTGCAAAAGCCAGCTTACTCTAGCTGCAGTGTGAAAAGGGCTGGTGGCAGGGATCAGGGGACATGACTGGAAGCAAAGAAGTCAGTTAGGATGCCGTGGTGTTCATCTACACAATGGATGACAGTGACCTGAGTTAAGGAAAGGAAAGTGGAGAGGATGTTTCATTCACAGGCACTGGACAACTGACTTGATATGGCAAATAAGAAAGACAAGAGTTAAAGATAAAATTCACATCCCTAGCTTGTGTAACCCGGAGAATGACAGTGCCATTCACTGTCACCCAAGAGGAGGAGCAGGTTTTACAGAGTCATGGTAAGTTCATTTGGGACATGCTGAATTAAAGTTGTGAATACTTGTGGAATAACCAACTAAATCTATCCCATAGGCAGTCATGTACACGTATGTGTAGAACTCAGAGGAGCATTCTGGGCTGGAGAATCAGAGAGTAACTGAAATTACAGGAGTGGACAAACTCATCCAGAGAGAGTACATCAAAGGACATGGGAATAGGGCCTAGGATAAAACTCTGGGTTTTGCCAACCTCAAGGAACAAGCAGAAAGGAAATGTGAAAAGGAGAGGTGGGGGAAAACACAGGGAATGTGGTGCCACAGACACCAAGAACAGAAAATATTTCAAGGAAAAAAGAAGTCAACAGTGATTAATACAGTTGGGACGTCCAAAAAGATAAAAGGTTAAAAATGTCCACTGAATTTATCAACAAGAACTTGTTAGCGACCTTGGCAAAAACAGTTACAGTAGACACAGTAAGTCACCCCACGTCCCATAAAGCTGACCATGATCCTTCCAAACCTGTCTTGCCCATCTCTGAATGCCTCTGCCACCTAATTTTCCATGTTATTACTGTGGTACTTAATCACATATGATCTTGTACTATTAGTCAAATACTTCACATATGTTGATCTTGTCAGTGATGGCAAGGGCTATGATATATAATTCTTTCATTACTGAAAGTGTGGCCCATGGACCCATGCCCACAAACTGTTTTGTTACCAATTCATGATAAGGTAAGTACAGAAATCAACAAAAGGCTTTCAGAAACTTTTAGCAATTTAAAAAAATAAATAAAGAGACACTTTTAGCAATTTAACAGAGTAATTTTGTCTGTTGAACTCAATAAAAAATGCCTTGTATTTTATATGTGTTTAAATTTTCACTGTTCTAATGTTTCACTTTTACTATATTTTACAAGGGATTAACCCATGATGGATTAAAGGAGGGAAAAGGGTCCTCAAAGCAGCACTGCCCTTACAACATCTCCAAGGGTGATGGATATATTTACTACCCAATCTTATGGTACTATGAGATTGAATGAATAAATGAATGAATGAATGACCTATGACAGGAAAATAAACAGAACCCAAGGGAGAAAAAAAATCTCTGAATGTGACTATCATATGAAGGACATGTGACTAAGATAACTGACTCGGCTAAAGCTGTGGGAGCAAATCATCAAGTGATCCAGGTTATGCCAAACATGTGAGGTGTGTTTATCAATGGAGAAAGCATTAGTGAAAAGGCAATTTTGGAAGCCAGTCTAGAAACCAATTAATTTAAGGGCACTTTGGCCTTCTGGCAGGGAAAGGTTGCCTGGGAGAAGGCTCTGAGTTAGGCTGCTACCTGCCCCAAGCTGGCAGGAGTGCAGCTGGACTTAACCAGGGTACCTGTGAGCGCCCATTGAGGAAAAAGCTCTCCAGGAGTGGAGTTCAATGTAGAAATAACTTGGCTAAGTAAGTAAGTTCGCCAAAAATAAAGTGTGGAAAACTCTACTGGCCTGAAGAAAATGGGCTGGAGCATCCTAAGTTTGGAGAAAAAGGAAATTCAGACATGTAGGTTGGCCCTGGGTTCCCAACCCCAGGCTCACAACCTTTTTATCAAAAGCCTCTGAGACAGTGAATTGGGCTCTGTGCTGCTACTCACTGGTGTCATGGTGACAAGCGGAGAGGGTCCCCGTGGGCGCTTCAGCAGCTGCTGGGCATGCAGTTGGATGTTGGCTCCTCCATCTGATGCCCTCCGGCCAAGGGGGCCCATTCCATTCAACAGCTGTAGCGTGGGCGGCTGTAGGAGAGACTGCTCCTGCCAGGAACAGAGTGGGGAGGACGGACCATGAGATGAGGGGAAGGCGGGGAGAAAGGGGCAAGCCACTCATCTATGGAAATTAAGGGAGCCATGGGTCATGACAGAGACTAGAGGACGCTTCCCGCTCACCCGAGCTACTTTGCAAGATAAATCATCTTTCTCTATAAGTAAACCCTTAAGTCCTAGGGAAGGTGCCTCATAGCCTCTCAAAGGAAGCTCAAGTTTGTTTCTTCTGGAGCCAGCCCTCTTCCATGTCTAGGTACCTTGTACTCAAGTTGCCCGGTTGGTTGCAAGTTTTGCATAGGCAACAGGTTGTGCATGAAGTTCACATTAGGGGCCACCTGCAGGAATGGAGCCTGGGGGTTGACTCCAGGAAAGCCAGGTAGGAGCTTCTGCAGATCTTCCATAACTTCCGTGCTGATACAAAACAGAATGACAGAGAAGTTTAGTTAACATTCTTACTCAAAAGTGCTTATATCCCAAAACTGATGGCATTGCTATGTTCAGTACAACTTATTTTATTTTCTTCCTGAATTTATGTTTCTCTTTAAGATCCTAAAGCAAAGCAAAAGCCTAAAGTGTGGAATTTAACTCTCTGCTCCTTTACTATTTGGGACGAAGGATTGCTATTCTTTATTGGCCATTCATGTAAAACCAACAGCTCTGAGCCAAGAGGAAATAGTGGCACCAGTCCAGTTCAGGTTTTCAAATCCTGGAGGTGAACACCAAGTTTCTGGAGAACATGGGCCATCCACTAAGATAATGGCTGCCTGAAGTAGCAACTGATTCACCAGGGAAAGAATGCAATTACTCTTGTCAGTGCTGATAGGACAGATAAGTACTAGATGTACAGGGCTATCTTGCTACAATGATAGGTTTTACAGCATACTTTAAAGTAAGACATCTTTCCACTAACAGAGCGACTCAGGGCTCCACCCCTTTAAAGCTATCTCAGTCTGTGGAGCCAGAATGTTCCCCTATTGCCTATTTGATCATAGGCTGAGAACAAGAGACATAAAGCAAGCACATCAGCAGGCATGGGAGTCTTTTTTGGAAATTCACTGGAAGAAAAGAGATATTTATAAGAAAACCAGCTTTGCCCTGATTTGACCTCTCAGGAGAATTCTTCCCACAACCTTCTCTTCCTACTCAGCAAAGAAAAAATCCAGAAAAGAGGTAAGGCTATTTTAATGTTGAGAGTCTTCAACCGTGGAACAAAAATGGGGCGAGCTGGCCTTCAGTCCATTTTTTCCAGTGTGCAGGCAGCAGGGAACATCATGAAAGACTATTTTGGGAAAACACTTTGGGAAACTGTTGTTATTGGATTTTGGATCCTTATTCATTTAAATTTTAATTGTCTACATACATAAGTTACATCATATCATTTGTCCACTTGGCCACTGGATTAGATCTCCTCTGGGGATACAATGTAGTAGGAAATGTGCCATGGTAGACACTGAAAGTCAGGTGACAATTCTTTGCCCCAGTGTTAGTGAGGGCTGTTGGCCGGATACTCACCGTGGGTCAGCCACACCCACTGTGTGCCTCCTCATTGACAAATAGCGCACCAATGCTTCAGGGGAAGGCTCTTCACCCTCATCACTGTCCAAATTCAGTGTCCCATCCGGCTGAGGTGGAGGGAAACACCATCGAGTTAGAAATCAGAAGGAAGGGAAGCAAGGATATGGCAAAGAAAGTGGTTTCAGCTGACAGCTCCCACAGGTTGCTACTTGCCTCCACAATTTGGTTCTCTGGGTTGATCAGCTGCACCTGGGGAACGCTGATGTTCATAGCAGTACCTGCCTGCTCCGCCTGGAAAGCAGTACATACATATACACGCATACCTTTAACACTAGAGAGAAATAATGAGTCTTTCCAAGTAGTCTTGATTGCTAAAGTCTATGTTTCCCTGATTACTAAAGTTTTTGGTTCATCGGCCCTTAGAAGTCACAACAAGGAAGCATCCTGTGAAGAGGATAGCATCGCCTCATGATTTGCTATTTCTTCAAAAAAACAAAAGGCACAACTATTGTTGCTCATCCCTCCTCTCCATCAAAAAAGGTTCAGATCTTTGATTGGCCTCTGACAAAGGAAGAGATGACAAATGGGAGGAGACAGAGGTAAGGAAGAGCAAGAAACTCTCGACTTAGGGTTAGTGAGCAACAGCTAACCTTTACCCCCCTGGTGTTACTTGTCCTGAACTAGGTCACTGGAGTTATTGCCCACCTGGATATTGACTGGTGCTTGAAAGGCCAGGGCTCGGGGCATGCTAGGAAGTGCTCCGAGACGCAGGGTTTTATGTCTCTTATGTCGATCACACAGCAGGCTGTAGATTGCACTATAGTGATCATAGGCATCTGATCTTAATGACTACCAAGAGAGAAGGGAAAAGAGTACAAAACCCTGGTGAAATGGCATGTTGATGACCAGAACCCTTTCAGTAATAACATTAGCCAAAGCACCTTCTTTCCTTCTTTCCAAGGCCCAGGAAGGGGCAGAGGAAGAAAAACAGGAGGAAAAAAAAGGCCCAAGTTCCCGAGAAGGCGAAAAATGGAAAAAGCAGGTTAGAGGAACTGCTACATCCCACTTTGTTCTCCACTCCTTCGGAGATACCTGCAGTGTCTGTTCTTTGTCCAGTCCCATGTCCTCCATGGCCAAGAGGACATCCTCATTCAGGGGGTCCACCTGTCTTTCTTCCTTTAGTTGTTGGCATTCAGCTATTAACTGTAACATAAAAAGGAGGAAGCTGTCAACCCCCCAATTAACCACATCAAATGTGGCACAGCATATATAATGACCAACCTGTTCCATGCCCTCTGGCTTGGGATATTTTTGGCCTCAGACAAAGTCTAAGGAAGAGAGCCCTGAGTGATCAGCTGTAAACAGACAACAACTCACTGTTTCCTGAGCTCCCTGGCATACCTGGCATGGCCATAGTGGTTTAAATAAAAGCATGCTACAGAAGCCACTGAATTGAGCACACTAAGACAAGAGGAAGGCGACATCCCCATGGTAGGTAAGCTGCAGAACTGCAGGCTGTGCTATCTCAAAAGCCAAAAACAGACGATAATTTGGGGACACATGGTAGGGAACCATGATCACTATTCTCCAGCAGTTTAACTGGTTTTACATTCCTTCTTGCTTGCTTCACGTGCTGCTTTAGTGTTACATAATAGTTTGTTCCCAGTGTCCGCCTTTCAGGTTATGGCCTGATTACAATCACATGCAAAGGAGGCTGCAGCAGCTTTCAGAGGAGTCCCCTGCAGCAGCGGTTCCCAGCTCACCCTGTCAAAGTTGGGATCGGCGTCCCCTAGCTTCATCCACTTGTGCTTGCAGATCTGCTCCATGGAGAGGCGCTTATTGGGATCTAACACCAACATATGGCGGATCAAATGCTCACATTCTGCAATGGACAAACAGCCTGCCTTCAGTCTCTGGTGAGGGGAGGCACCAGGGGAGTAGAGGAACCAGGGGCAAAGCCAGCAGGGAGGCTATCCAACTCCCTGCTTCTAATTTTGTCTCTCTTGCTCTTTGATCCTTACCTATTCTGTTGCTTATGCCACCAGAAGGGGCTAAGCAAAGGCAGAGAGAGGTGGAGAAAAAGAAACTCAAGTGTGGTAGTCTGGTTGTTGCCTTCACCAAAAGGCTGACCAGAAAAGGTCTGGGGATAATCCATGGATTTCATTTATTTATATTATGTATATGGCCCTATTTAACACAAGTAATGAAGAGTAGAATGGCCTCTAAAGAGATTCAGTATCTTACAAGGTTCTCAAAATATTCAGTTCTATCCTCCTAAATGTACCACCACGCGCATACTAATGCTTTTGGCTTAGGTGTGCAATACCCTTCTTCAAAACTCAGGGAACTTGAATTTCTGATGGCACAAGGTGTGTGGGGAGAGAGCCACAGGCTACTTCTCTCCTATGCCCTGGGATTCAGCTAGCCTTATTTATCATTTTCTTCTCAATGTTATTTAAATAGTCATAGGTATTTAAAACTGGGCTGTGAGCTACAGATATTCAGATCTATAGAAATTTTTCTCTGGGAGCTCGTATTACAGATTACATTGCAGAAAGAACAATGGATTCAAAATCAAGAAACGTATATTCTGATTTCAAAACCACCCTCTAAGTTTTCTCATCTATAAAATGTGGCTACTGAGGGTGATGAGAGTAATAGTTGTGATGAAGGCAGTGATGATGATACCAAAACAGCACTATTGATGCATCTTCTGAGCATTTTACAATTATTATTTCCTCATTTAATCTACACAGCAATCCTAGGAGGAATGTACTATCATTGTTCCCATTTTAGGAATAGCAAAAACCAGGCACAGGGAGGTAAAGAAACTTGTCAAGGTCACATGGCTATTAAGTCAAACCAGATAGCCTGACTCTTCACCTGGTTCTCTTAACCACAATGCTACCCTGCCCCTGTGGTGCAGAGTTGTTGGGGGATCCAAATCCCCCAACACTAATTCAGCACTGAACCATTAATTCAACATCTTTATCCAAGCCACCATTTCTGACTTACACGCTGCAAAAGTCTCCTACCCGGTCTTTCTGCTTCCATTCTTTCTCCATTACAATCTGTTTTCTATAGAGAGGCAAAAGGAATTTTTCCAAAGCATAAATTTGGGCATATCACCACTTTGCCTGTAACTCTCCAATCTCTTCCCATAACCCTCAGAATGAAATCTAAAGTCCTGGGCCTCCAAGGCTCCTACTTCTCTCTCTCCCTTTTTTTTTTTTTTTTACATAGAGTCTCGCTCTGTCACCCAGGCTGTGGAGTGCAGTGTGCGATCTCGGCTCACTGCAACCTCCGCCTCCTGGGTTCACGTGATTCTCCTGCCTCAGCTTCTCCAGCAGCTGGGATTACAGGCCTGTGCCACCACGCCCAGCTAATTTTTGCATCTTTAATAGAGGCGAGGTTTCACCATGTTGGCCAGGCTGGTCTCGAACAACTGACCTCAAGTGATCCGCCTGCCTCAGCCTCCCAAAGTGCTGGGATTACAGGCGTGAGCCACCGCGCTTGGCCCCCTACTTCCCTCTCTGACCTGGTTTCCTGCCACTATGCACATTTCTAGTTTTTGCACATGTTTAACACACTCTCATCCAATGGCCTTTACATGTGTTTTTTTGTTTGTTTTTTCCTTTAGTGGAAATGGCCATTCCTCAGATCTTCATATGATTGGCTCCTTGTCATTCAGGTAAGAGTTTAAACGTCACTTCCTCAGAAAGCTCTTCTTTAACCATCTACTCTAAGATGGGCCTCCAGTCACTCTCTATTACATCACATTCATTGTCTTCACGCAAATGATTTCTTTGGGAAACCATCTTGTTTATGTATTTACTTATTGTCTGACTCCTCCACTGCAATGCAAGGCCCATGTCTTTCTTTCTGTTGTACCCAGTATCAACTCTCCAGTACCTAAAATGGTTATTATATCTAGACACTTAGGAGCTGCATAAATATCTACTGAATATGTAAATAAATATTTGTTGAGTATTTAATCAAATGAGATTGTAATTGTGAAAATTTTTTTAAAATAAAATTTTCTATAGGTTTTTAAATTTTCTGCTTCTATTTAATCACAACCGTCCTGAAAACAAAACTGGCCAGTGAAAATAACAACAACAGTAAGACATTATTACAAAAAACTACTTTTGATATACCAAGCACTGTGCTTACCAACTTTATTACATTTAACCTTCACAACAACCTTAACTTAGAGACTATAATTAGCTCCACTTATAAATGAAGAAGAAACAAGATTTTGAAAGTTAACATATTCAACATGGCAAAGAAATGGTAAAGTTGGGACTTCTAAGCTGTGCTCTTGACTACCCTATTATACATCTCCACATGGATATAAATTGATCTACTTTTCTAGGGTGAATTCAACTCTTCAATTTCTATACCATTTGGCAAACACCATTCTATATTACTGTTGTGAAAAGAATACTACAAGTAACTAAGATAAATTACTCTTATTTTAATTTACTCTAACTTCAAAAGATAATACAACAAAGTTCCTATATCAAAATGATTTCTTACATCAGGCATCAATTTGTTGTTGCTTTACAATTAAAACTATATTCAAATGCAGTGTACATCTCAAAGACTTCTACATTCCTATAGAATAAAGTAAATGCCATCTACAACAGTACGCTTTATTAAAATTACATTTCCAGAGTAGTAAGGCTAGAGCCACAACTGTAGCAGCACCTGTATAGATTATAAATGTCATTGACACATATGTTTATCGTTTGCAGTTACTTAAGAGGACAAAAGTGTTCTTAATTTAGGAAGTTGTTAAAGACTCCTGTGTAGGGAGAAGGCTAGGACCAAACTGTTGTTAAGGCCTCTAGATGGCACTCTCCTGTTTTCCTTTGGTCTCCACACACAATTTAGTGCATAAGATGACCAAAGCTGAATGGTGTTCAGTTACAGGCTTGCTTTAAAACAGATTTTTTCCAAGGCAATTTCCTTAAAAGCAAACAACAATAACAACAACACCACCACACACACAACCAAACCAAAAACAGTACCATAATAATTCCTAATTAGAAGATATATCTAGTTCAATTTCAGGATCTTGAAACCTCTATTCAGTCATCCTTAACCATTATTTGGCCTCAGATGCCTTGAAAATTCTCCAAAAAAAAAAAAAAATCTGCACAAGAATTTATACACAAGACCTTGCATGTAACTTTAGACTACTCAACGATGTCCTATGAAGCCTGCATAGATCCCCCAGACCCTGGTGTCTACAGGCCCCAGATTAAGAACCAAAACAATTCTTGGTTACAGTGTCAAGGGCAAGAGCTTTTTAATCTTGACTATCCTACATAATATCGAACGTGCCAAGGAACAGAAATTTAACATTTTTCATATGTGGTGCAGATGGAAAATATGACAAAATGCAGAAAGCTAGAGTATCATCATCAATTCATATTTCCTAAGTGTCATGTAGTTCATGAAATTAAATTCAGATGAGATTTGAAGACACCATTCTACATAAAACATGGAAACAGGGTGAAAACGAGGGGAATAGATGCTCTCAAACCTAAGAACACAATCACCCACAGGACATTCAATTTACAAGCATGGAAAGATGGAGCCCTCACATTAAACAAAACATCAACTTTTCCAGATACCAAGAACTACTCTATTTTATTGTCTAAAAGGTCCCTGTTGGCCAGGCATGGTGGCTCACGTCTGTAATCCCAGCACTTTGGGAAGCTGAGGTGGGCAGATTGCTTGAGGCTAGGAGTTCGAGACCAGCCTGGCCAACATGGTAAAACCCTGTTTCTACTAAAAATACAAAAATTAGCTGGGTGTGGTGGTACACACCTGTAATCCCAGCTACCCGGGAGGCTGAGGTAGGAGAATGGCGTGAACCTGGGAGGCGGAGCTTGCAGTGAGCCGAGATCGCACCACTGCACTCCAGCCTGGGCGACAGAGCGAGACTCCGTCTCTAAAAAAATAAATAAATAAAATAAATAAATAAATAAAAAATAAAAGGGCCCCATTATTTGCTCCCACCCAAAAGGCAGGGCCTCTGATGCTAAATGAAACTGAACCACTTTGGGCAATGCAAGAATATGCTCCTCTGCTTGTGTGTGCCAGAGAAGCAGCTTCCCTTCAGAGCTGCTTTCATCTGCTCCATGCAAGACGCCAAGCGGTCTCCGCAGTGAGAGTCACTGTGGGCCCAGGAAACCTGATCTGCCAACAGAACGTTAACTAGAGGATGTTCAGCACAGGCCTTGCCCTGCTGCGCTGCCAGGCATTTGGATGACTTTGTGGGGAGAGAGCTGCTGTATGGGCAGGGTCCTAAAATGAGAATTAAGTTGACATAGCCAGTGTGAGTCCGTATCTGTGAAAGCAACATTTTTTTTCTTTTTTTTTGTCCTTGATAATAAAACAAATTTCTCTAAGTGGTTACAACAAACCAAAACAATTCTTGGGAGATAAGTCTTCTCCATAAGCCGTGTGGATTTGACTGAAAATAGTAATGTCCCTTTGGCATACCAAGAGAGCAAAAATGAGAGAAAGATACATAGAAAAGAGTAAAAAAAATAGGGAAGAAGAGAATGAAAGACTAATAGAGCAATTCATTCAACAATATTATTTAATCATTACTAACATTTATTGACCATTTACATGATAGGCAAAGTGCTAAACCCTTTAAGTTAATTTAAGCATCTACTTCACAAACCAACCCAATACTATTATCTCAATTTTATAGACAAAGAGAATTTAAAATCAGAGAAGTTGAGAAACTTGATCAGATAATAAGAGGCCAAAGCAGAATACAAATTCTGGTCAGTCTTACTCCAGGGAGCTCTTAACCTACATGGTACCTAAAATAAACACATTATTGGTATTCTGGGTTATGAAAACAAACCAAAACAATTCTCTCCTCTGGCAGATCAGATGCCATGTCATCTTCACAGGTTCCATCATGACAGAATCACCCACAAGCTAGGTTAGTACAAAATGGGCCAGGCAAATAGATGGTGCAAAGACCAAGAACTAGCTTTAAGGGGAGACGGCAAGTTGGATGGATTAATGAGGCAGGGACATGAGAACACTAAATGGGGAGCGTTGTCTTATTCATAATTTTGCTGGTGAGGATTAAATACACTGTGGTAGAGCAAACTTATTTATATACTCTAGTTGTTGCAAGGTGATGAAGACTATGATGGAAGGCTTGAAACAGAAGGCTTCCCGAATCAAGGATCAAAGATAAGAGGAGATAGGTAAAAATTTAAGGAACCAGATCATCAGACTCTTCAGGCTGATCCTATGAAGGAGGGAAAGCCATTTGTCCCTGAAACCCTGCATGTGACACCAAAGAACAGAACATGGCAAAACAATCCTTTCCAGCTCTGTGGTGAGCAATGGCATAGAAGAAACTGAGTCATGGATTCTTTCTGACCACATAAAGCTGCTTTGAGCTGGTGGAAACAGAAGACATCTGTGTACCAGAAGGCACAGAAAGGCTTTCTTGCAGGCAAGAAAGTGCATGCTGCTTACAGGTGCTCAGAAGAAGGGGATGATCTAGTTTCTTATGTACTTGGTCCAGTCAATGGTAGGTGTGTTCAAAGGTAATTCTAAAGCACCCAGCCCAAGAGTTCTATATTTTCAATAATTTAAACAAACTTCTTAAAAATGTTTACTTCTTAGTAATGAATTGCTTCTGGCACAATTCTCACTTCAAAGAGGGTTCTATTTTTTCTAAATTTCAAAATCTAAAAAGGAAACAAAAATAAATTGGCGATTAAATCTCTGAAACATGTTTCTATGGAAAATGAATTACTTGACAAAAACCTTTTAAAAGTTAAATGACATTAAAGTCTTAAAGTTTTCAGAACAAGGATGCTATGCAATACACTGCTTGATGCTGTTATCCACTCACTTTGTCCAGCTCGGGTACCAGCCCTGGGGGAGAAGTGATGCTATTATAGCAAACAGAACAAGACCAATGGATGGCCTGCAACAGCAATCTCAGGATGGAGCCACATGGCTTTGATAAGAGTCTATCCCTGTATTTTAGATGTTCTGGATTTAAAAAATGTTTGTCTCAGAGCACCTCTTTAATGCTGCCTGCCTTTTCCTAAAAGACAAACTGCACACAAAACATGCTGTTTTTCCTCATGAAAAGAAAATAAAGTCTGTTATAATGTCCTGATCTTGTTATAACATGGACAGAACAGTGTGACTATCTTGCAGTGCTATGATCCCTGCAGAAATAATTAAAAAGTAAATCAATAAGAAACCAGGGGTGTTTTCTGCCAAGATACCTTCTTTTGCTAAGAAGCCAGCCAGAGTTAGGAATCTTCACTCTGCTTGTGGACTAAGCCCTAAAAATGATGTTTTATTAATACGCTCAAGAAACACTGTCAATGTCAACTGCCAGCTAAGATCAAACCTATTTATTTAACATAGTCACTATTTAAAAATGTAAACAAATAGACAAATGGTCCTCAAAATAAGACATTTGGGCCCGGCATGGTGGCTCACGCCTATAATCCCAGCACTCTGGGAGCCCGAGACAGGCAGATCACTTGAGGCCAGGAGTTCAAGACCAGCCTGGCCAACATGGTGAAACACAGTCTCTACTAAAAATACAAAAATTAGCCAGGCATGGTGGCGTGTGCCTGTAATTCCAGCTACTCAGGAGGCTGAGGCAGGAGAATCACTTGAACCCGGGAGGCAGAGGTTGCAGTGAGCCGAGATTGTGCCACTGCATTCCAGCCTGGGTGACAGAGTGAGACTCTGTCTTAAAAAAAAAAAATGACATTTGTATATATAAATAACATACAGTAAATGTGCTAACCTATAGATACATTCAGAGATTGTATAAATGTTAACTATAATAATACAAAATACAGGGATTTTGTTGTTGCACTGAAATTTTGTTATTTTGGGTACTGCTAGAACAATGGTGTTATAAGGATTGGAATGCTTTTATTCTATACATTAAATTTTGACATATTACTGCTATAATAGAAATAAACATTTCTAAATACCAAGTTAAAGGACTAGTTATTTATTTTTATTTTGAAATGGAGTCTCATTCTGTTGGCCAGGCTGGGTGCAATCATAGCTCACTGTAGCCTCGAACCCCTGGGCTCAAGTGATCCTCCTGCCTCAGCTTCTCCAGTAGCTGAGACTACAGGCACACACCACCACATCTGGCTTTTTTTTTTTTTTTTTGATGGAGTCTCGCTCTGTCGCCCAGGCTGGAGTGTAGCAGTGCGATCTCGGCTCACTGCAACCTCGCCTCCCGGGTTCAAATGATTATCCTGCCTCATAAACGATAATATGCCTCCTGAGTTGCTGGGACTACAGGTGCATGCCACCACGCCCAGCTAATTTTTTGTATTTTTAGTAGAGGTGGGGTTTCACCGTGTTAGCCAGGATGGTCTTGATCTCCTGACCTCGTGATCTGCCCATCTCGGCCTCCCAAAGTGACATCTGGCTATTTTTTTTATTTTTATTTTTTAGAGACAGGGTCTTGCTATGTTGCCCAGGCTGGCCACCTTGATCTCCCGGCCTCAAACAATCTTCCCATCTCAGCCTCCTGAGTTGTTGGGATTACAGGTGCATGCCACCAAGCCTGACAAGGATGTAGTCAATGCCACAGTTTTACACAAACAAAGAAAATACACAACCTTGGAACTTAACCTATGACAGCACTGACTGCAGTAAGATCCGACTCATAAAAAATAAGCATTGAGATTAGCTTCTCTTGACACAATGGCACTAAGAAAAAACTGTCATGTTTTGAAACATTTATTTTCAGTTGCTCGGGGGAAGAAAAATGGAAGTCCCACACTTCAGTAAAATTTCAAAAATGATATTCCAACAGTAAGATATCAGAAAAGAAGGTGGAGAATTATCCATTTAACTATAAATTCCAACCCTAGTGGTTTCTGCAAATTATTGTAATCAGAATATCCTGGAATAGAAATAAAGTTCTTTATATCTCTAAATTCTGTGAGACACTTTCAGTGACTGAACATAGAGGCCATAGGGAGATGGCCTGGAACACTTTCGCAAAGAGATGGAGCCCATAAGAAAAGTTTCTTTAGGAATCAATAAACATGCACTGAGAGGCTTTTCTCTTCAGTTTTACCAAGTTTATCAACCCGAGACAGACCACAAAGAAAAGGTTTTGACCCATGTATATCCATTTATTAGAAAAATGACACCTATTTCTTGAACTTCCTTACTTTCGATCAGTTTTTCTAGGTGGGCATGATGCTGCCAGAATTAAAATTCAGAAATCAGGAAATCCTGGCCTAAAGGGTAGGGATGCCAAGATTTAGCTCTAGCCCAACCCTGAAAAGATCCTGGCTTGCTATACTGTTTTACAGGAGGCTGTCCATCTTGTGGTTTACATTCTAGTATCTTTTGACTCCTAGTATCAGTCATTACAGTTTAAGAAAATTCTGCCTCCAGGTCCAATACAGAGTTCCTGCTACTCGTTTTTCAGTAAGTAATCCCGATGCAGACAAATATATCCATTCTATGACTCTCTTGATTCTTGGACTAACTTACTATGTATTTATTGAGAATGAAAATACAAACACATATGGTTAGATGGTCTCTGAAGCCAGACTGCCTGGGTTCAAATCTCAGCTTTGCCACTTACTAGATGTGCATCTTGGGCATGTTACTTAACCTTATCATGCCTCAGTTTTCTTATTTATCAAATAACCTCTCATACAGTTTACCTCATAAAACAGCTTACCTCAGACAGTTGTTCTGAACATTAAATAAGGTAATGCAACAGTGCCTGGTACATAGAAAGTGGTCAATAAATGTTGACTATTATCCATATCTCTGAAGTCCTTCCACTTGGAATGTCCTTCTTTTATTTTTCTATTTAGGGTTGCCATAAGCCAGGAGACAGCTGGTTTGAAAAGGCTAATAATAAATAGGGCAGTACCACTATTTATCTACTGGTTTTTAGTTATGTTAGGTCATGGGAATGAACACGGCTGGCCTGTTTCACTCTGAAGTAGTTCTTAACCTCTTTTCTGACATCAGCTGTGATTTCTACATTCACTGACATGAAAGCACTACATAGATTTTTCTCTCTGGCGGTGCAGTGTGTCTCAAAAGGTATGAGAAAACTGCTTTGAGGACTCTGAGCCCCTCGGTATATGGAGACTTGGTGGGTGAGCCAATTTAATCCCTTGCCCCATTGGTTCTAAACAAAGTGCTTTTAGCCAAGCAAGATGCTGTGTGGTTCTTGATGAGTAAGCCTATCAGGGCAGAGTTGTTTGCCTCTAAGTAGAAGCTTTTTGGCAGTAGCTGCAGGTTACATTCTCCATCAGAAGCATTATGTAAGCCTGGGTTTTGCGTTCCCAGTAATAAAATGCTCATGCAGTATTACAATTAATTAAGTCACAATGAAGTCTAATCAATAAAGACTCAAAAATATTGTCCACAAGAGATCTCTATGCCTTCACTAACGCTGCAGTTTTTTCACTGTAAATTAATTTTCCTTCAGTTAAATAAACGATCTTAGTATGTCTGCTAGCAGGTGGTACAACAGGGGAATAGGGTAAACTAGGCTTTAAGTATGTTGTTAAAAAAATATATTGAATGAATCTGGTGCTCAAAAAATTTAAGTTATTTGCATCCATCGGTGGAAGGGCAGATCAGAGGAAATATTTGCCAACACATGAAGCCAGGCCAGGTTTCACCTTCCACAACAGCTCAAGAAAACAGCAAGTTTCAACTTTTAATCCTTCTATAATTTAGACTCAGGGTTTTATCAAACTGCTCTTTGGGATGCTCTGAGAAGTTTAATCCAAAAACACTGGCCTGGATCAAACTTATTTTACTTAAGGAATAGGAAGCAAACTCTACAGTAGATCAAAACACCCTTTTACACCTAAAAGTCATTTGACTTGGTCACCTTCACAATAACTCATATAACAAAACTACATAAAACCATGGCTGGGCGTGATGGCTCACGCCTATGATCCCAGCATTTTGGGAGGCAGAGCCAGGCGGATTGCTTGAACCTAGGAGTTCAAGACCAGCCTGGGCAACATGATGAAAATCTTGTCTCTACACTAAAAAAAAAAAAAAAAAAAAAGTATATAAAACCAAGTGGTTTGATGAATAAATAATTTAGATCATGTTAATAATATAATACAAGAGTCTGGCAGGGCACGGTGGCTCACGTCTGTAATCCCAGCACTTTGGGAAGCCGAGGCGGGCAGATCACTTGAGGCCAGGAGTTCAAGACCAGCCTGGCCAACATGACGAGACCCCGTCTCCACTAAAAATACAAAAATTAGCTGGGTGTGGTGGCACGCACCTGTAGTCCCAGCCACCCAGGAGGCTGAGGCAAGAGAATCACTTGAACCCAGGAGGCGGAAGTTGCCGTGAGCTGAGGTCGCACCACTGCACTCCAGCCTGGGCGGCAAAATCTGTCTCCCAAAAAAAAAAAAAAACAAGAGTCTGATATAAGATTCCATAGTTAAGTAGTGATGACTCAGTTTTTCATTCAAAAACACTTACTGAATGCTTATGTCTTACCAGGGGCTGTCAGGTTTTATGGAAGGTATTGAGTGTAAAACACAGCTCTGATAATCAAGAGGCTTACATTCTAGTGGGGAGAGGAGGAAGACACATACATAATTATAAAAACTAGGTGGTATACAATCAACCTAGCCTCAAATAAATCCTCTTTTAAATGTATGCCACTGTCATTCCAACTTGAAAATATATGTCTTTAGTACATCTCAGGATGCCTATGAAAGGAAACTTGTGTCAAACAAACAACACCAGGCATAGAAATATACATGAATTGTGAGGATACTTCATTCCACACATTACTGACAATAGAGAGCAGCTTAGAATTCTTGAGCTAACTATATCCATTTGCAGAGCATGGCCTCCCACACAGCTGTATGTAGCTACTCTGGAATTCAACTTGGCTAGAAGCAGCTACATGGTAGAGGCTTTGCCCTCTGGTCTTCCAAGTGATCATTTAGAACACTATACCAGCTCTGCTGGAGTTTCTAGACCCTTCAGGAAGAAAAACAGATAAACTCAGCTCAAGCCTATGACAACAGCTGAGAAAAGGAAGGATCTTGTGCATAAGGAATTCTCTCAATCACGCTATCTCCCGTAATACAGCAATAGCAGCTGGCCTCACAGGCTGAAAAGCAGCCAGCACTCGCCTCCATCAGAAGACTATGCTCCAGGTCTACTGAGATACAACTGTGCCCAGAAACACGAGGCGTAAGCAGAAAAAGGACTCTGGGACAGACTCTAAACTTCCTTCACCTGACACTTTCTGGTACTTGAAGGTTGTCTAAGCTAAGAAAAGCCTAAATAACCGATGAATTCATTTTCTGCTATGCCTTATCCTTTTGAAGTATTCTCTAATGGGCCTTGGGATTTAGGCCTATGACATTCAGCAATGCCAAGCACATGTATATTACCAAGGGCCAGAGAGATCATATTGGTAATATAGCAAGTATCTACTGACTTCCTACCCTGGTTGTTTCTCATTCTCTGTACTAATCATACAAAAACTTGTATTGCTACTTAGGGAATTATTTAACTGGGATTAAAGAGCGACTACGTTTAGGATAATCCTGTTGGCTTTCTCTGAGTCTTGAAGCTTTCAGGTTAACTAACATCATATTACAAATAATAGTTCTAAGCAGTTAGACTGTTAGTTTATTTCTAAGCACTAATAGACAGTGTGGCTGACAGCATGCTTAGCTGTTTTCTAGGACCCCCTATCTGAAGCCGGCTCCGGGAAGGGTTCAGTAAGAATCTCTTGCCATGGTGTGAGGTGATGGGGGTGGAGGATAGAAAAGATCCAAGTTGCTCACAGGAAACACTGTGGACATTGGAAAAGTAAAGGAAGTGGTTTATCTTGCTCTTTTTGCAACAGTATGGTGTAGTAAAACAAACACTAAATTTGAATACTGACCTAGTTACTTATTACCTGTGTGGCTTTGGCAAGTTAACTCATTTCTCTAAACTTCAGCTTCCAAAACTTCATCAGCAAGATGATAAAATATGTGCTATTACCTATTCTAAAATATAGTTATGTAGCTCAAATTAGATTAAGTAAAAGAAAATAATTTAGGTTGCGTATGCTGGCTTCTGCCCATAATCCCAGCACTCTGGGAGGCCAAGGTGGGAGGATTGCTTGAGGCCAAGAGTTCAAGACCAGACTGGGCAATGTAGTGAGACTCATCTCTACAAAAAATCTTTTAAAAAATTAGCTTGGAATGGTGGCACAGGCCTATAGTCCTAGCTACTTTGGAGCCTGAGGTAGGAGGGTTGTTTGAACCCAGGAGTTTGAGGCTACAGTGAGCTATGGTCATACCACTAGGCTCTAGCTTAGGTGACAGAGCAAGACCCTGTCGCCAAAAATATAAAAACTGAAAAATTGAAATATTTTTAAAAAATATATTGGCTGGGTGCAGTGGCTCACACCTGTAATCCCAAAACTTTGGGAGGCCGTGGTGGGCGGACTGCTTGAGTCCAGGAGTTCAAGACCAGCCTGGGCAACATAATAAGATCCCATCTCTACAAAAAAATACAAAAATTAGGTGGGCGTGGTGGCGTGCGCCTGTAGACCAAGCTACTCAGGAGGCTGAGGTGGGAGGATGGCTTGGGCCCAGGAGGCGGAGGCTGCAGTGAGCCAAGATCACGCCACTGCACTCCAGCCTGGGCGACAGAGATCCTGTCTCAAAAAATAAACCTATTAAAAAAGAAATTATTTTATAAACTCAAAAGCCCTAAACAAATGTAATTATTTGATATTACTACTGATATTATGATTTGGATAAGACTACTCTCCAGAGGGGCTTTTGGAGTCAGTGTTCGAACAACCCTATGCATTAATTCATTCAACAAATATTTACTGAGTGCCTACTAGAACTCAGGCACCGTCCAAAGCCCTGGGAACATAACAGTAAACAAAAACCAAATGCTTATTATGGTCAAGTGGTGATAGGAGGTGAGGAGACAATAAAGTAAGTGCTATGAAGAAAAAGCAGAATTACAGAAAGAGAATGATGGGGGTAGCCAGGACAGGCCTCTCTGAGGGGACCTATGACTCCTCTCTGAGGGGAATGTATGTGTTTGGCAAGTCTGAGAAACAGCAAGGAAGGCCCTGTGACTGGAGCTCAGAACCGGAGGTGAACAGTAACAGGAAATGAGACCAAAGAAGGGGCAATGACAGCTGTGCCTTGTAGGCCATAGTAATAATGACTCCTTGAATTTTATTCTGAATGTAAACAAATGCCACTGGGGATGGGGTGGTTCTGATTCAGATTTCATATTTACTAAGTCCTACTACACACCAGATCCTGTGGTAGGTTATTGACAGTTGTGAAAAAGACATGTTTCGTCTGTACTTTCACTAAGTTCAGTCTGGTGTGGAAGACATACAATGAAAGAAGTAGTTACAATATAAAGCTTGGTAAGCACCACGATAAGAGAAAGTTTAGAGACATGAAGAGTGAATAGAAATTATCTAGATTCTTATTTCTATCCAATCTAATTTTTTTTATTCTGAATTCTAGAATACAGGAGTGGGTGGAGTGGGGTGGGATAGGGAAGATGTATTCTCGGCAGTGGGAAATGCTCCAGAAAACAGAACTTGTTCAGGGAACGAGAAGAAAATTAGGGTGACTGGTGGGAGAGTGGGAGCTGGGGCTGAAGAGCTAGGCAGGAGTCAGGTTATAAAGGTATTTCTATGTCATTGTTTCTGAAATAGCAGATAGGAGATCAATTTAGTAAGTCGAAATCAGCATTTTTTAAAATGGAATAGAATAAAATATATTGAAATGCACTGTACATAGTAAGGTAAGTTTTGCTTTTTTAAAAAAATTGTTTGCTGGCTGGGCGCAGTGGCTCATGGAGGTCAAGGAGGGAGGATCGCTTAAGGTTAGGAATTCAAGACCAGCTTGGTCAACAGAGAGAGAGTCCATCTCTATAAAAAAATGTTTAAAAATTAGACGGGCATGATGGTGCTTGGTGCTTGCCTGTAGTCCCAGCTACTTGGGAGGCTGAGGTGGGAGGACTGCCTGAGCCCAGGAACTGGAGATTGCAGGAAGCTATGATCACATCACTGCACTCCAGCCTGGGTGACAGAGCGAGACTCCGTCTCAAAAAAAAGTCTTTTGTTTTCAGTCATGGTGGTATACGCCTCTAGTCTCAGCTACTTGGGAGACTGAGGCAGGAGGGTCACTTGAACCCAGGAGTTCGAGTTCAGTCTGGACAAAATAGCAAGACCCCATCTCTAAATCAAGCAAACAAAGCTTTTGTTCATTTGTATCTATATATGCGTGTTCTGGGTCACAGTATAAAATGTACTTTTTTCTTATCATAGCCAAAAATGTTTGTAAGCCAATGCTTTGCCACCTTATGGAGTAAACTTTACCTTAGAGGCAATGGTAAACCACTGAAAAGTTTCAGGCTAGAAAATGATATAATCAGATTTGTGTGTTTAAGTAAGAGAGAGAGAAAGAGAGAGAAAATGTACGTGTATGTGTGTGTGTGGTATGTTTTATTTATTTATATGTTTGTGTTCTGGAAAGATTAGTCATGTAGCAAAGTTGACAATAGATTAGAGGGGGACAAGACTGGAGCCAGGAATCCATATAATTGGCTATTGTTTAATTGAGGCAAGGGAAGATGATAGTATGGTCTTAGAAGTGCCTACATGAATGGAGGGTTGAATTGACAGGATTTGGTAACTGATCAGCTGTGGCACTGGTGAGAGAGGAAACATCAAGGCTTGTGCTGGCCTTGGTCAGATGGTGATGCTATTCACTAAGGCAGCAAATACAGAATAGAGCAAATCTAGGGAGGGGGAAGTCAAGTTCATTTCTGAATATGTCTCCATTGATCTGACTTCAATACATGAAAGTGAAGATAATGGTTAGCAAATACTTGGATATGTCGCCCTAGATCGAGAGGTCTGGGACAAAAAGTTAACTGAGGACTGATCACCACAGTGATCAGTGAAGCTACAGCAGTAAATAACATGGCTCCAGAAAGATGTTGTAAAGATGAAAAGATCTAAAGGATGAGCAGAGAAAAATAAGTCTGGTAGAGAAGATGGAGAAGGTGCTTCCAGAGGACAGGAGGAAAACTGGAGAATATGGCGTCTCAGAAGCAATGAGAAAAAGTGTTTTAAAATGTAATGAGTGACTCAACAATAAGAAAATAAAACAACCTGAAGTTAAAAACGACCAATAGACCTGAAGAGACACCTCAACAAAGATATATAGATGGCAAATAAGCATAAGAAAAGATGCTCATCCTCATACATCATTAGAGAATTAAAAATTAAAACAACAATGAAATATCACTATATACCTATTAGAGTGGCCAAAATCCAAAATGCTGACACCACCAAATGCTGACAAGGATGTGGCGCAGCAGAAGCTCTCACTCATTGCTGGCAGGAATGCAAAATAGCATAGCCACTTTGGAAGACAGTTTGGCAGTTTCCTACAAAACTATCCATGCTCTTACCATATGATCCAGGAATTGTGCTCCTTAGTGTTTAACCAAATGAATTAAAAATTTATGTCCACACAAAAACCTGCACAAAGATGTTACAGTAGCTTTATTCATAATTGTCAAAATTTGGAAGCAACCAAGTCATCCGTAGGTGAAAGGATAAAGGGTGGTACATCCAGGCAAGGAAATATTATTCAGTGCTAAAAAGAAACGGGCTCTCAAGCCATGAAGAGACATGGAGGAACCTTATTGCATATTACTATTTGAAAAACACCAATCTGAAAAGGCTGCATCCTGTATGTTTCTACCCATATGACATTCTGGAAAAGGAAAAACTTGTGGAGACAGTGAAAGGATCAGTAGTTGCAGGGGGTTAGGGAGAAATGGATAAACAGGCAGAGCACAGAGGATTTGGGGGCAGTGAAACAATTTTATATGTATTATAGTGGTGAATACATGTCACTATACATTTACCAAAACCCACAGAATGTGTAACACTGAGAGAAAACCCAAATGTAAGCTATGGACTTTGGGTGATAATGTGTCAATGCATGTTCATTGATTGTAACAAACATACCACTCTGGTGGGGCACATTGATTATGACAGGGGTCAGCAGGGGAGGGAGGCAGGACAGCACAGAGGGTACATGCAAACTGTGTACCTTCCACTCAATACTGCTGTGAATCTAAAGCTGCTCTAACATATAACTCTAAAGAGACAGGGCACAGTAGCTCACACCAATAGTCCCAGCACTTTGGGAGGCCAAGGCAGGCAGATCGCCTGAACTCAAGAGTTTGAGATCAGCCTGGACAACATGGCAAAACCCCATCTCTACCAAAAAAAAAAATTAGTCAGGCATAGTGGTGTGTGCCTGCAGCTCCAGCTATTTGGGAGGCTAAGGGAGGATCACTTGAGCCTGGGAGGTCCAGCTGCAGTGAGCCACGATCACACCACTGCATTCCAACCTGAGCAACAGAGCAAGACCCAGTCCCAAAAAAGGGAGTTAGGGAGGAAGGGAGGAAAGGAGAGAGGGAGGGAGGGCAAGGGTGAAGTGTTAATCACTGCTGGGCAGTGATTAAGAAAAAGACTAAGGATATGCAGTTGATCAATAACGAGATCACTGGTGACCCTGGCCAGAGCAATACTGGACCACTTCTCTGCTTCCTTTTATAGTAAACTGGAAAGAGCGTGTCGTCTATTTTCCTTCTATTCCTTTTTTGTTGCAACCACATGATTAAGCTTTTGCTCCTGTTCCTCTGCCAAAAGTGTACTTCAGAATCATTAATGATCTAGGAAGGTGAGGGTGTGGGGGGATAAAAAAGAAACAAAATCATTAACGATCTCCACATTTCTAAATGCAACATTCAGTTCTCAGTCCTCTTACCTGACTTGGCAGCAGCATTCACTCCCCACAGCTCCTCACTCCCTCCTCCCTCCTCCTGGGAACAGTCTCTTCACTTGTCTCCTAGGACAGCAGGCCCTCTGGCTTACCTCACCAGCAACTCTTATGATACCTCTTCACCTGCTTGTTCTCTAAATAGCGGTATGTTCCAGAGTTTAATTCATGGACCTCTTCTCTTCTCTGTAACCACTGCCTAAAAAGTGAGCTCACCTCATGGCTTTAACTATTATCTATACACTGGGGATTCCAAACATACATCCCCAACCCAGAATTCTCTCCTAAATGCGACTGCCAATTCATATCTTAACTCTGATGTCTAATGTGCACCTCAAACATGACATGTCTAAAACATCTCTCCAAAATGTAAGTATTCTTCCCCAGTCATCCCCATCTCAGTTGGCAGTAAAACCATCCTTCCATTTGCTCAGGATAGAAACTCTGGAGTCTTTCTTTCATATCAAATCCAACACTAAATGTTATTGGAGCCAAAATACCTGGGTTCAAATTCTACTTCAGCCACTTGGTAGCAGTGTTATCTTGGGAAAATTGCCTAATCTCTCCTGGCTTCAGTTTTATCACCAGTAAAATGGAGACAATAATCTTGTGTATCTCATAGGGTTGTTAAAATAATGAAGTGAGTTAATGTTTGTGAAGTGCTTTGAACAGTGCCTGCCACACATGGTAGGTAGCATCTCTTGAATCTGATCACTTCTTACCATCTCCATCTCGACACCCCAGACTGGGAACCAGCCACCAACATCTCTTATCTGGACTATTGTAAAAGTCTCCTCCTAACTGGTGTCCCTCCTTCAGCCTTTGTACCTTTTAGCCTACCGGCAACATAGCAGCCAAAGTGATCTTTTTTAAACAAAAGTCACTGCAAAATTTTTCAATTTTTTTGTATGTTTGAAATTTTTCATCATAAAATTTGGAAAAAATAAAACTCAGATTACATCACTCCTGTCAAAACCCTCCAATCCTGTATACTTCAGTCACAGTAAAATCTAAAGTCTTTACATTAACTAGGCCCTAAAATTAAGCTCCCTCTTACCTCTCTGACCTCATCTCTCTTCCTCATCTCTCACCGCTCCTTCCTTCCAGGCACGCAGGCCTCCTTCCCGTTCCTTCACATGCAGCCATGCTCCATCCCCGCGGCCTCTGCGCTGACCCCTCAACAGCCAGGGGGTGCTCTTCCCCGGACTGCACAGCATTCACCCTCACCTTCTTTCAGGCTTTGCTGAAAGGTCCCTTTCTCCATGAAGGGGTTTTCATGTAACTTACCAACCACTATCCTAACTCCTTCTCTATTTTATTTGTCCCACAGCATTTAGCACTATCTTCTACACTATGACGTTATCAGTTCAAAGGAGCCAAGTTAAATCTACTCCAAGGTTCACCTCTTTGTTCTAAAATGCAATTACCATGGGCTTCTACCTTGTTGTCAACCCAGTGGACACATGTTCTTCCTTAAAATGAAAACAGATGATTAAGCAAAACTATATGACTTTTTGCGTTCTCTAAAATGTTCCCTTCTTATGTGCAAATAAATGGTGATAAAATACTGTTAATTCTGAGTATCTTGTATCTATTTTCGGTGTTAAATTTTTCCAAGACCTGCCTACCTTACTGCCCACTCGTTAAATAAAATTTTTTAAATTTGATTCTGGAGGACAAAGAGCACAGAAATAGGAAATGAAGCAGTAGCAAGACTAAGATGCAAAGCCTACTTTATCCTTGGCATTTAAAACCACATTGCAATGAGAACCCAATAAGTGGAAATATCCTGAAAAAGGGTAGGAAGACAGAAGTGAAACAAAAGCATTTATTGCATTACTGCTATGCCATGGGCCTACTGAGTCTTCACATACATTATCTCATTTAATCCTTACAGTAATAGCAGCCCTCACAAAACTCTCAGCCAATTTATAGATGAGGACACTAAAGCTGAGACAGACTTAGGGCCCAGATTCAAACCCAAGTAGGGCTCTCTGATGCCAAAACCTATATACTGTTTCTACAGAACCTTGCCTCCTGGAGGCATCAGGTCAGCAAGCTGGAGTTAAAAAAGGTTGTAAGTGGGCCATTTATACTCCATCACTAAATTCCTGGGATAACTGAGTGGGTCTAACTTTCATGAACCCATTCATAGCTGTGTGCTAGCGACTCCCTTACCTGTGGACATAAAAAATGGGATGCGGAACTTTCCACTCAGCACGCGGGCCCGCAGATTCTGCAGTGTGCTTCCATCAAATGGCAGGGCACCGCACACAAGCACGTAGAGGACAACTCCAAGGCTCTGCATCCCAAACAGAGAGGATGTACAATTAATCACATCAGGGGAAACAAAAAAGACTACTGTAGTGTGTGTATGCAGATGATGGTGAGTCATGCATACGATTATGGAACAAACTTTTTCTTCCATCTTAGAACAGTTAACAATCTTCTTTGCTTCTAGGCATTAATTTAGGGTAACATCCTGAATTTTTCTCAGTACTCATTCTCTGGGGATAAGGTAAGTGGCCACAGTAGAAATAATCTCTCTTCTTGGCAACGGCCCCCATCCAAGCTGGCCCTTGGGCTTCTTTTGCAAATGCAAAGGGGAAATTTGAAATATGTGGCTCAGTCCACAAGGTAAGTATTGGAGGAAAGATTTTGCACGAGTAGGCCGGGTGCAGTGGCTCATGCCTATAATCCCAGCATTTTGGGAGGCCAAGGCGGGAGGATCACCTGAGGTCAGGAGTTTGAGACCAGCCTGGCCAACATGGTGAAACCCTGTCTCTATTAAAAATACAAAAAATTAGCCAAGTGTGGTGGCTTGTGCCTGTAATCCCAACTACTTGTGAGGCTGAGGCAGGAGAATCACTTGAACCTGGGAGGTGGAGGTTGCAGTGTGCCAAGATCATCCTGCTGCTCTCCAGCCTGGGCGACAGAGTGAGACTCTGTTTCAAAAAAAAAAAAAAAAAAAGGCTTTGCACAGGAATTGGGACTTGAAAGAACAGGTGACCAGGATCTCAATTCATGTTGCATCATTATGTATCCTTCAGGATGCGAATAGCTGTCATCAACCAAGGGTAGCTAATGCTGTGGGGTATAAGAGAAGGCAGTTACTTACCCAGATGTCCACTTTGGGCCCATCATATTCTTTTCCTTCAAAGAGTTCAGGTGCAGCATAGGGAGGGCTGCCACACCAGGTCTTCAGCAGCTGCCCAGGAGTGAAGAGGTTACTGAAACCAAAATCTAGAAAGGCAAATGGACATAATTCGTATTATTGTAACCTTTTATTATAACTGAGCAAACACTAGTCTCTAGTCACTAAAGATTCCAAATCATTGTCTGAATATTAAATGCAAAAAGAGAACATTTAGAAACCACATAGCCAGACACTTAAAACAATAATAGTGAAACAGAGATATAGATGAGCTGAAATATAAACATGATCAGTTTATGTCAGCAAAAATAGTACTGCTCCCTTCATAAACCTAGGCAGAATAAAGCGAGTGGTACTTGTTCCTTTAAGAATGCAAATGGGCCTGGGGGCAGTGGCTCATGCCTGTAATCCCATCACTTTGTGAGGCCGAGGTGGGCGGATCACGAGGTCAGGAGATCATTCTGACCAACATGTTGAAACCTCCTCTCCACCAACATACAAAAAATTAGCCGGGCGTGGTGGCGTGCGCCTGTAGTCCCAGGTACTCGGGAGGCTGAGGCAGGGGAATTGCTTGAACCTGGGAGGCAGAGATTACAGGGAGCCAAGATGGCGCCACTGCACTCCAGCCTGGGCGACAGAGCAAGACTCCGTCTCCAAAAAAAAAAAAGAATGCAAATGAAACTGGATGATGTTAAGACCACATTAGAATCAGGAAACACATGTAAGCCTACTCAGCTGGACCCAGAATTTTTTTTTTTATTATACTTTAAGTTTTAGGGTACATGTGCACAATGTGCAGGTTAGTTACATATGTATACATGTGCCATGCTGGTGCGCTGCACCCACTAACTCGTCATCTAGCATTAGGTATATCTCCCAATGCTATCCCTCCCCCGTCCCCCCACCCCACAACAGTCCCCAGAGTGTGATGTTCCCCTTCCTGTGTCCATGTGTTCTCATTGTTCAATTCCCACCTATGAGTGAGAACATGCGATGTTTGGTTTTTTGTTCTTGCGATAGTTTACTGAGAATGATGATTTCCAATTTCATCCATGTCCCTACAAAGGACATGAACTCATCATTTTCTATGGCTGCATAGTATTCCATGGTGTATATGTGACACATTTTCTTAATCCAGTCTATCATTGTTGGACATTTGGGTTGGTTCCAAGTCTTTGCTATTGTGAATAGTGCCGCAATAAACATACGTGTGCATGTGTCTTTATAGCAACATGATTTATAGTCCTTTGGGTATATACCCAGTAATGGGATGGCTGGGTCAAATGGTATTTCTAGTTCTAGATCCCTGAGGAATCACCACACTGACTTCCACAATGGTGGAACTAGTTTACAGTCCCACCAACAGTGTAAAAGTGTTCCTATTTCTCCACATCCTCTCCAGCACCTGTTGTTTCCTGACTTTTTAATGATTGCCATTCTAACTGGTGTGAGATGGTATCTCATTGTGGTTTTGATTTGCATTTCTCTGATGGCCAGTGATGGTGAGCATTTTTTCATGTGTTTTTTGGCTGCATAAATGTCTTCTTTTGAGAAGTGTCTGTTCATGTCCTTTGCCCACTTTTTGATGGTGTTGTTTTTTTCTTGTAAATTTGTTTGAGTTCATTGTAGATTCTGGATATTAGCCCTTTGTCAGATGAGTAGGTTGCGAAAATTTTCTCCCATTTTGTAGGTTGCCTGTTCACTCTCATGGTAGTTTCTTTTGCTGTGCAGAAGCTCTTTAGTTTAATTAGATCCCACTTGTCAATTTTGGCTTTTGTTGCCATTGCTTTTGGTGTTTTAGACATGAAGTCCTTGCCCATGCCTATGTCCTGAATGGTAATGCCTAGGTTTTCTTCTAGGGTTTTTATGGTTTTAGGTCTAAGGTTTAGGTCTTTAATCCATCGTGAATTGATTTTTGTGTAAGGTGTAAGGAAGGGATCCAGTTTCAGCTTTCTACATATGGCTAGCCAGTTTTCCCAGCACCATTTATTAAATAGGGAATCCTTTCCCCATTGCTTGTTTTTCTCAGGTTTGTCAAAGATCAGATAGTTGTAGATATGCAGCGTTATTTCTGAGGGCTCTGTTCTGTTCCATTGATCTATATCTCTGTTTTGGTACCAGTACCATGCTGTTTTGGTTACTGTAGCCTTGTAGTATAGTTCGAAGTCAGGTAGTGTGATGCCTCCAGCTTTGTTCTTTTGGCTTGGACCCAGAATTTTTATGTTATATTTACTTCTTATGACAAACACATCTATGACCATTTAAAAATTAGACAAAGTGACATTATTATAATTAAGTAGTTTATTCAAAAGGAAGAATATGCAACTTATTTACAAACTGAAGCAAGAATGCTTACATTTTAATTTTAACTCTCCTTGTGCTTCAATTTTCCTCCCTTCTTCTCTCCCTCTCCTACTGCTACAAGACGCAGCAGATGGGAGGTAGCAGGGATGAGTCTTCAGGAGCTACACTAAGACAATGAGCAAGGATGGCTGGCCAAAGGATTGAGTCTCTGGTGTAGAAATGCTTTTATTTATGTATGTGTACCCATGTGACAGGCTAGAAATCCCTCATGCCCCAGGGACACCATGCTCCCTGAAATCACAGCATCTGAAAATGTTAAGCACCCACCTACTCTCTGAAACCCGTCCCTCTCTTTTCCAGTTTTACTCTTGTTGACAACTCTCCTTTTGCTATTTGCTTTCCTTCTTTCTACCTTCTACAGAAGGTGTTTTTCAGCAGGCTCTGCTGATTTTAACTGCCTCTCCTTGCTCTATGTTTTCTCAGGGCTAACTCTTTTAATCTCGCTACTTCTACCAGCATTTGATATAAATACCCCAAATTTATATGTCTGGCCCTGGTACCACTCTTAAGTTCTTGGCATGAATCCCCAATACTTGCTTGGGAAGAAACACCTCAAACCCACCATTTTCCAAAGTCATACCTGCGCTTTCAGTGCTTTTACCCTCATTAGTGACATCACCACCTGTGTTACTAGAAACACTGGAGTCATCTTCAAGTCCTTTCTCCCTCGTTTCCCATTTCAACCTGGTAATAAAACTCTTACTGCTTCAACTCCATGTGTCTTGACTCCACCTCCTCTTTTCTATTTCCATTTCTACCACTGCAGTTCATACTCTTATCATCCCTAGCTTGACTGATGCTATTGCTTACTTCCTATTTCATTTTCCCCTAAGCTATCCATTCATAGCACAAAGTTACACAAACCAGATCCTGTTACCTCCTCGCTCAAAAAACATGGGCTGCCTCCCTTCTACTTACAGAAGAGTCTTCATCTCAGCATTGTCATTTAAGGCCCTTCACAACCCAGCTCCATCCTATGTTTCCAATTTATCCCTGGCCATGCTAGCATCACTAGACTATTCACATCCTGTGTTTACATGCCTTCCACATGCTATTTCCTCTCTGTACCATGCCTTTTCCTTTCTTTTCCATCTTTAAAGTATCACTCATTTTCAAGGCCCAGTCAAATATTACTTCCTGTATGAAGGCTTAACTGATTTCCACCAGAAAACACCATGTCAATGGCTTCCTCCTCCGTGCTTCCACAGCCTTTTGTTTACGCCTCTACATCCCATTACTGTTCTGTCATATACATATACATATATATTATTTATTTTTTTTTTTTTTTTGAGACAGAGTTTCACTCTTGTTGCCTAGGCTGGAGTGCAGTGGTGCGATCTTGGCTCACCGCAACCTCCACCTCCCAGGTTCAAGAGATTCTCCTGCCTCAGCCTCCCAGGTAGCTGGGATTACAGGCATGCATCACCATGCCTGGCTAATTTTTGTATTTTTAGTAGAGACGGGGTTTCTCCATGTTGGTCAGGCTGGTCTCGAACTCCCGACATCAGGTGATCAGCCCACCTCGGCCTCCCAAAGTGCTGGGATTACAGGCGTAAGCCACTGCGCCCAGCCTCTGCCTTATATTATACTTAATTGTATTGTGTGTTTATACCCTCCATTAATTAGTAAATGGAGGAGATACCGTTTTATTTATCCTAGTCTCTACACAGTGGTTCTAATACATAGCAGAGACTCAAGAAAGGGTCACGAAATTAAACTGCAATAAAATAACTGGGCCAATCCTCTTGTCACCTCCTGACTACTGGAGACTTCTCAAACTGACAATGGCAGCTGGCCAGCAACGAGAGCCTCTGCCTCCTAGCTGTCCCTCCCAAGGTTCTAAAATTAACTTAATGATCATAAGGGGTGTGGCAGTCAGGACCACAAATAGAATCATTATAGCTTCTTCTATGAGAAGATGAATACTCTCATTCATTAATGGAAATAAATAATACTTCTTCTGTGAAGTCCTCCTGGATCCCCTACAAGAAATGTCCCCTATCTACTCTGTCTGTACTTTCTTTCCCTTTATTATTTGAATACATAAATAATGTATTCTTCTAGCTCCTGAAAAACATCCTCTCTTGTAAAGATCTACCCTCTCTCTCTAGTTCCTTACCTTATTCTTCTCTCTTTCACAGTATCTAACAGTGTTTAACACAGTGGGCACTTAATGTTGACTATGAACAAAACTGCATTTAATGCTCTACCAACTAACCTGCAACTTTTGAAACACCGTAACTTTCACTTACAAATTAAAGTCTGCACACACTGGTCACTATTAAGATTTTTTTCTTAGGAGAGTGGGAACAGGTTGCTAAAAATCCCAACAACTGAGATTCAGCAAAGTTGACGTCTCTGGGAATTATCCAGAAGGAAGATCCTTAGGTTTGCAAAAATAAAAGACAGAAAAAAGATCCTTAGATTTGCAAAAAACCTTCACCAGGTCCTTTTCCATGATCAGCCTTCCTCTTCTCTCCAGTGCAGAGGAGAAATGCGAATGATTCTGTTCTGCCTGATGGATTCTGGCACTGGAATGACTGGATAACAAACTCTAGAAGAATCATGGCTAGAAGAATCATGGAGTTTTTTGTTTGTGTTTTCAATGGAGCATGCAACAGGCTAAGCAATGAATTTAAACCAGTTGAGTTTAAATTCGCCTATAAGCAGATAAAATGTACAGACTTCTCATTTTGAACCACTAATGTTTAGTAACCTTTCTAGCATGTTACTTTGCCAGGGAGGTGAAGGCACAAACCTAATAGTGTGAGCTTGTTATTTTATCTACCAAACAGGAAACTGTTACAAAGAAAACAATATCAAAGGGAACCAGCTTCAGCAATGTCTGCAGGCTTAGACTGCTAATAGTTATAAGGATTTTATATGAGAAATGAGTGTATGAGAATGAATGATATATTACAGCCAGACAACTAGAGAGAGCCACATCTGCAGAAGCACCTGCTTCCACTATGTTACATCCAAACAGCTGGCTTCAACAGCTAGACCCAATAACCAAATGCAAGATTTCTGTAAGATTCAACAACAACCAAATACTACTGGCTTGCTCTCATCTCCTATTATGCACCAAACAAAATCCTCTAGTCTCAGAAACCTGTCGAGAGGTCTTCTATAATCATTCCAAGTATTGTTACTCCCAACTCTAAGGTGTACATTCAAGCAAAATCTTGCTATTCCCTGCCTACAAGACACCTTTTACCCCCCAATTATGGGCAGATTCCTTTAATTACTGAGCCTGCGGTATCCTAATTCTTTCTTTAACGTACCAAACCTAACAGGATCTGATCCACTCTCCCTTTTCAATATACATATTATTATAAATTGACGGTTTCATTGAAAGCATATCGCTGTCTTCTCTTCCCTACCAGTGGCTCTTTACTAGTATTTCACATTAATCTTCACTATTGCTATGCATCTTGTAAGTTAAAATTCTGTCTAATTTGCTGCCCATTCAGCTATAACATAACTTATTTTCTGAACATTTAAATTATCCGTGTGGGAAAGCCTCAAATTATTACCATGTACTAAATCTGGAAGTCATTTTGAAAATTCAGTGCCTTCCAATCAATACTTCTGGGACTGAGTAACTGTGATGGGAGAATACCTCCTCTTCATTCTCTTAGCTGCTTGCCTTTGGGGACATTTTGCTGCACATTTTAAGAGGACTGGAAAGAAAAATACAGTTAAAACAAACTAGTCTATTTTAGGTTCTGTTGATAGTTTAGTGATGTACTAGGGGAATGCTGGGGTGTGTGGTAGGAAATGGAGGTGGGGAACAGATAGACATGGAACAGAATCACTAAGAGCTTTGCTGTTTTCAGTTATCTACATGTATAGACAACTGGAAAAAATTGAAAGATCATCCAAGTTGGAGGAAAAAAATTCTCATAACACAAATTCAAGCAATGAGTAAAAAAGAATGAGGAAGAATTCTCACTGGCTTAAGTCAGAAATGCCAAAGAAAAAGGTAAAGAAAAACTTTTTTTTTGGAGATGGAGTCTTGCTCTGTTTCCCAGATGGGAGTGCAGTGGCACAATCATAGTTCACTGAAGCCTTTACCTCCTGGGCTCAAGCCATCTTCCTGCCTCAGCCTCCTAAGTAGCTGGGACTTCAGGCAAACACCACCATGCCTAGCTATTTAAAAAAAATTTTTTTGTAGTGATGGGGGTCTTGCTATGTTGTCCAGGCTGGTCTCAAACTCCTAGGCTCAAGCGATCCTCCTGACTAGGCCTTCGTAAGTGCTGGGATTACAAGCAACAGCCACTGCACCAAGCCAAGAAAAGCTTTAGAGCTTAAGTTTGATCTGAACTTGAACCTAGAAAACCATTTCTATTTAATAGGCTTTTTCATCTTATTTTGGCTCTGGAGCTACTCTAATTCACAATATCTTTCATTATTTACTAAAGCTTCCTATTCTTAATGTCTCTTTTATAAGTCTCTAAGTAAGTTCCTCCATTTCCTTCACTCTTTATGTAACATGTATTTATGGAACTCTTCCAATGGGAATAGCAATGTGTTAGATCTTCTAACAAACCAAAGGCATAAAACATAGTTCTAGGGAAAGGCTCAAAGGAAGCAGAACTTGGTTGAATGGCCAGGATCTGGAGAGGCAATGAAGGAAGGTGGAAAGGGTGCTCTGAATGGCAGTCAGGAGGGAGCACGAGCAAGGGCAGAACACTTAGAATTAACTCGCTAAGTTCAAGTGACAAGCAAGACACTGCCCTGGGTACAATAAAGGGTTTGTAGGGGCATATGGCAAGAAATAAAGAGTGCACAGCAGCATCATGCCAGATAAAATACAGCTTCAAATGACAGAATGAAGACCTTGGACTTCATCCTGTGAACCATTACTATTTTTTCTTTCCTTTTTTTTTCCTCCACATTTAAAAATTTTATTAGACTTCAGATACAAAAAAACTTGATTATGAATTTATTATAACCTTTGGCTCATGACACACTCTCCATGCTCCACTCATTTACTGCTTTTATTTCAATTGTTTTTTCCCTACAGCATTATTGAGATAAGGAATACGAAATATATTACTTCATATTCTTAATGTCTCTTTTATAAGTCTCTCATAAAATATTTTCTTATAAAATGTTATTCTTTTTTCTTTTTAATTTTTAAATTTTAAAACATAGAATAAAATAGAGACAGGGTCTTGCTGTGTTGCCCAGGCTGGTCTCGAACTCCTGAGCTCACATGATCCTCCCACCTCGGCCTTCCGAAGCGCTGGGATTACAGGCATGAGCCGCTGCACCTGGCCATAACATATTTCTTGTATTCCATATCCCATACAATTCACGCATTGAAAGTGTAATGCCCAGCGGCTTTTAGCGCATTCACAGAGTTGTGCGACGATGACCACAATCAGTTTTAGAACATTTTTCACCTTGTAAGGAAAAGGCAGTGAAAAAACCAAAGAAGAAATTTTAGAACATTTTCATCACCCCAAAAAGAAACCCTGTGCTAATTAGGAGTTACTCCCCAACACCCTTCAAGTCTTTCACCAATGGCCCAGCCCTAGGCTTTCTACTTTCTGTCTCTATGAGACTTGTCAATTTTGGACATTTCACATAAATGGAATCATACAATATATAAGCTTTAGTGTCTGGCTTCTTTCACTGAGCATAATATTTTGGAGGTTCATCCATGTTGTTGCCTATGTCAGCACTTGAGTCTATTTTACTGCTGAATAACATCCATGGTATGGACATTCCACATTTTATTTATCCATTCATCATCTGTTGAACATTCAGGTTGTTTCCACTTTGCAGCGACTAAAAATAATGCTGCTATGAACATTTATGTGAGTTTCTGTGTGGCCATATGGTTTCATTTCTCTTGGATATATACCTGGGAGTGGAACTGCTGGGTCATATGGTAACTCTGCTTAACTTTTTAGGAAGTATCCAAACTGCTATCCAAAGTGGCCGTACCATTATACATCCCTACCAGCAACGTACAAGGATTCCAATTTCTCCACATCTTTGCCAACACTTATTGTCTTTATTATTATTACTTATTATTGTCAATTCAGCTGTCCCAGTGGATGTGAAATGATATCTTACAGTGGTTTTCATTTATATTTCCCTGATGGCTAATAATATTGAGCATCTTTTCATGTGCTTTTCAGCCATTTGTATATCTGCTTTGGAGAAATGTCTATTCAAATCTTTTGTGCAGTTTAAAATTGGTTATCTTTTTATTATTGAGTTGTGAGTGTTCTTTATACATTCTGGATACAAATCTCTTATTAGATATATGATTTGCAAATATTTTCTCCCATTCTGTGGACTTTCATTATCTTGATGATGTCCTTTGATGCACAAAAGTTTTAAATGTTGATGAGGTCCAACTTATCTGTATTTCCTTTTGTCACTTATGCTTTTGGTGTGAATATAAAGGTACCAGTAAAACACAGTTCTTTCTGAAGAGGTTTGAGAGCCACACTTACAGGCAATAAGGAGTTGCTAGGACTTCTGAGCAGGCAGGTGAAGTGGTAAAATAAACTAGAAAGCAAGATTAGGTTAGGTGTGAGGTGAATATTGAAGGCTGTGATCAGATGAGATATTGAAAATGAAAAAAACAATTCAAAAGATGTTCTGAAAGGAGCGGACAGTACTTGATAACAAACAGAATATATGGGATGAAAAAGAAGGAGAAGTAGAGAATATGGCCCTGAGCAGATGACAGACTTAAGGAAAGCAGAAGTTGGTTTGGGAAGAAAAAAAATTACTTTTTCTTTATGTCCTGAGTTTGAGAAGGTGATCAGAAATTTAAGTGAAGATATTCTGAGAAACTGAATTATAGTAGTAAAAGGATAAAATATTTTTGAAAGAAAAAGTAGAGAAAAGGGAAGGATGAGAATTAAGGCTTCGAAAACACCCAGAGGTACTTCCTATTCCCTAGGTGCGAGAACAGAAAGAGGATGCAGCAAAAAGGAGAGAGAAAGCGCGGCTAAAGGAAGAAAGTCAGGAAAATGTAACAAGGAAGCCGAGAGAGCAGAAAAGCAGAAAAAGGTGGCTTACAGCATCCATGTAATCTCATCCAAGTGTTATGTAACTTTGATCTGAGGGAAAACAAATGATGACATAATTATTCTCGATGAGAAATGGTATCATTTTCCCCTCAGAATTTTTGTTTATTTGTTGTAAAGACAGGCTACATCACAGAAATGGACTACAAATATAATCCAGATCCATTCAGAGTTATCTACAATGTCAAGCTGTGAATAAAATTAGGCATTTCTTACCAAGATTGATGACAACCAACAGATACTAATCCTAAGTTATATACAAATATATTCAGAGTACTTAGAAACGAACGTCGTGGCCATGCAGGTGAGTGGCAAGAGCCCTGGAGGGAGCCATGTATCCCAGAAAGACTTGGAACTGGACTGTCCTTGACTCATCTCTCCAGTGCAACAGTTTTCCTATTTGTGCTGCACTTTGCAGTATTAAACAGTTGTTTTTCAAAGGACCTTCTGTTGAGTGCTGCGCTACAGCACCTTGTATTTATTACCTCATTGAGATGAGCATTATTTTTGTTTTATGCCTGAGACGTGAGGTTCAAAAGTAACATTCCCAAGTATAAAGGTTAAAGAAAAATTAGTATGAATCAGATGCAGCCTATAACGCCAGTTCTCAGTGCCCTCAAAATCCAGCCCCACATTGTGCTTTCAGCATCATGTATGTGTTTATATTTAAGTTCACGTACATCCCATAATTATTTTTATTGAAATTTAAAAATTTGCCAGGCACAGTGGCTCACACCTGTAATCCCAGAACTTTGGGAGGCCAAGGCTGGCGGATCACTTGAGGTCAGGAGTTTAAGACCAGCCTGGCCAACACGGCAAAACCCCGTCTCTACTAAAAATAAAAAATTAGCCAGGTGTGGTGGCAGGTGCCTGAAATCCCAGCTACTCGGGAGGCTGAGGCAGGAGAATTGCTTGAACCCAGGAGGCGGAGGGTTGCACCAGAGTCGAAATTGCACCCTGCACTCTAGCCTGGGTGACAAGAGCAAAACACTGTCTCAAAAAAACAAAAAACTTGCAAATTCCTTAGTTATTACAGTTTACTGTTTTTCATTTTATTATTGACTGCCACCCTTTGCTCTGCTTATGTTAATTCCCAAAGACACATAATGCTTCAGGAATACTGCGTCAAGTTTCTTTTAAAAACATGCATAGAAAAGAATGGTAGACACTGTATATCAATGGGAAAAGGATAAATTTCTCAAAAAGTGGCACAGGAACAACTCGTTATTCATATGGAAAAAAATTACAGAGGCTGCCATCCTCACACTCTATCCCCAAATTAATTCCAGGTGGATTATAGCCCTAATGTGAAAGGTAAAACTATCACGTTTTTATTTAAAAAAAAAAAAAAAAAGCAGGTATCTTTACGGCCTCAGGGGATGGAAGAATTTCTCAAACAAGAAACAAAAAGTGCTAATCATAAAGGGAAAAGTGGTAAACTTCGTTACATTAGAATTATGCCAAAATTTATACACACGTTAAACAGAAAGTGAGAAACCACAAAGTGAGGGAGGATATTTGTAACTTATAAAATAAAGGACTCGGCTGGACGTGGTGGCTTACTCCTGTAATCCCAGCATTCTGGGAGGCCAAGACAGGAGGATTGCTTGAGCTCAGTAGTTTAAGACCAGCCTGGGCAAATACAGGGAGACCTCGTCTTCACAAAAACTAAATATAAATTAGCCAGGCATGGTGGTGTATGCCTGTGGTCCCAGCTACTCGAGAGGCTGAGGCAAGAGGATTGCCTGAGCCTAGGAAGCCGAGACTGCTGTGGGCTGTGATCACGCCACTGCACTGCAGCCTGGGTGATGGAGTGAGACCCTATCTCAACAACCAACCAACCAATCAATCATCAAAAAACAAAAAACAAACAAACAAAAAAAACAAAGGACTTGTATCCAGACTATCAAAAAGAAACAAACTCCTATAAATCAATAAGACCAATAGAGAATCCAGTAGAAAAATGAGCAAAAGACTATTGACAATTGACAAAAAAAGGCCAAGAGACACAAAAAGAAGCTCAATCTCATTATTAAAGAGAAACAGTAAAAATTAAAACCACAACAAGATAATCATTACACAGTTGCCAGATGGGCAAAAATTTAAGAGTAGATAATAACAAGCACTGGAGAGGACATGGAGCAAGTGGAACTCTCACACCTACTGGAAACAGTTCAGCATTACCAAATAAAACCTAAAAACACACACCATATGACCCAGCAATTTCACTTCTCAGTTTACACTCTTAAATGTTTAAGAATACACACTAATGTTTAAGAGTATACCAGGATAAATGTTTAGGAATGTTCGTTGCAGCTGTTAGTAAGTGCCCCAAACTGAAAGCAATAGGGGCTTCTGCTTTTAAAATAGCTATTAATAGGTACAATGGAAAAATAACTTGTGGTATATTCATATCATGGAATACTATATAGAAATAAAAATGAATAAATCGCAGCTATACAAACAACATGGATAAATCTCACAGACTGTTGGATGAAACAGACAAAAAATAATATAATCAATATGATTCTATTCATGTATCATTCAAAACAAGCAAAACTATATTGTTTAAGGATGGACCCACTACACATTATATTCAGTATAAATGGCATCCCTTGGAGCAAAACTCCTAAGTAATGCATTACATCAGTGGCAAAACTACTAAAAGAAAAAAAAAAACACCTATAAAGTAGAGCACATAAGTGATTAACACAAAAGTACAAAAAAAATTTTTTTTCTCTTGGGGGAAGGATATGGTTGTGATGAGGTGTACAGCCTGGCTGATGAAATTTTCTAGTTTTTTGACCTGAGTGCCAATTACTACACAGGTATTTGCTTCTAGTGATTCACTAAAGTATACACAGATGCTTAAAGAAAATTTATGTATAAACATAATATTTCATAATAAATGAAAGACAAAAGAGACAAGAATAGCTCCTTTTCCTCCTCCACTGCTATTTCTCGCCACTTGGAACCACTGCTCTGGGATCTAAGCTCCACAATCATTAGGGCTTTTGAGGGCAGAGGTTTTTCTCACCACTGATTTCCTAGGGCCTAGCACAGTGCTGACAGGAAGAGAAAGCACTCAATAAATATCTTAAAACAACTCACTGACTAACTAAGAACAGAGAGGGTGGGAGAAAGGGAAGAAAAGAGCGATACAGTTTGAAATAGGAAATGAATGTATCAGAACTCAGAGTGTAGGAACTGGGAACTACTTGGTAAGACAGAGATCTCAACTAAAGTTTTTGTTGAAAATAGCAATTTTCATATATGAAGAAAAACTGTAATCTAGGAAGAATATATACAATGATGAAGTTTCCAGTTATCATTAAATATAATTTTAAAGGAAGAGTAAATATTTTAGTGATAGGTATAATCATTAATGCTAAAATGGCAATTAGGTGTGAGTGATATGCTTATTAGTCACATGATTGAAAATATTAGTATTACTCCCACACTAATAACTATTTCTCAGTAACCCATATTAGTAAGAGACAAAGCTAGTATACACTACATATAATTTAAAAATTCATTTTTGTCTATAATATCACTTGCTTCCTTAGTTCTAACAAGAGCTGTTAACGAAGAACACTAAAAAAAATTAGGTTTTCCTTCTTTTCCTTCAATATGTAAACTATCAAATGAAAAAACATAGCCAGAAAAGAAGAAAAAAAAACCTAGATAATATTTTTAAAAACCTGTATAACTGAAAGTTGACATAGTTTTAGTAATCTTTCAGATAATCTTAACTCTCCCCATTTTTTTTTAAGAATCTATTTTTTTTCTGATTATAATCTTTAAGTTATTCAAATCCCAAAGGTAAGCAGCCAGTAAACACACAGAGCCTCATCATCTCCCCAAAACCACAGGCACTTTGTATTTGGTAACAATCTTCTTTCACCATTCCAGAGCTCATATCGCTCTAAGGAACACCGGAGTGCTGTACTGCTCCAGCTCAAGTCAGCCTGGGAAAGAGAAAGGGACAAGGCCTGGGATCATTACCACTAGCTGGATTCCAGAAGACATAAAGTAAACTAGACTACCATAAGCTGAAGTTTAGTTCACATGGCTCAAGATGAAGAGTGCTAGCAGGCCAAATGCTGGTGAAATATAAAGGAAAAAAAATCCAGAAGAATGACAACTTCAATGTAAGTGAAAAACAAGAACAACAACAACAAAAAAAACACAGAAACTTAAGGCAAAGAAAGGATTCCCTGTACGTTCAAAAGGTTAAGTAAACACACTTTGAAGTTTTAGAATGCAGTAATAAATGCCAAAGAAAAAGTGAGGATTGTGCTAATACCAAGAATTGGTGAGATCATAAAACAATATGGTGCCTGGTGAAGCGGCGCACACCTGTAGTTCCAGCTACTTGGGAGGCTGAGGCCAGAGGATCCCTGGAGCCCAGGAGTTCAAGGTGCAGTGAACCATGATCATGCCACTGCACTCCAACCTGGGTGACAGAGCGAAACCCTGTCTTTTAAAACAAAACAAAACAAAACAAAAACAATATGGGGTAGATCAGGTAAATTATGGTACATCTACTTGATGTGCACTCATTAAAAATGATGAGGCCAGGTGCAGTGGCTCATGCCTGTAATCCCAGCACTTTGGGAGGCCGAGGCAGGTGGATCACCTGAGGTCAGGAGTTCGAGACCAGCCTGGTCAACACGGTGAAACACCATCTCTACTAAAAATACAAAATTAGCTGGGTGTGGTGGCACATGCCTGTAGTCCCAGCTACTTGGGAGGCTGAGACAGGAGAACTGCTTGAACCCGGGAGGCGGAGGCTGCAGTGACCCGAGATGGTGGCACTGAACTCCAGCCTGGGCAAGACAGAGCCAGACTCTGTCTCAAAAAAAAAAAATGATGACTATATGGAGCAACATGGGAAATATAAAATTGTAAATACACTGATTATAAGTATGAAAAACATGCATAGTAAAAAGACAAAAGAAAATGCATTCAAAATGTTAACAATGGTTTCAGAGGTGGGATTGCAGCTTGAATATTTAAAACGGTTTTGTTGCTGTTTAAATTTTCTATAGTATGCTTACATTATTCTATAACTAAAATTTTTATTTTAAGTATAAAGACTTTAAGACATCATCTTGAACAATAAGAACAAAAACACTGAGCAGTTAGTTTTATGTAATTCTCAGGTACTGATGCCGATAAAATACTTGATATCCCTTACTGCTTATTTACTGGCAATGGGAAAGATGTATGACCTACAGAGTCAACATTAAAATGATGAATATTCTAAAGAGTTACGGAAGAACAGGGAGAAACAGAAGAAGCTGGTTAAGATGGATACGCACACCTACACAACAGAAGCCATATGAGTGGAGCGAAGTTGGTCTCTTCATGTGGCCATGGTCATTTATTTCTCCACTCGCAAGTGGCTCTCAATATAATTTGTTAAGTTGCTTTCCAACCCCCAACACCCTAGTTGGTTAGCATTTGTCCGCAGGCTGAAATGGCAACTTAAATCCCTTTCTCTTAATACAGAGCAGGAGACTTTAATTTGAACCATATGACTGTCTTCTAGGAAGGCTTAAATACCAGAGCTTACTATCAATTTTGAGACTTGGAATTCTTTGTTGGAGGTGAGATCAGGAGCCTGGGGATATATAAGGTAGTGATAACTGATATCCCTAAAAATAAGTATATCATCAACTGGATATGTCTATGTGGTAAGGGAAAAGAGCAAAACGGGCGGCATTAATTTATAAATCAGGGCAACTGCAACAGGCAATTTTCTTATTTGGTCTACCACTTTAGAGCAATGAACTTGACTTCTTTTTTGGCTAACCAAAGAACAATCCAAAGCAGATGTAAACAGATTAGGCACAACTTTCCAGCCAGTACTAGTGTTCTCAGTGTCTCTAAGGCAATACAGTACAGCTTTGAGCGACGGACAACCCTGCTTTCCAAGGGTAACTTGTGCTTCACTTCCTTGCTGTATAAGTAAACAGCTTGGAAGCAGGGAGCAGAGGGGAAAAAGTGAAGTGGGAAGATATTTACTTACCCTAAATGAACAACCTCACCAAAAATCACTGTGACAAGATCCTTCATGTTTTCAAAGCTAAAAGCTTCTGAGGATTCACAATCCCAATACTGCATTTGCAATTAGAGACCCAAAGATGAAGACAGAAATAATTAGGTCCTTGATTAATTTCCAATTATTAGAAATTTCTAATAATTAGAAATGTTGCTGCTAGAAATGATGCAAAGAACCAAAGATCAAGACTGGTGTAAGAACAGTATATAAATAGGATTTAGAATGTTCTCCTGACTATTAAAATGGAACATGACGCTAATAAGGAATTAAATCTGCTTTTCCTATATAATGTCACTGGCCAAACCATATGACCTAAGGGCTTTATTTGAAATTGAACAAAACAAAAGTCAAGTGTGTGGATCTCAGAATTGTGGTAGTGACAAAGGATGAGTTTCAAAGTTCTCAGAAGTCACAATATTAGTTCACTCTTAAAAACAGATATTGGGAAGTCCTCAGGATTTAGTAATCACTTCAACCCCTGGCTGAACTTCCTCACTAGGAGCTAATAGAGAAGTAATGCCAAAAACTCCTGACTCACAGCCTTAGCATATATACACAAGAGAAAATTCCTTCAAGGAAAAAAAAAAAATCAAGTAATCATCTTATTTGGGGGGAGATTTGGATCAGCATTATATTGGCATTTCCAATGAGTGACTTATGTATTTTTATCCCAAAACACCTTAGCAGGTACAATAGCTGAACTCAGCTATTTTAAATGAAGTAATAAACCAGTCTTCTCCACTCTATTTATTTTAGATAGCAACATCCAACCCTTCTCATATAAATCCCCAAACACCTCCTCAATATAGGATCTTTGCATCAAACTCAGTACTGACTAGATGTATAAAGGAAAGGATTATAATGAGACACTTTCTACAACACATGCAAACAGTACTCATCGGAATTCTTAAAAACATTAATGAGTATATCATAGTCATGATTGTAAAGAATATCAACAAGAACAATAAAAGCCTAATCATTTAATCAGGTAAGTTTCTAATAATGATAGGTGAGCATGGTATACAAAATTTTAGTGTGCCTTTTATAGAACAGGATGAATCAGTGTCCCCTTAAATTCTCTTGAATCACTTGAACCCAGGAGGCAGAGGTTGCAGTGGGCAGAGATCGGGCCACTGCACTCCAGCCTGGGTGACACAGTGAGACTGTGTCTCAAAAAAACAAACAAATAAACAAAAAACCACAAACAAAAAAACAAAACAAAAACCTTTTTCCAAATTAAAAACTAAGACATATGGTCTGATAAGCAGAAGCCTACTTTTAGAGAAAAGAAGATAGGATTGTCACTTAAGAAGCTCTAAGGTGTTACCTAGAAATTAAGAGTAGGTAACAAAATACTATCTTAGATTAAAGCTAATAGGAAACAAACAAACAAAAAAAAACTTCAAATGAGAGCAGACATCTGAAAAGTAACCCAACTGAAAGGTGATGTGAAAATATGATAATGGGAATAAAGTACTCCCCTTCTCAATTTTTTTTTTTTTTTTTTTTGAGATGGAGTCTCACTCTGTCGCCCAGGCTAGAGTGCAATGCCACCATTTTGGGTCACTGCAGCCTCCACCTCCTGGGTTCAAGCAATTCTCCTGTTTCAGCCTCCCAAGTAGCTGGGACTACAGGCATGTGCCACCACAGCTGGCTGATTTTTGTATTTTTAGTAGAGACAAGGTTTCACCATGTTGGCCAGGCTGGTCTCGAACTCCTGACCTCAGGTAATCCGCCCAGGTCCCAAAGTGCTGGGATTACAAGCATGAGCCACCACGCCCGGCCTGCCTCCTCAATTTTTTGATGGACCACAAATGTATTCTCAGTACAAGGTGAACAAGACAGACATGGTCCCTGCCCTCATGTAGCAGATTAGTCCAGTGGGGGAGATACACATGAAACAAGCACACATGTAACTATATAATTATAACCACTGGATGAGTTTTAAGGAAAAGTTCCAGAGGGGCAATTGGTATATTCTAGAGAAATGGGGCTTTCCTGAAGAAGGTTCTATCAACAGTTCAGAGACTCACTCAATCTGATCAAGAAAACCATGGTATACTTGGATTAGAATGTAAAGAAATCAGTACAGTTACCTTTTTATTTTCCAGCTTTTCTGACTCACAAACTCCTTTCAAAGGAATGTATTATCTTAAAAACCTCCCGGGAAAGAAATTTTAAAAATAATTTTGTCATTTTTCTATGATTTATGATACAGAAGAGACTTTAGCTAAAAGACATTTTATTTTACATTAGTACATTAAAAATTAATTTAAAAGTTCACTATGAATTTTAAGACAAATTCATATTATCCCATCATACAAGTGACCCACACTATTTATTTCAATTATTCAAGAAAAAGTATTTATTTAAAATTGATATATCATGTTTAGTAGGAAGCCATATATGTGTGTGTGTGTGTGTGTGTGTGTGTGTGTGTGTGTATGTGTATTTTTTCTTTTTGATGGGGCGGGGGGGCAGGCGGTGGGATAGAGATGGGGTCTTATTATGTTGCCCAGGCTGGTATGCAGGGATCCTCCCGCCTTGGCCTCCCAAAGTGCTGGGATTACAAGCATGAACCACGGCACCTGGCTTTGGAAGCCACAAATATACTGAGATTATAATACACAAAACAGATGAATACTTTTCATGACCTAGGATTTGGAACACTTACATGTTTGAACCTAAAAACCAGACTTGATTAAATGAATTATTTTCATGCCTTGCTTTTAAATAATGAAATGGATTAACAAATATTGGGTCATTACTTATTAGCACTTCTTTGCAAATAATATACTATGAATGTAGATAGTCTTTATTCCCAATAAATCAAACTGGATATAATATAGATAGATAGATATAGATACGGATATGTGTGTAAAAAATGTATATACATGTGGTATATACATATTTTGTGTGTATGTATGTAATGTAACATTTTTAAACTTTGTTTCTTGAGGCCCTAGAAACAATTTGATGTGCTGTGTAAGAACCATGGCCAAACAAAGACAAATCATGAATTTGGTGAAGGTTGTCTTGAGGCATTACAGAATTATCATTTTTATCCTCATCAATTTGAATTTCAACATTAGTGTTCTTTATGCTTTATATAATCCAGTGATCCATAATAGATGTAAACTTAATAAAATACAATGAAAAACTGTACCCTGGTCAAAGCTATTATGATAACCAACTACTTGAACAATAAATGGAATGACCAAGTCATAAGCATGCTCATTAGCGCCCTGCCAGCAGGTAGACTCGATTTATACTCAGAGGCTCTCAAACTATTCCATTTAAGAAGGGCGGAAAGACCTAAGTAATTATTTCATTTATTAACTTCTAAAAAATAGAAAAGTCATTATCACTTTGTATGACATGAATCTCTTGGAACACTGAAAATCTCTGAGGATTCAGAAGTCACTGGCTGGGAAAAGATCCTGTATACTACTTGAGATGGTAAATTAAGGATGGTCTGTGTATAACCTCCGCAAAGACGAGCCAAAGACCACTCAAATCAGGATATTTTAAAAAGACTAGATGAAATACCCATGCCTACCACTAGCAAACTGTACTTTTTGATGCTAAGAAAACTGATACAAATATTATACTCACTCTCTTATGATTTTAAGAGAACTGATAAGGTATATTTCAGAACTCATAAATGACAACCAGATTCTGATATAATGGGGACCTTTACTAATATTCTGCCACCTTGCAAAGGCTTGCCTAAAAAGTCAGCCTCACTCTTTTTGACATTGCTTTAATTTTAAATTTCTATAATATCACATCAAATTTTTTTTTTTTTTTTGAGACAGAGTCTTGCTCTGTCGCCCAGGCTGGAGTGCAGTGGCGCAATCTCAGCTCACTGCAAGCTTTGCCTCCCGGGTTCACGCCATTCTCCTGCCTCAGCCTCCTGAGTAGCTGGGACTACAGGTGCCTGCCACCACGCCCGGCTAATTTTTTGTATTTTTAGTAGAGACGGGGTTTCACCGTGTTAGCCAGGATGGTCTCGATCTCCTGACCTCGTGATCCGCCCGCCTCGGCCTCCCAAAGTGCTAGGATTACAGGTGTGAGCCAAAAAAAAAAAAAAATTTTTTTTTTAGGTCAGGCACAGTGTCTCATGCCTATAATCCTAGCACTTTGGGAGGCTGAGGCAGGAAGATCACTTGAGCTCAGGAGTTCAAGACCAAACTAGGCGACAGAGCGAGACCTCATCTCTACAAAAAGTAAAAAATTTTATTGTTTTTTTTAAGAGACAGGGTCTCGCTCTGTCGCCTAGGCTAGAGAGCAATGGTGTAATCATAGCTTACTGCAGCTTCAACCTCTGCGGCTCAAGCGACCCTCCCATCTCAGCCTCTTGAGTAGCTGGGACTACAGGTGCGTGCGACCACACCTGGCTTCCAACACGCTTCACACAACACAATAAAGACTCCCTCAGAATCAGAGTGAAGGAGCACTCTGGGTGATTCGTTAGTCCCTTCCCAACATCAACTTGCATTTGAGGAGCTTACGATCCTCATGAGGACACATGACCTTGGGCAGACTTATATAAACGTTCTTAGAGTTCCTATAAGAACTGTAAGTTTCTATAACTTTTCTATAGTTCTTATAGTTTCTATAGCCACTAATAAAAGTAAAACACTACTCTAAATGGATAGAATATCAATGTTCTTCTAAAACTTCTTAAACTAGAAACTACAGGTAAGAGGCTGGGCACAGTAGCTCATGCTTGTAATCCCAACAGTTAGGTAGGTGGGGTGAGAAGATCTCTTGAGCTCAAAAGTTCAGGACCAGCCTGAGCAGCAAAACGAGTCCCATCTCCACAAAAAATTTAAAAATTCGCCAGGCATGGTGGCAAAACACCTGTAGTCCCAGCTACTTGGGAGGCTGAGGTGGGAGGATCCCCTGAGCCCATGAGTTCAAGGTTACAGTGAGCTATGACTGCACCACTGCACTCCAGTCTGAGCGACAGGAAGGGAGGGAGGGAGGCAAGGAAGGAAAGGAGGAAGGGAAAGAGAGAGAGAGAGAGAGGAAAGAGAGCGAGAGAGAAAGAACGAAAGAAAGAAAAGGAGAGGACAAGAGAGGAAGGAAAGAAGGAAGAAGAAGGAAGGAAAGGAAAGGAAAGGAAAGGAAAGGAAAGGAAAGGAAAGGGAGAAACAAACAAACTATAGCTTAAGTGTACACCTAATTTCCTTAAACCATACGTTGCTTGAGATTTTTCAAAGCTGTCATTTTCTGCAGCTTCAATAAAATGCCGATAAAATTATTTTTCTTTGTTCTAGATATTATACAGATTAAGATGAAACTTTGGCTTTTAATCATCACTGCTCATGTTTTATTTATATTTTGTTTTATTTTAATGGGCAAATTACAATAGTTGTATATATTTACAGGGTACATCGTACATGTTATGATACATGTATACACTGAGGAATGATTAAATCCAGTGAATTAACATATCCAGCACTTCACATACTTATTGATCCACACTTTATTCAATGCTGTGCCCAACACAGTCTCAGAGACAAAGAGCAGTCTGAAATTTCCAGATGCTTTGGTAGGTCAGAAGCGCATGCCATCCACCCTCTTACACTCCGCTCAACTCCCTTTCCCTGTAGAGGGAGGAGGCAAGCTTTTGGGCTCAGGCTTCTCCTACACTTTTTTTTCCACCCCCACCCCCACAAGACCTCAAAGCAAAAGCTTCCATTTCTTTTCTGCCCTTTGCTTCTCTCCCTTTTTCTATTCCCAACCTCTCATTCCCCCTTTTTCTAATTATCCCCAAAATAAGTGACGTGCAATTAATAGATAATGGCATGAAAATCCTTGAGGCTGAGGAAAAGTAATAGAGAAGTCACTCTGCACAAACTAGAAGTGTGAGTAAGAGGAATCTATGGTTGAGCATCAAATTCTTGATTCTCAGCTTCTCAGGCTGGCCTCTGTTTACACAGCCTCAGGTGTTACACTTCAGTGTTCCAAGATATACGAGAAACCGTAGGCTAAATAGGGTGCACCTTCCTGGAACATCAACGTTTTTTCTGTGTTAAACTAAGTTAATAATCTTAATATTAAAAAATATAGATATGACATTAAGTAGAATACAAATTTGTAAAGTTCTAGTCTCAGGAATAGGATTCAAGAGAGATAATATTTCAAATTTTCTTTTCCCAAGGGTCAACGTGCAGGAAGGTTATTTAGAGCCGCTTCTTGGTAATGGTCATATGCCATTTCAGGGCAAGAACACAGGTCTAGCTATTAAAATTCCTAGACTCTATTATGAATTCAGGACAAACACAAAGGCCTCTCTGGTCTCAATTCACTGGACATGTCAACCTGGGAGGTGCAATGAATGATAGCCTAAAAAGAGGGCATTAGAATCATGAAATACAATTTAGATTGATATAATGAGTATTGCATAACTACTTCCTGTGACCAGTCAGAGGCACTGTCAGTCAACACACTGTGGAAGGGTACTCAAAAATCCAAGGTTTCCAACCTTTCTTTTCTATATGATGGTATCTCAGTATATTCATACTAAGGGTGAAAGGTCAATTGAGTTAGGAAATGTTTTAATTTCTCCCTAAAAAATAATAAAATGGTCTAGCTCTCACTGCATTAAGGTCAAAATTTTCCATGGTACCTTAAATCCATGCTCTGAAAATTCTTTCCAGGATATTGGCCTTTCTATAGTTGCATTTCTGATCTTTGCTGTCTACTGATTGCCAACTAAAACAATAACACGAGAGTGGAAACTATCTCATGGAGACCATTCTGGGAGTCGACATTTAAAGACAAAAGTTTCCAACTTCCTTAGGTTTAAAAAAAATGTTTCCACAATTTTCAGAACATTCTTATAACGTCTAAGCATTTGAAAGAACTTTTCTTCAGGGAGTAAGCCAGCTACATTTCAGTTTTTTCTCAGGCAATCTATTTTAAATATAGACACCTTGCTACTTAATCTTTGGGGACAAGGACATTAAAATTACTTTCGAATAGCAATACATTAACCATTTTCAAAACACCATTTTTTTGATAGCTTAATATAATCCATCAGTAAGAAAATTTCATTTCTTTATTTCTAAACATATCTTTCAAAATTCCCTCTTCCTGGTCAAGACATATGATTGGTTATCTGGTCCTAGAAATTCTCGCTTGCTTTCTCTCTTGAATTTGTTGCCGTTTTCTTCCTTTGCATGTTTACTGCCACCATCACCCTCATGCGGGATTTTACCATTCACAGCCTTTAACTGGCCTTCCTATTACCAGGAGGCCCTTCCCTTCCCTCAGCTTCCAGCTTTTTGCCGTCTCCATACTGAATTGGATTAATTAAGCCTTATATCTTATATTCAAATGATTTCAATCTAATATAAACATCTACTGCTCCTGCCTTCTCGGGGAGACTCCTCTCCTTTAGCCTTCCCTTCCACTGAGCTGCTCACCCTTTTTTTTTTTTTTTCAAATAGACCTTGTGCATTCTACTGCTGCCCACGCTGCTCCAACTCAGTGCCCACTGGAACCTAAATGAAATCCCACATCCTAACCACGTGCAACTGGCCTTTGCCATCTCTCTCACCCCAACTTCTTCCAATCCCCATTTTATTCATTATCTCCAGCCATGCTGGACTTTCTTCTACCCCTTTCTTCTATGTTGAATTTATCTCTCTCAGGCCTTTGCATTGTTCTTCTTTCTGCGTGGAATGTTTTGAAGATCCTGGCTAAAAGCAGTACCTCTCGCACAAATCATTCTGCCATGTTACTCGAGTTTATCTTTGTCACAGCCCTATGAGAGCTTATTTGTGTTTACTGTCTATTTATCCCCATTAGAATATAAGTTCCAAGGGGTTATCTTACTGACTGCTGTACCCCCGTGCCTGTATCAGTGTCTGCAACTGACAGGTGCCTTATTAACACTTGCTGGAATTCTCTCCTCTACACCTGATCATCCAATCACATGACACTGGACGCACCTCAAATGCCATGTCCTCAATACAATATTTATGTCCTTTATCAGTACCGCCTGAACTTCAGTTCGACAAAGCTGGGGAGCACCTGCTACAGAACAGGCATGTATGAGCCAGTGGGAGTGTGACAATAAACAGGACATGGTTACAGTCCTTGTGGAACTGACAATCTTGTGGAATCTTACAAACTACAGTACTTCTATCATCCTCTGAACTCCTATGCTAATTAGACTGTACAATTAATGTGATAATGAGTCATGACATGCCTTGTAACATCTCTTCTATTGTATCCAACTATAATTTGGTAGCTGTTAAGGATACTATCATCCAGCGATGCCGGCTCCATGCTGAGTGAGCTGTGTTGTGCCTCGTCAGTCCTTCAACTGCTCTTCTGTGGATCCTTACACATCTCAGGCAAGAAAAGTTAAAAGTCGGAGGCCAAGAATCCTACTCTTTTCCCAGCATTGGGGTTCTCTATACCTTGCCTGGGTGCTCTTTACAAGAAATTCAGAAGTTTTGGAGAGTTAAAAGTGCCAGAAGATGAAGAGATTTTACTTTTTTAATAAGATATATTTGCATGCCAATAAAATTAGGTGATACATGTAAAAATGCTTTGTGAAGTACATTATATATATGCAAAGCATAATTTTGGTGTTACCAACTTTTCAAAGATCTAATGTTTGCTGCCCATATAGCCTCAGTTCTTTAGGGCTGGAGTCACGTTTCACGCTTCTTTTTTCTCTTCTGTGCCATTATGCAAGGAGGCTTCGTTAACAAGTAAGATTCTAGATTACCTCCACAAATTCTTAGTTCTAGACTTGGTAACTGCCTTTAGAAATAAAATTCTTTTTTTTTCTTTTTTCTTCTTAATAAAAAAGAGATGGAATCTCACTATGTTGCCCCAGGTCTCAAAATCCTGGCCTCAAGTGATCTTCCCACTTCGGCTTCACAAAGTGCTGAGATTACGGGCATGAGCCACCTCTCCCTGTCGTAAAATTCTTTATTCTGAAAATGATCAAGGCTTCTTCTGTATTACTAATGACAGAAACATCTCTTTAAAAATTCTACAGAAGACAGGTTTGCTACTGCCATTAAGAACACGGATTTGTTACTAATAATTCTAAAACCAGAAAGAAAACAAAGTTATTCACCTGGGCTTTATTCTCTCTAGAAACAGAACTAGAACAAAAATTCATAAATAAGAATTAAGCACAAAAAAAATCATAAACAGTGGAACAATGGTTCAATCTTTTTTTTTTTTCAGTAGACAAGGTATCACTATGAGGCTAGACTCAAACTCCTAAGTCCAAGTAAGACTCCTGCCTTAGCCTTGATCTCAACTAGCTGGGACTACAGATGCATGCCACCTTGCTCAGCTGAATCTTATAGTATTTATGACTGAAGATATAACTTATACTATAATTATAACTTATAATATCTATAACTAATATCTATCTATCCAGGGAACACTTATTCTCTCGAAGAGAACTAGTATGGACAGTTGTGATAGCTAGCTTTTTACAGTATCAAATATCAAATGTAGGCCAGGCACGGTGGCTCATGCCCATAATTCTAACACTTTGGGAGGTTAAGGAGGGAGGACTGGTTGAGGCCAAGAGTTTGAGACCAGGCTGAGGAACATAGTGACAAAAAATGTTTAAAATTAGCGAGGTGTGGTGGAACATGCCTGTAGTCCCAGCTACTTGGGAGGCTGAGGCAGGAGGATCACTTGAGCCCAGGAGGCTGAGGTTGCAGTGAGCCATGATTATGCCACTGCAGCCTGGTCAACAGAAGGTAACCCAGTTTCTTAAAAAAGAAGGGGGAAGGGGCGGGCATGGTGGCTCACACCTATAATCCCAGCACTTTATGAGGCCAAGGCAGGAGAATCGCTTGAGGCCAGGAGTTTGAGACCAGCCTAGGCAACATAGTGAGATTCTGTCTCTACAAAACAAACAAACAGTATCAAATGTAAATCACCACATTAATACAAAATGTAAAAATAAATTAATGTAAACACAAATATCCACAGACCAATTTATTCATCTTCTACACGAAACTGGATGCATGATTATTTTCATTAAAATCACTTAAACAATGGCATACAGAAAACATGAATCTTTTATACTTCCTAATCTGAGTTTTATTAGTTCCAAGTTATTTTGGTACTATAACATATACGATTATTTTAAAGATGAGCTGCTTACGACTAATTTCTCCTTTTCTTTTCTCTTTTTTTTTTTTTTTTTTTTTTTTTTTGAGATGGAGTCTCGCTCTCTCACCCAGGTTGGAGTGCAATGGCGTGATCTCAGCTCACTGCAACCTCTGCCTCCTGGGTTCAAGTGATTCTTCTGCCTCAGCCTCGTGAGTAGCTGGGATTACAGGCACCCGCCATCATGCCCAGCTAATTTGTGAACTTTTGTAGAGACCGGTTTTCACCACGTTGGCCAGGCTGGTCTCAAACTCCTGACCTCAGGTGATCCACCCACCTTGGCCTCCCAAAGTGCTGGGATTACAGGCATGAGCCACTGCGCCCAGCCAAGACTAACTTCTTAAAATAAAACCAAAAAACCCTTTTTCTCTCTTGCATGTTTCTTTCATATATAGTAGTTTCTTCTTACTGACATTTAAGATACTTTACCAAAAGGGAGGCCATTGAAAAGATCAGGAATCTGAAAGTTACTTTTGGCTTTTAGAATTAAAGTTGATTTCGTTACCTATCTGACCTTATCCTGTCAAAAACATCCAACCTACCTCTCCAAAATTAGTCATGTTCTAGTTGGCTTCAACTAGAAGCATTTCTCCCACTAGTCCATTAAGTTCAAAAAAGAACTGGGAGGTGAGAATGATAATTCTATTTAATTTATGTGCAAGAAAGGAGGTTCAGGCAATGACTGAGAAACTGAGTAACGATGGCATATAAGAGAAAGACTGCATGAGCAAAGCTAATGTTAGGTATTGTAGCAGGCCGCAAAACTAGAGGTGCTCATTTATTTTTCTGTTTTGCTCTTAAAACAAATAATAAAAATGTACGCTTTGGGTTAATGAACTTAAAAATCTTGCCAAAGTATATGTGTTAACACAGAGAGAGCCCAAGGCTGGCTGCCAGCACCCCGGAGTCTGTAATTATATATCAGCAGGTAGACACTCTCATTGTGACTCCTTGAATTTGTTTTAACTATTAACAACAACAACAACAGAAAAGTCTTTAAAAATCTCCTTACCAAATATTTCAGTAGAGTTTCCAACTTCAATTATCAATAATCTCTGTTTTTACTCTGAGTTTCTCAATGTAAAAACTAAAGGATATAAAATTTCCTTAACAGCCGGGCGTGGTGGCTCACGCCTATAATCCCAGCACTTTGGGAGGCTGAGGCGGGTGGATCAGGATCTTGAACTCCTGAGGTCAGGAGTTCAAGACTAGCCTGGCCAGCATAGTAAAACTCGTCTCTGCTAAAAATACAAAAAATTAGCAGAACGTGGTGGCGCATGCCTGTAATCCCAGCTACACGGGAGGCTGAGGTAGGAGAATCGCTTGAACCTGGGGGAGGCAGAGGTTGCAGTGAGCGGAGATCATGCCACTGCACTCCAGCCTGGGCAACAGTGTGAGACTCCATCTCAAAAAAAAAAAAAGAAAAAAAAGAAATTTCTTTAACTAAATCAAAATCATCCTAAATTCAAAATCAAGAACCAAGGGAGCATTAAGAAAATTTTTAATCTTGGGTCAGCGGACGGAAAATAAAACTAGAGAATATAAAGAAGGCCTTCTTTTTGTTTTGTTTTGTTTTCTACTGAAACTTACTATTTGTCATTAAGAATTGCAAACTATACTACTAAGAATGAACAACATTCTCTTCATTAAGCCTTTTTCAAAACACACAAGACAAAGCTCCCCTTTGGTCAAGGTGTTCCACACACTCCCACTGCAGCAGGCCCCACAGCTCGCAGCACAGTGGTGCACCATGGACTCGGGCACAGAGCCCAAGGAATGGAGATGACCCCAGTCTTCCCTCCTTCCCCACCCCAACTACACCCAAGGAGAAAGGATATGAGGAAATAAACTATGTCTTCAATGCTTGGTGGGGGCTGGGGGTGTCCTCTGCTATCCAGGTGGGCTGGTCAGTGCAGAGTGGGTGGTGCGTGTCCAGAGGGCCTTCTTTTAATTCACTACCCTAATCTATAATCCAAAGAGCCTTACAGTGACATCTGTGGCATGTTGAATAATGGCCCCCAAATACATCTATATCCCAATCCCCCATACTTGTGAATGTGTTACCATACATGGTAAAAAGGACTTGTATTAACATGATTAAAGATCTTAAAATGGGGAGATGAGGACAGACACGGTGGCTCCCAGCACTTTGGGAGGCCAAGGTGGGTGGATCGCTGGAGACCAGGAGTTCGAGACCAGCACGGCCAACATGGTAAAACCCCATCTCTACTAAAAATACAAAAGTTAGCTGGGCATAGAAGCGCGCACCTGTAGTTCCAGATACTCAGGAAGTTGAGGTTGCAGTGAGCTGAGATCACGCCACTGCCCTCCTGCCTGGGCAACAGAATGAGGCCCTGTCTCGAAAACAAAAACAAAAAAAGGTGGGGGTGGGAGAGAGATGATCCTGGATTATCTGAGACAGCCCAATGTAATGACAAAGGTCCTTGCAAGAGGGAAGCAGGAGGGTCGGAATTAGGAGTAGGAGATGTGACAATGGAAGCCACAGGTTGGAGTGAAGGAAGGAAGGGGCTGAGCTAAAGAATGCAGGTGACCTTTAGAAGCTAAAAAAGGCAAGGACACATTTTTCCTTCAGAGCCTCCAGGAGGAACAGCCCTTGCTGCTGTTTTAACTTTCACCCTGTGAGACCCAGCTTGGACTTCTGACCTCCAGAACTACAGGCTAACAAATCTGTGTTTTTCCAAGTCATTAAGTTTGTGGTAATTTGTTATAGTAATAATAAGACACTAATCAATCTTTTATTACAGTTTTAAGGGTTGTGAAGTTTAGTAGGTATTATTAGTATTAATTTAATTGAAGCTACAACAAATAATTACAAAAGAAGGTTTGAAATTGCCAGGCTTTTCCATGCCACACACCTTTGTGGGAACTACCAGTATCTATAGAGCTTTGGAGAAAATAAAACCGACATGAGAGCAAAGGAAAAACATGATTTTATATAAGATAAAGAAAGCCTTTAATTCCTGTGTACTCTGTAATAAGCTAGTGCAGGAGTGAAAGAACTTATAAATGATATGAAAGTTCTAAACAAAAGTGTAGCTGTCAGTTTCAGATATATAAAAAGCTAGGTGATGCTCCAGGATGTAAAAGTGAACAGGCTTATCTACACAAAAGCAACTCTCAGAAGAATTGTGACCCTGCAAAGGTACCCTTAGGTAACTTTGACCTATGATAAAAATCCAAACTCTCAAATCCCACCTCTACTAAGGAAGAAAATCCTTAGAACTGCTTTATACCTTGCCTTTTCTAGACAATTACATTCTAGCTATATTTTAGTTTTCTATATGAGATGTCCTTCCTTTTATCTGGGAGACCGGGGATACACGATGCTATACCGGAAAGTGTCGGCAAACATAAATGGCTTATTTTCATATTTACAGTTTCTCTATAGATTGCAGTCACTTAATTTTATTAGTAAATGGTGAGTCTGTATTCATTAGGCAAAATGCTGATAGTTTACTAAAATTAAGCATGAACAGATCAAGGCAGTGAAAAGTGCTCTCAAGGCACTGTCAGATAAGCAGACTAGTAAAATTTGAGAAGACAAAAAGCTGGACTGCCTATAAGCCACTCTAAGATCTATTTTTCCTAAATTATCATACAATTACAGCCTTTAGAATAAGTATGCTCTGTGTCAGCAGTGACATAAATCAACCTTCTCAAGTGAAGGTGAGAGGGTATACAATTTTAGTAGTTTTCCTTTCCACTTTATTACATATTTTATTTCTTATGTAAAAAAGGACCCGTTAACCAAAGTAATAGTATTTTAAATATCACCTTTCCCTTCTTTCTCCCCAGCCTAGTTCCAGCTGATACTACATTAAAAATAAACAGGCCGGGTGTGGTGGCTCACGCCTGTAATCCCAGCACTTTGGGAGACCAAGGCAGGCAGATCACTTGAGGTCAGGAGTTCAAGACCAGCCTGCCCAACATGGCAAAACCCCAACTCTACTAAAAGTATAAAAATTAGCCAGGCGTGGTGATGCGCACCTGTAATCCTAGCTACTTGGGAGGCTGAGGCAGGAGAATCGCTTGAACCTGGGAGATGGAGGCTGCAGTGAGTCAAGACTGCACCACTGCACTCCAGCCTGGGCGACAATGAGACTCAGTCTCGAAAAAAAAAAAAAAAGGGCAGGGGAGGGGAAGTACTTTTAAAGTTTATCAATTTTCAGGCTATTTTTTTTTTCATCTTAAATTGTCCTTACTTTCACAATAGTTCTTTCTGAAGAGATGGAAACAGATAATCCCTTGCTTATAGAACCCCAAGGAAAAGCTCCTTTGTCCCTATCTGACATCCTCAGTACAGTTCTCACCTGCTATTTTGATATTCAGATTGGCATCCAGAAGTAAATTTTCAGCTTTTAAATCACGATGAACAATGTTCCGACAGTGACAAAAATAGACAGCTGTGACGATCTGTTTGAACTTCCGACGTGCCTCCTTTTCTGCCATTCTACCATGGGCCACCAGGTGGTCTGTGTTGAAGAAGAATACAGTCAGTTTTCATTTTGGACACTTGTGTAATTTCAAAAGGTAGACTTAAGGAGGGCTACAAGGGGCCCTCTCGAGTGAGTTAAAGAGGCAAAATGAGCAATGAGAGAACAACACATTGATAGTCCTGGTTTGCATCTATCAAAATTCATTAGTAATAAGTATCCAAACTATTTTAAGTATAAATCCTGTTATACAAAAGTATGCATAAGAACACACTTGTACTTTCATTAGGAAAAGAGAGTTCTGGTGTTTTTCAAGGGTCATAGAACTCACTACCTTTCTTTTCATATCCTCACTGCAGAAGACTGCACAGACATGAGCAAACACACACATGAAGATAAGTATCAGAAATATTTCCTGTGTTAAAGAGGAGGTAAAAAAGCAAGGCCCCAATATTAAATCATTTAAGGAAAGGGTGGACAGAAATTCGTCACTGCTAGGGGGAGAAAACTCCTCGACAGAGCACTCTGTTTAGGTTACTATCTTTCTGCTTTCTCAAAGTTCTTCGATTTGACATAAAAACACACTTACTCGGTAACTGTTCTCTGGAGTGCATAGCGATATACCTACATCTTTATATCTGCATTTATGGGGCTCACCAAATGGTTCTTACAAAATGATAATTTTTACAGATAACATCAATCAAAAACCAAGTGAAGTTTCTACCAACTCAAATAAAATCATTTCATTGGCCATGTTGTTAACTAAGGTATATCAAAAGAATTTACATGTGATAAAATCATAATACTATAAAGCAGGCTATCCTCAATATTCAAAAATGATTTGATGGATTAGCAGGTTCTTTAAGAACTTTCTAATAATAGCAGTAGGTTTATACCAAACCAACAACATACATATCTTTGACTCAGTTCTTTATCAAACCAACAACACATATAGGTCATGACAGCTAGTGGGATTAGAAATGTCAGCTATGATACAGTTGTTCTGTTAGAAATGTCTAATAGTCTCATGAGCACTGTCCTTTAATCAACTGATCTAGCTGGGAAAAGGACATATTTGCCATCCTAAGCATCCTGAGACAGTAGGAAAGTGAAAAATGAGGGAATATAGATAAATATATTGTGATTTATCAACAGTTTTGGTAGAATACACAATTGTTTTGGTGACATCTCACTCCCTCACAGGACCAGTCAGGTGTATCTTTCCTTCACCACAAAGAGGAAGTTCAGGGTAGCACATATTTACTAGCAATAACTGCCAAGACTGAGCGCTTGTGGCAAGAAATGGTAGGGGAGAAGGTTGAAGAAGGGGAGTTAGATGCCAGCCCATCTACAGAGCAGATTGCAAAATAATTCAAACTGCATTCTGACCACAAGAAATATAACATTCTGGAATGCAAATACTGTAGTCACTTTAAGAACATATCTTATATGTAGATAATATAAATCATTAAGAAAGATCCTCAAAGGAATTATTGTAATTTTTGTTCGCCACACACAAGGCTTTTGAAGCATCTCCCTCAAAAATACAAGTCATTGTTATAGCCAAGATTATCGATTTAATAGAAGAAAAAGGAGAAAATAAGAAGTCTTCCACTTAGCAGTTAAAAGGACTAGAATCAAGCTTTCCCTGGGAGGTCAGAGGTGGGGATAAGTAAGCTCCCACTCGGGTGTGTTTAGGCTTCCGGTGAGGTCTGCTATGAACTTTAAACAACACGAAGTCCAAACTAGGGAGAGTAACTTAACAGAAGCTGTGAAAGAACTGGCCATCCATCAGAGGTAGAATGCTATGTTTTAAGAGGCCATTTTCTAACAGTACCTGCTCCTCTGACCCCCTATTTCTCTTAACCCAAGGCCTAATTATTCTAATAATATGTTTTAGTTGCTAAACCTTGTCTAATTAAAGAGCTTTGAAGAGACAGCTATTCTTGAGAAACATAAAAATAAACCCTTATGAAGGTTTACCATCAGAAGCTCATTTGGCCAAGCTACCCATTAATTAAAATGCCCAAGAGACATTTGTCTGGCAGTAAATACTAATTACCAGAACACATCAAAGTGCTTCTTAAATGCTGCAGAATGATTAATTTCACAATTTCCAAAATAAGTGATTTCTTTTATTAAGAAAGTCTTTATAAATTTCTAAGTACCTTGTTTTCCTAAAGTGATTGGAAAGTTCTCAAAACTGTTATACGGGCCAGAAGCTGCTGGAATGCAGCCTAGTTCTGTTTTATCTCTACAGTGACACATCAGTTGTCCCTGGACAAATCATTTATCCTGCCAATACCCCCACCTCTTGATCTTCTAAATACAAGTAAACTCTGTTGCATGCTATACCCAAAGAAAGAACAGAATATTTGGGAATAAACGTGTACTCTGATTAAGAGTATCATACGTTAAAACTTTCACTTTCAAAGATGTTGCAAAAGACATTTTTGAAAAGGTCCACTGAATACTATATAGGGAATACTTAAACATCTAGTCAATAGAGCACAAAGTCCTTCAGGATTCTGCAGAGCTTAAAGGTGATTTTCTACACATCGATTGTCACTGTTAATGGTTCTGGTTAAAAGGTAGCTGTAACAGCGCACTGGGTAGTACAGCTTAAACTATAATACTTTCCCCAAAGTTACCTTCAGTACCCCTATAGTTATAGATACAAAGAAGATAAACAAATCACTTTTTTTTTTCCCCTGGACTCTAAATACACTTACGGAACAAATCACTTTTTTTTTTTAAAGTGTTCACATTAGATATTTGCTCCTAGCCATTGTGTTTAGGGTTCAAGTTTTCTTCTCTTTGGGAGCACTGTGCTCTTCACATGCAAGCTCCTTCCAGTGGCTCAATCGCATTCAGACCTCAGCCTCTGCCCTGATTTTTGCCCATCTTATCCCCCCAACCCCTACTCCCATTGGTTTGCTTTCACTGTAAACCTACGAGGTCTAGTGGGTGTGCCAGGAAGCCAGCAGCCTGCAGTGGTTTTCACTCCCTGCTGAAAATCGCCTTTCAGCTGCCTGCTGACAAATAGCTGCTTTATATTCGTATATGCTCTAGAGGCAGGCAGCAAACATTCTTCAAGTTCAAATGTGATATTTAACTTTCAGTGAAGAAATCCAGAGCTGTAGACCAGCCTGGACTTAACACATAGTCACAGCATTTTTACAAATACTGCAGTACTTTCAGAAGGCAAATGAAACCAAATGGCTCCTGAATCCACTCAATACGCAAAGTAAAATGTACGTTGAACCTTGTCAGGATAAACTCCAATTGCAAGGAACTCCAGAGTTGTTCTGCTTCTTCCAGGCAATTCAGTGAACTACCTCTCCTAAATACTGAGACACAAATACTACCCATATCCTCATCCCAATCATCCACACTGCAGCCATGCCCCTAGCTAGAGTCCTGCCCCCTCCCCACCCCCACCAATCTAAACAAACCTCAAGTAGACACCTGCTGCATAAAGTCAAGTCCATCACACTAAGCTTTTTTCACCATCAATCAACTACTTATCTATTTAGTTGCCATTATAGGTCTGGGACAAATTTAAAGTTTTCTTTGACCACAATTTCACTCCAAACATGTACCCAGACAGGGATGAGGTGACTCTCGGTTAAAAGGAAAAAAAATGGTTCTCCTGTTTCAAGTGCTTTTCAAAAGTAAAAAGTAAAACAAAGTAAAAAAAAGTAAAAAGTACTTTTAAATTCTCTTTCTCACTTTCCCATGACCATGACTTGGCATTGGTCTTCTTTAATCTTTTTGGTCTGCCCTTCCTTGCAAAATGAAAAGAAGTAAGTGACACTAAGAGATTTACATACCCGACGAAGAGTAATATTGTTAGAAGTACAGGAAATCGATTTTGAATTTTCTAAAGTATTAGAGCACCAGCACGTAAGTTTGCTTCAGAATTCACTGTTTGTAATTTTGTCCCAATCTTACTCAGGAAGAAAATATCTTGTGGTACATTTAGGTTCTGACCTTTCAAAGAGCAAAAATACACAGAAGCCAGTCTTACCTTCCCTAGGCCAGCTTCAATGGAGTGTCAGAGGTATGCCACTAATGGGATAGTGGTGCGGAGCCAACATTTCTTAAAATAAGTCACTTTTCCACTCTAAACAGACAGTGTCTCCATTTGTCTGCTAAGTCTACAACTCATAGTTGATGCAAAACACTAGCTGAAAATGAACATACCCTGACAGCAGGACAAGCAATAGGCAGAAATACCACATTTCAGTGAAGAATGAACCCAGCCTAGAAAAGGGAAAAGGCAGTATGTGTGCTCATCTTCATCTTAGGTGACTACCTGAAAAAACTTCTGCCAATTCCAAACTAACCACAGCTAGTAGTTCTTTGCTTTGCCACTCAGTTCTATCATTTCTTCTTCCTACACCCATGGAAACGACTTCCTGTTTATCAAACAAACGCTTCTTTCCAAAAAAGCAGGGCGAGGCCAAGATAACTCAGCTCCCCCTAAGCAGGTTAATAAGAGTGCAGTCACTTTAATATCCTATTGTCCTCTAACTCCCAGGCGTGGCTGCCACTGACTAGAGGAAGAGGGTTTGTCATTTTGTCTTTCTTGCCAAGAATCCAACTACCTCTTACCGGGCTTCTTGACTTGTTGCTGCTTCTTGTTACTATCTCTTTTCTTTGCTCCTCCATTGACCAGGCCAAAAACTTTTATGGCATCTTTCATTCTTCTCTTTCTCTCACACCCTGCATCCTATCCATCAGCAAATTCTATTAACTCTACGTTCAAATCATATTCAGAATCCAACTATTTCTCACCCCTGCCTTCACTCCACTCTAGTGCCACCAGCCTCATTTAACAGCAACTACCTCACTCCTAGATTTCTGCAATAACCTCCTAGGATTACTCCTCAAAAGAGCAGCCAAGGTAGTAATCTTTTTTTAAAAACTTTTTATTTTGAGATAATTATAGATTCACAGGAAGTTGCAAAGACAGTGCAGAGAGGTCCCGTGTACCCTTCGCCCAGTTTCCGCCAATGGTTAAATCTTATATAATTATAGAACGATATCAAAACCCAGAATTTGACATGGGTACAATGCGTATGTATAGTTCTATGTCACTTTATCACATGTGTAGATTTGTGGAACAACAACTGCAATTACTACAATAGCAATTACAACTATTCGGACTCAGTCATTACTGAGTACTCTCACATATATGCCTGCATGTGTAAACGGATCTTGCCTTTCCCCTGTTCAATTTTTTGTATCAAAAAAAGATACAAAAATATTTCACCACCACAAAGATCTCCGTTGCACTACCCCTACACAGTCATGCTTGTTCCTCTATGCCCCACCATCCCTAACTCCTAGAAACCACTAATCTGTTTCCCATTTATGTAATTTCATCATTTTAAGAACACTATATAAACAGAATCATACAGTCGGCGACCTTTTGAGATTGGCTTTTTTATTTTCTTGTTTTTGTTTGTTTGTTTTTTGAGAAAGAGTCATTCAAGCTGGACTGCAGTGGCAAGATCACGGCTCACTGCAGCCTTGACCTCCTCCCACCTCAGCCTCCCAAGCAGCTAGGACTACAAGCATCTGCCACCATGCCTAGCTAATTATTTAGAGGTAGGGTTTCACCAAGTTGACCAAGCTGGTCTCAAACTCATGGGCTCAAGTGATATTCCTGCCTAGGCCTTCCAAAGTGTTGGGATTACAGGCATAAACCACCATGACTGGCCTGATATTTTTAGTCACCATAATGTCCTTAAGATCCATCCAAGTTGATGTGTCTATTAACCTTGCTCCTTTTTTTTTTTTTTTTCTTTTTTGAGGCAGAGTCTCACTGTCACCCAGGATGGAGTGCAGTGGTGCAATCTTGGCTCACTGCAACCTCCACCTCCTGGGTTCAAGTGATTCTCCTGCCTCAGCCTCCCAAGTAGCTGGGACTACAGGCGTGCGCCACCACACCCGGCTAATTTTTGCATTTTTAGTAGAGACAGGGTTTCACCATATTGGCCAGGCTGGTCTCAAACTCCTGACCTCGTGCTCCACCCGCCTCAGCCCCCCAAAGTGCTGGGATTACAGGCGTGAGCCACTGCACCTGGCCCCATTTGCTCCTTTTTACTGCTGAGTAGTACAGCATGGAATAGATGTACAAGAGTTTCCTTATCCATTCACCTACTGAAGGACATTTTGGTTGTTTCCAGTTCTTAGCTATTACAAAGAAAGCTGCTATCAACAATTAAACAATTGTGTATAGAATTTTATATGAATATAAGTTTGCATTTTCTCTTTTCTTCCTTCCTCTCTCTCTCTCTCTCTCTCAAGAGACAAGGTCTTGCTGTGTTGCCCATGTTGGAGTGCAGTGGCCCAATCATGGCTCATTGTAGCCTCAAACTCCTACACTCAAACAATTAAGTCTGCATTTCTATGTAGCAGGGTAATTCTCTTAAATCTTAAATAAGATCACATCATTTTTTTCTGTCAAAACCTCCGGATGGGTTCCCAGCTCATGACCTTTGACCTTACCTTCTTTCACTGGCTCTTTTGTTCTACTATAATCACATATGCCACCTTGCTATTTCTCAAACACAGCAGAAATACTCCTGCCACAGGGCCTTTGTTCTTTCTATTCTTTCTACTTGGAATGCTCCTCCCCAAATAGCTGCATGATCTTTTACAAAAGTATAACCTTCTCAGAGAGGTCTTTCCTATCTCTATTGTCAGCTTACCTCCTGATATTTCAATTTCATATTCACTTCCCCTACGCACTTTATCATTTTCTAACAAATGACACATTCTACCCTACTTAGTTGGTGTACTATCTGTCTTCTCCACTAGAAAACAAGCTCCATGAGGGCAGGCATTCTTGCCATTTTGTTCAATACTGTGTCTAGTACAATGAACGGTATCTGACGCATATTAAGCACTTAATAAGTATTTATTAAAAGAACAAAAGATGATTGAATACATTCCTATCCCTGTTTATTAAAACTATTTCCTGAACCTTAGATTTTATTAGCAAAATGAATGCTAAATGCTATTGCTCACCTCAATGAATTCAAGAGTCTTCCCAACTAATCTAAAAAGGCACACTAACATATATGACCTGTCTTCATATATCCAAGTCTGTACTTGGCATACAAGCAAAAAGTATACTAAATTTTCTTCTGTCTCTTCCAAATAAACTAAACTTTTTCCCTGAGAGTTTTGAGACAACACAATTTCTTCGTGAAACACATTATCACAGGATATGCTTTAGTTTTGAAAATGTGGAACTAGAACTATTTTTTTCTATGCCTCCTTATTACACATAAAATAGTACTCTGCCTATGATGGATACTTAATAATTATAGATTAGGCCAGGCATGGTGGTTCACACCTATAATCCCCGCACTTAAAGACCAGCCTGAACAGCAAAGCAAGACCCCATTGCTACAAAAAATTTAAAAATCAGCCAGGCATAGGCCGGGCGCGGTGGCTCACCTCTATAATCCCAGCACTTTGGGAGGCAGAGGTAGGTGGATTACCTGAGGTCAGGAGTTCAAGACCAGCCTGGCCAACATGGTGAAACCTCATTTCTACTCAAAATACAAAAAAAAAATTAGCCGGGTGTGGTGGCGCATGCCTATAGTCCCAGCTATTCGGGAGGCTGAGGCAGGAGAATCGCTTGAACCTGGAAAGCAGAGTTTGCAGTAAGCCGAGATCGTGCCACTGCACTCCAGCCTGGGCGACAGAGTGAGACCCAGTCTCAGAAAACAAACAAACAAAATCAGCCAGGCATGGTGGTATGCACCTGGTAATCTGTTGAGAGGCTGAGGCAGGAGGATCACTTGAACCCAGGAGTTCGAGGCTGCAGTGAGCTATGAGCATGCCACTGCACTCCAGCCTGGGCAACAGGGCAAGACCCTATCTTTAAACTATTATTAATAATGATAAATTATTATTAATTATATTGATTATTAATACTTATTAATTTATTATTATAAATTAACTCAAGGAATACCAATGAGAGAAGAGACTATAAGCTTTTACAAAAACACTTTTTTTACTCTTCATTTTGCTATTAAACAAGGTTTGTAAACTACACACTTTTTAAGTTGTCTTCATAAAAAACATGCCATCCTTTTCATATCAAGTCCATTCACAGTAATGTATAAGGAAGGATTTGTTTTCTTATGGCTTCTTAAAAAGTATTTCTAGACTAAGCATAAACCCAGGTAGGCTTTGAAATAGAATCTCATATATTACAAAAGGCCTTTCAAAAATGTTATTCAAGTTTTCTCATATAGTACCAATGTTTCTCATGCTACACCAAGGTATTAGCAATACTTGGTTTGCTAATCCTGTAACAGAGGTTCTAATCAGATCCTAGTATAACCTGCATGCTCCAAGTCAACAGAGGTACCTTTCGATTTGTTAAAATATTGACTATCAAAATGTTGCAATCCTAGCTCTAACTAGTCTTCCAAAGGGAACAGCTCAAGTACATGTCTCCAGGGAATTTTATGTAGCATGAGATGGTAACTAATGCCAATACATAAGGCTAATGGCTTCCAAATTCACTGTTTCTAGTCATCTAACCTCCTGAGCTCCAAACTCCTGTTTTCAAATGTCTACTGAAAAACTTCATCTAGGTATCATAAATATATCTAAATTTAGGCCAGGTGTGGTGGCTCACACCTGTGATCCCAGCACACTGGGAGGCCAAGAAGGGAGGATCACTTGAGTCCAGGAGTTCAAGATCAGCCTGGGCAACATAGTGAGATCCCATCTTTATTTTTATAATTTAAAAAAATTTGAAAGATATCTAAATTTAACATGGACCAAACTGAACTAGCGTTCTCTTTGTTTGTTTGCATTTTTGAGACAGAGACTCACTTTGTCATCCAGGCTGAAGCGGGGTGGTGTGATCTCGGCTCATCACAACCTCTGCCTCCCAGGTTCAAGTGATTCTCCTATCTCAGCCTCCCAAGTCACTGGGACAACAGGTGCCACCATGCCCAGCTAATTTTTGTATTTTTAATAGAGACGGAGTTTCACCATGTTGGTCAGGCTGGTCTCAAACTCTTTACCTCAAGTAATGCACCTACCTCAGCCTCCCAAAGTTCTGGGATTACAGGCGTGAGCCACAGCACCTGGCCTGAACTAACGTTCTCTTTATCTTCCTGCTGTAACCTAGTTCTCCTCCTGAATCCCTATTACCATCATCTAGATGTCCATGAAAGAAACTTTGGAATCATCTTCAACTCCTCTTTCTTCCTCACTCTTAACATCCAATTACTTACAAAATACGCTAAATTTTCGACTTACATTTAAAGAGTATGCCTCCTCTTCTCTATCCTTCAGGTTTCCCTTTCTGCCCATCATCCTTTACATTGTTACCAGTTATTCTAACACATTTCTTTGGTCGTGTCATTCATTTAACTTAGAACTTTTCAACAAAATCTCACAGCCTACAATATATAGTTCTAATTCATAAACATAGTTCACCTGCATGTGTACTTGCTGTTTCACCAACATGCTGTACACTTTGCTCAGGGTTTTACTTCTTGCTGGAATGCCTGTCTCCTATTCTCATCCCCATCCCCAGCTGAACTTTGGAATTCAAGGTTATCCTTTAAAGTCCAGCTTAAAGGTCATTTCTCTGAAGCTAACCCTAACCTACTCACCCGCCCTAGAAAAACTGCTCCATAATTTGTGTCTAATGACATTTAATCTATCTGCCTCTATGACATCAGCAAACAATTATATTACAGTAATTTCTTATCTTGTGTGTCTTCCCTCCTAGCCCATGGATTTTTGGTCCATGGATGGGTTTATATCCATGAAGCACTGCAAGACGTAGAAAAATATGTAGAGTGTGTTTCTGTTTGTGTAGGAAGGAAGGGAAAATACAAATATGCATGTGTATGTATATGCATATATTTATTTAGATTTGCCAAAAGGAATAATGTTAAATAAATGGTTACTTACGGAAAAGGTGTGGAAGCCAGACATATGAATGCACCTTGTTTTGTAGCTTTAACTTTGGAAACAAGTAATGTCTTACATAACTGAAACAATTCAGAATTGAATCAAATAGAAGAACATTTCTAAAAATTGAAAGCAACCTGTAAAAAATCAGTAGATTACGGTACATAATACCTAACTATACATAAAGTTAAAAGTATTCTGCTAGAGCAGCCCAAATAGACTAAGACAATTCTTCATGGGATATATCCTAAGAACAAAAAGAACCACAAGTCTCCTTATTATTTGTAATACTACTGGTATTGTTTTCAATCAATCAGTCTCTCCCCTCACTCATATCAAAAAAGTGACTATGTTAACGTCATCTGGAACCACAATTTTCAACATAAGGGAAAAGAGAACTAAAGATATAATATTTAAGAAGTAAAAATGCTGAAATCTTACATTTTAATTGGAGTGTTAGTATAAACTTGTTTCATTTTCCTCTCCATTAAAAATATATATTTCATAGCTCTGTCCCCTCCTCTAAGCAATAATAACCCAGTAGCACTAACGAGCATCCCTGAGGCCCAAATTCTGGTCTTTAAATGCTATTTTCCATTTAAAGAAACCAGAGTTGGCTGGGCACGGTGGCTCACGCCTGTAATCCCAGTGCTCTGGGAGGCTGAGACAAGTGGATCACTTGAGGCCAGGAGTTCAAGACCAGCTTGGCCAACATGGTGAAACCCCGTCTCAACTAAAAATACAAAAATTAGCTGGGCATGGTGGCGTGTGCCTGTAGTCCCAGCTACTCGGGAGGCTGAGGCAGGAGAATCACTTGAACCTGGGAGGCGGAGGCTGCAGTGAGCTGAGTTCACACCACTGCACTCCCGCCTGGGCAACAGAGTGAGACTCTATCTAGAGGGGAGGGGAGGGGAGGGGAGGGGAGGGGAGGGGAAGGGAGAAGAGGGGAGAAGAGAGGAGAGGAGAGGAGAGGAGAGGAGAGGAGAGGAGAGGAGAAGAGAAGGAGAGAAAAAGAAAAGGAAAAGGAAAAGAAGGGGACGGGAGGGGAGGGGAGGGGAGGGGAGGGGAGGGGAGGAGAGGAGAGGAGAGGAGAAGGAGAGAAAAAGAAAAGGAAAATGAAAAGAAGGGGACGGGACGGGAGGGGAGGGGAGGGGAGGAGAGGAGAGGAGAGGAGAGGAGAAGAGAAGGAGAGAAAAAGAAAAGGAAAATGAAAAGAAGGGGACGGGACGGAAGGGGAGGGGAGGGGAGGGGAGGGGAGGGGAGGGGAGGGGAGGGGAGGAGAGGAGAGGGGAGGAGAGGAGAGGAGAGGGGAGGGGAGGAGAGGAGAGGAGAGGAGAGGAGAGGAGAGGAGAGGAGACCAAACCAGAATTCCTAGGAGAAATGTTTGATTCCATGTCTGGTACAGGAAATGTTCAAGATAAGCATAGGACATCTTGCCTAAAAGCAACAAAAATATCAAAGACTATTGAGCTCACATCAAAAGGACACAGGAGTCAGCCTGAAGAGGCTCCAGGCTCCCACTGGCTAAGTGGAATAATTTCAGTTTCAAAAGAAGAATGACTTAATGGACTGAAGCACATAAAATATACTAAAATCCATAATTGCATAATTATGTTACAAAATAGAAAACCAACTTCCTTAGTCTCCACTGGAGATTGCAGAGAACCAATTCATTATTCTAAAAACTGATACATAAGGAAAAGAAAGAATCAAGCATTTATCTTGTCATTACTATAATTTCTAAGTAGTTTATAAGGCAAAGTTCTTTACAGAAGAAGAATAACTCATAAATGTTGAATGAATGAGAGAATTCAAATAATCACCATTTTGCAACTTCTTTTTTGTTTTGTTTTGTTTTTAAGACAAGTCTCACTCTGTCACCCAGGCTGTAGTGCAATGGCGCGGACTCAGCTCACTGCAACCTCCGCCTCCTGGGTTCAAGCAATTCTCCTGCCTCAGCCTCCCAAGTAGCTGGGACTACAGGTGTGCATCACCATGGCTGGTTAATTTTTGTATTTTCAATAAAGACAAGGTTTCACCATGTTGGTCAGGCTGGTCTGAAAATCCTGACCTCGTGATCCACCTGCCTCGGCCTCCCAAAGTGCTGGGATTACAGGTGTGAGCCACCAAGCCCGGCCTTGCAACTTCTAATGAAATAGCTAGGCAACTAAATGACAGGAGTAGATAAAACATTACGTAAAAGACTGATGGGAAACTTTATAAAGGATCAATTTGGTGAACAATAACTATACCTGAAGATTATTCTAAGTATCACTAAAAGTGGGAAAATCAGATATTATACAACTCTTGAAGTGATGCAATAAAAAACTATGGAGCACTCCTGCTTCCCCTCCAAAAACTGAACTAAGCAAATTCCTAAATATAACTTCCACTTTCCAAGAAACACTGAACTACAGGAACATGTTGAATGACACAATAAATATATGATCAGCCAAATTCCAAATGTAGGACATTTTTTAAGACAATCCAGTTTCTTACATAAATAGATAGCATAGAAAAAAAGTAAATGTTTGTAGGGAAGAGATGAGGTTGTCACAGATTATTTAAAAATTTAGATTATAAAAAATTTAGACATTTTTCAACTCAATGGATGTATGGATTTCTTGCATCGTAATTTGTACAAACTATAAGAAGATGTTTTGAAACATCTGCAGAAAGCTAAACATGCCCTGGCTATTACATGATAGTAAGGAATTACTGTCAATGCTGTTGTATGTAAGAATGGCATTGTAGACTTCTGTTTTGATTATGAAAGAACAACTGATATTGAATTTACTTTACCTAACTATAGAAGCTGGGCTGTTTGTAGACACTGGATAATAACAAACACAGGGTTATGATTTTCAGAGAAAGTAAATGTTAATGTAGGAGCCAGGCAAAAATATTCCTTTAAGGTTTTTTTGTTTTTTTTTTTTTTTTGAGACAGAGTCTCACTCTGTCACCCAGGCTGGAGTGCAGTGGTGCGATCTTGGCTCACTGCAACCTCTGCCTCCCATATTCAAGTGATTCTTGTACCTCAGCCTCCCGAGTAGGTGGGACTATAGGCGTGTGTCACCACGCCCAGCTAATTTTTGTATTTTTTAGTAAAGACGGGGTTTCAACATGTTGGCCAGGCTGGTCTTGAACTCCTGATCTCAAGTGATCTGCCCATCTCAGCCTCCCAAAGTGCTGGGATTACAGAAGTGAGCCACCATGCCTGGCCCTTTGGGATTTATATATACTCAATACAGCAAAAATAATTTGATTTGTTCTCTGGGGCTCTTATTTTTATGTCATGGTAGAAATGACTGGATGATCAGACTATAAATGAATGTTTTAGTGTAAAGTGAGGTCAAAGCACAGGTGGCTTCCTCATACATCTTGGCCAGTTACAATATAAATGCTGGTCACAGACCCACCCCCGCCAGCTCCCCTCCTTCATCCATGCATCTCTCCACTTGCACACTCCTGGTGGGGGCATTAAAAAAAAAAAAGGATAAATAAATAAAATAAATGTTAGTCATATCTGATATTAAGAAAACAGAACAAAAAATGAATAATAATAAATGGGAAATTAATTAGGGAAATAAATACAAGTCAATTATTTTGATTCAGAGTGACTAAAGTTCAGTAGCATGGTTACTTGCTTGTTAGGAGACCCTTAGAAAATAGCTAAGTTTTTGTTTGTTTGTTTGTTTGTTTTGTTTTGATTTTTTTGAGACGGAGCCTCGCTCTGTCCCCCAGGCTGGAGTGCAGTGGCGCAATCTCGGCTCACTGCAAGCTCCGCCTCCTGGGTTCAGGCCATTTTCCTGCCTCAGCCTCCCAAGTAGTTGGGACCACAGGTGCCCACCACCATGCTCGGCTAATTTTTTGTATTTTCGGTAGAGACGGGCTTTCACCATGTTAGCCAGGATGGTCTCAATCTCCTGACCTCGTGATCCGCCCGCCTCAGCCTCCCAAAGTGCTGGGATTACAGGCGTGAGCCACCGCGCCTGGCCGAAAATACCTTTTTTAATAATCAAAGGAGTAAATAAACTAGTGGGAAAATGGTAGTTTAGTTGTGAAGACATAAAGGATGCTGCGGATTAAATAAAAACATGTAAAAAAAAAAAAAAAGCCACAACAAACCAGTACATAGTAGTGTTCAAACAAATGTGTTGTATTCTTGAACTTCCAGGCAGTCACAAGATAAAATAACCTATGTGAAACACTTAACACAGTATCTTGTACACAATGGTTATGCAAGTTAGTCTTTCTGATCCTCTGTCCTAATAGTTTTTGAGTGACCTATGGCATAAATGAATGGCTTTGTGAGAAGTTCAGGGTTCCATACATGTTGGCACCATTAAGAAATATTATTTTTAAGACACTGAGAATGTTCATAATAAATCATACACATTTCAACAGACTCCTCTTAAATTAGTAATTTGTTTTAAATGCCCATGAGTTCTGCCTGGTATTCAGGAAATTTTGCTTGATAAAGTGCTGGATTTATGACTTCATGGTCTCAAATAGGAAGTTTGGGGATATATATCTAAAGATATCAGAGTGTGGAAGTTTTAAATTATAAATTTAGTGGTTTACAAAACTAACCAGTTTCTCAATTCTGTTTGTAACATTAAATAAACCCACACTGTCATCACTGCTCCTTCATAATATAAGGCTGAATAGTATGCAAAAATAAACTGGATAAGTCAATTGAATGAGTAGTAAATATTCATGAAATAACCAATTACTGAAGTCTATTTATTACACTGCTTAGAATTCATAATCTTCAATATGTCTTTCTCTATACAGTTACCCAAAAAAGGTGCTTTCCCCATGTCAAAAACTCATTTAACTAAGATGTTATTAAATAACATGCAAATTCCATGCTTGACTTAGTTATATTTCATTATGACACAATGAAATACATTTACTGAGTGCCTACTATATGTTAGACACTACATTAAACAAGGAAGACACAGATGAATAAAACTTAAACGCCATAATCAGCAATCCAGTGATGTTCTTTCATTCACTTAGTATTTTATTCAACTTATCAATAAATATTTATGGAACATGCATTCCCTGTAGGCACTATTTTGAGTATTGAAGATTTGGTAGGAAACAAAAATGACAAAGTCTTTAATGGCACGTAAATTTTATTGACTCAAGACAGTAAAAAAACAAATAAATATATGTCAGTTCATGATAAAAACCAAAAAGAAAAGTAAAGCAAGACAGAGACTACAGAGCAATGGGCCAGTAGGAAGAATGAGATTTTAGACAGCATGGTGAGCAAACACCTCTCTAATGAGATAACATTTGATAAGAGACTGGCAAGAAACAGGAGAGACAGCCATGTGGATATGTAGGAAAAGAGTAATTCAGGAAGAAGAAATGGAATATATGGTCTTAAAGCGGGAGCACAGCGAAGGGTTTAATGAAAAAGAAAGATGCCGATGTGAGGAGGAGAGTGCTAGGAGCTGTGGTGAGAGACAGCAGGAGACCAAATTATATAATCTTATAGGCTATAGTAGGAATTATAAATTTATTCCAAATAGATGGGAAAGCCAACAGAAGTAGCTCAGTGGTAAGGTCCCACTTGAATTTTAAAAGAATCCTTCTAGCTATAATCGGGGGGGAAGTCAGGGCAGATTCAGAGAGACTATTTAAAGGCTACTGCAGTGATCTTAGCAAGACATGATGGTGGCTTAGACCAGATTGGTAGTTATGGAGGTGGTGATAAGTGATTGAATTCAGCATATATAGTCTTCCCTCTCTATCTGTGGGCACCACATTCATGGATTCAATCAAGCCCCTTGGAAAATAGTCAAAGGAAAAAGAAATGGACCAGAGTCTAAATTACCAGTAAAAGACAAACTTAGAAATGAAAAAAAAAATTACTTCAAAAAGTGCTATAGGAGAGGTATGTTCAAAGTGAAGAAAAAAAGGTAATTAGCTATTTGGCAAAATCAGAGCAGAGTTCACAGGGGGAATAACATTTGAGATGGGTCACAAAAGTTAAGGAGGGACAAAGAGGGCAAAGAAGGGCAGCAGGGCTTTTACATCGGGGCCAACACCTCCCATTGATAATCACTTTTCCAACCAACTCCTCTAAGACTAGCAATTCCTTTACAGGCCTCTTGAGGTAAAAAGGGACAATATTCCACCAGGGATTAGGAATTAATGTAACCTCTTCAAGGTCTCCACTAACAATACTACGCCATATGTTTGGGCAGCTGGTATACTCCCTTTCTGCCTCTCTTGCCTTCACATTCATCAAAGACACTCACCGAAACCTAGTTTGTAGTCTATTGCGCCCTCCACTCAAATTCTGCCATCACCTAGGGAATGTGAACATCAATGAGGATAACTTATTTGACAGTTTGCTTCATGGTTCCTTTAGCCTTCTTTCTCTCCGGTGACCTAGAACTCTACCAATGTATAGCAACTATTCCTATGGCCACATCTTGAACTTGTCTTTGCTTGACATTATTTTAACTCTGAAATTCTAAACTTCCCCCTCTCTTATCTTAACCTTCTAAATTAGCACTATCAAATAAAATACAATGTGTGCCATTTATATAATTTCAGATTTTCTTGTAATCACATTTAAAAGTAAAAAAAAAAAGCACTCATTTTGAAAATCAGTAACTTACTTTAACCAAATACATCAAAAGATCATTTCAGAATGTAATCAATAAAAATAATAGCAATGAGATAGGGTACCTTCTTTTTTCATAGTAAGTCTTCAAAATCCACTGTGTATTTTATACTTTATAAGCGTATCACAACTAAAATACTAAGTTGTCTATAGCCAAGGTGTAATGTAGTTTTATCAAAATAAGAGTTGCGTTTAATAGAAAAATATTTTAGACTCTGCAGAGTGAAGAACTTGGCCTTACCCAAAGAGAAGGCCTGGCCTTCCCTTGGCTTCTGGGAAGCAGTCTCTGGGTTCTTGGAATGTTATGTCTGCTCGGAGTGTCTCTGTCTGGGAGCCTTGGGTCATGCCAGAGAGTCTAATAACATGATTTAGGCTGGGATTCGCCACACCCATATAGTCTCAGGGTAGAGGCTGGATATACATTGTTGGCTGCACAACAGCGTGACTTGACGTGTGGGCTTTGGGTCACGAGCATCAGTTGACCGAGACACACAGATCAATCATGTGAGCAATCAATCAATCAATCAATCAGGCTTATGTAAAATAAAAACACTGAACACAGAGGCTGGGCTGAGCTTCCCTGATGGGTACTGCTCTGTACACAATGTAACACATCAATACCAGGAGTGTAACATATCTTGTATCCACATGGAAAGGACAACAAAAGTTCTGCATTTCGTACTTCTCCTGGACTCTGCACTTCCTTCCCTGGCTGATTTTAATCTGTATCCTTTACCTGTATTAAACCAAACCGGGAGTATATTAGCTTTCAGTGAATTTTGTGAATCCTTCTAGCTATTTATCAAACTGAACCGGTTTTGGGAATTTCCTGAACTTGTAGGTGACAGCAGAGTGAGGGGTGATCTTGGAGACTATGCTCTCTTAGTCTGTAGTTGGCTAACTCTCACAGCTGGCCTAAAACTTTTCATAATACCTCAGTTTTTAAATTTAAATGTAAATTAAATTCAAAACTCAGTTCCTCAGGGGCACTAGCTACATTTCTTTTTTCTTTTTTTTTTTTGAGACGGAGTCTCGCTCTGTCCCGTAGGCTGGAGTGCAGTGGCTGGATCTCGACTCACTGCAAGCTCCGCCTCCCGGGTTCACAACATTCTCCTGCCTCAGCCTCCTGAGTAGCTGGGACTACAGGCGTCCGCCACCACACCTGGCTCATTTTTTGTATTTTTAGTAGAGACAGGGTTTCACCATGTTAGCCAGGATGTTCTCAATCTCCTGACCTCGTGATCCGCCCGCCTCAGCCTCCCAAAGTGCTGGGATTACAGGCGTGAGCACAACAGCAACATGTGGACAGTGGCTGTCGTGTTGGGCAGTGTAGTTTTAGACTTTCATCTCTCCAACCTTCATATGCCCAACACACTAACACACTTGCTTTTCAACTTCATCTAGACCTGTAGCTTCATGAATTCTTTTTTTTTTTTTTTTTTTTTTTTAAATAACAGAGAATTTCTCCATGTTGCCCAGGCTGGTTTCAAACTCCTGGGCTCCAGTGATCTGCCTGCCTGGGCCTCCCAAAGTGCTGGGATTAGAGGTATGATCCACCATGCCCAGCCAGCTTTAAAAATTCTTATTTAAGATCAGTCATCCTGGTCTCACTTGCCTTCCCAACCCACTTCAGCCTAAGCCCAAAAGCCCACACTTTAATTACATTATTGCTAGTGGCCTCAAAACCCTTGTCACCTGTTGCCTCTTCATTTGCACATGTCCTGTAAACTCTAAACAGGATCAGTCCAATTGTCTGTCTTATTCAATTTACACACAGGTAATTGAGCATTGGTGGTAGGGGAAAAAAATCACTCAATTCTGTATAATGGAATAACAAGTTAACTGTTTCCTATCTCTAAGGCCTTTAATCAACTTATTTAGCTATTCTTAATTGCCCTCTCTCTCATTCCTCCCTGCAGCTAATTTCACTTTCTCCATGCTGATCCAGGTCTCTACCCTCTCACCCTTAATTCATCTGATAACATAATCTGCTACTCTCAATAGAAAATTATATGAAAAGCATGAAACATCTTTTTCACATTCTTCTACCTAAAAAATTGCCTACACCCACATGCATCCTTTATCTTCTATCCTTCTTCATGTGCAAGGCTAATTTCTTGCAATTATGCTCATCCCTCAGTTCCTCATTGATCTTGCTTTAGAGATTGTTTTCCATATCAATTATTTTCAAACTCATCTTCCCCACTACTGCATCTTCAACCTCAACCTGTAATCAAGTCTCATATTTAAACGAATCAAAATAAAACAAACCCCTCCTTATTTCCTGTCAAGTATCAAGAGGGTCTGAGATCTCACCATTTCTGCAAGCTAATAACTCAACCTGCCACAATTACATGGGTGATGGCAGAAGATAGGAAACCCCTCTGTCAGAGACAAAAGACTTTGTCACTTACGGCACAGCAAGCAGCATGAACATCAACATATTTGCTTCAGTTCCCCAAGCCCTAATTTTCACAGGGCACTGCAAAGGGGACCAGATGACGCCTACACACACAGTCGGGTCCATTATAGGAGAGGAACCCTGAGCTTGGAGCTTAGGGAATCTTTCACACTGGGCAATAAACAGATCTTTGAGCTGTGGAGGGAGATACTATCTCTGTCTTTCAAGGGTGCTCACTATATAAACATCCTTGAGAAAACAGTCTAGAACAAAGGCAGTCAGTGCCTTACTCATGAAACATGAAGAAATGTGAGATATCCGTGGAGAACTCTCTCCCAACAACCTTGCTTCCTGTACAAACTACTGTCTTCTCCCTTCTTTCCTTCAGAGCAATGCTTCTCAAAATAGCACCCAATGCCTCCACTTCTTTAACATCTGTCTCCACCTCTGCCATTTTATTAATATTTCCCTAGCCAGGCCAGGAGCGTTGGCTCACGCCTGTAATCCCAGCACTTTGGGAGGCTGAGGCGGGCAGATCACAAGGTCAGGAGATCAAGACCATCCTGGCTAACATGGTGAAAACCCATCTCTACTAAAAATACAAAAAATTAGCCGGGCATAGTGGCGAGTGCCTGTAGTCCCAGCTACTTGGGAGACTGAGGCAGAATGGTCTGAACCTGGGACGTGGAGCTTGCAGTGAGCCGAGATTGCGCCACTGCACTCCAGCATGGCCACAGAGTGAGACTTCGTCTCAAAAAAATATATATATAATATATAAATTATTATTTATATATAATATATTATATATAAATTATTATTTATATATAATATATTATATACAAATTATTATTTATATACAATATATAATTATTTATATATTTTATATATAATTATTATTTATATATTATATATATATATAAAGTCAGAGAATATGCTACAACATGTCAACATGTTCTAGCAGTCAGAGAAAGGAGGCCCAGCAAAAGATACTAAGAAGGAACAGTCCGAACAATAGAAGAATCAGAAGTTGAACATTTGTGGAAGTCAAAACTAAGAGCTTTAGAAGGAAACAGTCAAGAATTCAGATGCTACAAAGAGGTCAAATGAAGTAAAGACTATCAATTTGCAACCAGAACACCATTTTTTACTTTAGCTAGGGAAATATATATATATATATGTATGTATGTATGTATGTATGTATGTATGTATGTATTTTTTTTTTTTTTGAGACAGAGTCTTGCTCTTTTGTCCAGGCTGGAGTGCAGTGGCACGATCTCGGCTCACTGCAAGTTCCGCCTCCCAGGTTCACGCCATTCTCCTGCCTCAGCCTCCCAAGTAGCTGGGACTACAGGTGCCCACCACCTTGCCCAGCTAATTTTTTGTATTTTTAGTAGAGACGGGGTTTCACCGTGTTAGCCAGGATGGTCTCATCTCCTGACCTCGTGATCTGCCCACCTCAGCCTCCCAAAGTGCTGGGATTACAGGCATGAGCCACCGTGCCTGGCCTCTATTTCTTCTTAAGTCAGTTGTTTCAACAGTTGGTATCTTTCTAGGAATTTGTCCATTTCATCTAAGCTGACTTTTTTTTTTTTTTTGAGACAGGGTCTCACTCTGTTGCCCAGACTGGAGTGCAGTGGTGCAATCATAGCTCACTGCAACCTCCACCTCCTAGGCTCAGGTGATCCTCCCACTTCAGCCTCTCGAGTAGCTGGGACTACAGGTGTGCACCACCATGCATGGCTAATTTTTCTATTTTTTTTTGTAGAGATGGTGTTTCACCATGTTGCCCAGGCTGGTCTTGAACTCCTGAGGTCAAGCAATCCACTCACCTCAGCCCCCCAAAGTGCTAGGATTATAGGCATGAGCCACCAAGCCCAGCTGATTTGTTGATGTATAGTTGTTCATAATATTCCTTTATAATCATTTTTATTTTTTTTTAAGACAGGGTCTTGCTCTGTTGCCCAGGCTGAAATGCATTGGCACAATCATGGCTCACTGCAGCCTTGACATCCTGGGCTCAAGTGATCCTCCTGCCTCAGCCTCCTAAGTAGCTGGGACCACAGGCTCATGCTACCACATCCGGCTAATTTTTTATGTTTAGTAGAAATGAGGTCTCACTATGTTGTCCATGCTGGTACTGAACTCCTGGGCTAAAGCAATCCTCCCACCTCAGCATACCAAAGTGCTGGGATTATAGGCGTGAGTCACCATGCCCAGCCCATTTTTGTTTCTTAAGGGACTGTAGTAATGTTCCTTTCTTTCACTTCTGATTCTAGTCATTTCAGTCTTCTCTTTTTCTCTTCTCTCTCTCGTCAATCTAGCTAAAGATCTGTCAATGTTGTCGATTTTTTCAAAGAACTATCTTTTGGTTTCACTGATATCCTCTATTGTTTTTCTATTCTCTATTTCATAATTTCTGCTATAATCTTTATTTCCTTCTTTCTGCTTGGCTTCAAGACACTAGAAGAGGAAGAACAAACTAAAACTGAAGCAAGCAGAAAGAAGGAAATAACAAATATTATAGCAGAAATTATGAAATAGAGGATAGAAAAACAACCAACTATAATGGAATGAAATTGGAAATCAAGAGTAGGAAACATTCGGGAAATTCACAAATATGTGAAAATTAAACAACACACTAATAAATAAATAATGAAACAAGACATCAAAAGTGAATTCAGAAAATACTTTCAAATGAATGAAAATGAAAATACGGCATACTAAAACTCATGATATGCAGCCAAAGCATGCTTAGAGAGAAATTTATAGCTGTAAAATGCCCACAGTTAGAAAGATCTCGTATCAATAACCTAAGGAGCTATGACTACAGGCGCATGCCACCATGCCCAGCTAAAAGCTAGATTCTTCTAGTGAAGTTTATTTCTCCATATTTACAGTGTTCAGCCTCTAATGTGATTCCTCTGGAACAGGCAGCTTCGGTATGCCTACAGTTAGTTACCTTGGGATCACAGTGTTTTTGCTAGGACTTTCTTCCTCTCATTTACTGACCATACTCAGCCGTTAAACTCCACTAGTTGCTGGCTGATTGCCCTTTTGTTTTGAATAATGCCCTGGGGCACAAATTGGTCTACAAACAATACAATCAAATTCTGGTTCCTTTGAAGAAATAATTTTTGCCATCAGTGTTTTTTTGTTTTATTTTTGTTTTTATTTAAGACAGGGTCTCCCTATGTTGCCTATGCTGACCTCCAACTCCTAGGCTCGAGCCATCCTCCTGCCTGAATAGCTAGAATTACAGGTGTGCACCCAGCCAGTGATTTATTTTCATTCTAATCCCAGAGAAGCTCTTTCTAAATTAATTCATTGGTTCTCCCCCTGCGAACTAGCAAACCTACCATTTGGCCTGTTTCATGAATCTCTTCTCAAATGTCCTTTACCACAACCTCCACTGTTCTTTTTCTTTTTTCTTTTCCCTCTACTGTTCTTGAGAGTACAATCAGGTTTGAACTTCTTCACTCCCTGTTGCAAATGAAGTCAGTTCCTTTGGGAAGAAATTAGGAGCTGTTTTATGGTTTGTTTTTCTCCACAGGTAAAAATCTCAGAGTTAGGGCTCTGGAGCTGGGGTTGGGGACAACAGCAAACTTCTCTGAGTGACGCTCCCACTCTAGGAACTGAGAGTTTGGTGGATGGAGAGCGGGGGAGGACAGCAGCCTGGGGTCCTCTCAGCTTGCCTCTCCTAGCAGCAAAAGACAGTGAAACCACTGTCTTAATACCCAAGGCAAGAGTGATCTGGGTCCTAGTATTCTCGGCATACCTGATCAAGTTCCACAAGTGGGGGCTGAGTAGAAGAAGGGGCCCCCATCTCTTAACTGCACTTCTCCAGGACTCAGCAATAGGCAGCTCGGGGCAGAATGAGAATTGCTGATGTCCAAATCCTCCTGGGAAGAAAGCTGCTATTCAGATGCTGGAGAGAATTGAGGAGAAGTGACAAATAAAAATTACAGGAGACCATTGTTTTCGAATAAACTTCTGCACTAGGCACCAACAGACCAAACTAAATATCAAAATGGAGTCACTCATGCTAAAGTTCCAAAGCGAAAACTAGGTTGTTATCTGACCTGAGAAATCAGGAGAAAGAGATAACAGCCAATTTCCCAAACAGCCCAGTCTAAAATCTTTAACTGGCACAATGATGAAGTTCCCTCTGCTTTAATCCTTACTAAAAAAGGTAGCCCGAAGTAACCTGATGTTAACTGGTTAATTTTCTATTGTTCTGTTTAAAAGTAACCAATACACTGTTCAGACTTCTTAAGCCCTTCTGTCCATAAGCCAAACTCTTCTGCTCAACTTACTGGAACACTTATTCTATGAAATGAAATGTTGTCCGATTCTAGAATCGCAAATAAAGCCAACTGGGATCATCAAACTAAACTTGCAATTTTGTCTTTTGACAGAAGGAAGCCCTGCGTTCTTGGCTGCAGTAGCCTGGACGGGAATTTCCACCTTGCTGACCAGACTTTGTTTCTTACCGAATTTGCACAGATGTTCTTGAATAATGTTCCTTCATTTTCTGCTTACTCTTAGGACGATTTCCAGAGACTTTAAATGACTGGGTTTTGTTTTCTTTAATAGTTTTCACTTGTTTCAGCAAGCAAGGCAGGTCAGCAGAGCTCCTCACACCTTGACGGCAGAAGTTGATCTCTCTCTCACATGAAGGCGTAAGGAAGCACTGTGCTAGAGCTCTATATATGCGATCTCATTTAATCTTCACAACTATAATACAAATATTCTAGATCTTACCTTATACAGACCTGGAACCTGTGCACCAGAATCATCTAGTAATTTGCTCTAAGTAAAAGGGCAAATAGGTGACAGAGATCTGATTCAAACCTAGGTCTAAATACATCCAAAGCCCAGGTTTTCTTGACTAAGCCCCTTTCATCTTTTTTACACAGACATTTTTAAAAATCAGAGCTCATGAGACAGTTCTATCCCTGTGCAGTCTCAATAATTTCTTTAGGTAATACACTATTTTCTTCCACATCTGGATCTTTTATAATAATATTACTTAATAGTATCAATAATAACATTTCAAATTCTATTGTTATATATTACATAATATGTGTTACAATATATAATTATAGGTTGGTGCAAAAGTAATTGCGGTTTTTGCCATTACTTTCAATGACAAAAGCCACAATTACTTTTTCACCAACCTAAAATATTTTGTTTTTAAAATAACATTATCAGAAGTGGTATTCTGTTTGTTCATCCCTTGAGGTACATTCACATGAAGTCCAGGACCAAGAAACGGATCTCTCTAATACTGCTTCCTGCTGGGTGCAGTAGCTCATGCCTATAATCCCAACACTTTGGGAGGCCAAGGCAGGAGGATTGCTACAGCCCAGGAGTTCACAACCAGCCTGGGCAACATAATGAGACCTAATCGCTATAAAAATTTAAAAATTAGCCTGGCATGGTGGTGTATACCTACAGTCCCAGCTACTCAGGAAGCTAAGGCAGGAGGATTACTTGAGCCCAGGAAGCTGGGGGTGCACTGAGCTGTGATCCCGTTACTGCACTTCACCTGGTCAACAGAGCCAAGACCCTAGCTCAAAAAAGAATAAATAAATAAATAAATAAATAAATAAATAAATAAATAAATAAAATCTGCTTTCTTAAAGAGTAAGGTAGATTGATGTGCCCTGTGTTTGGGTCTTTTTTTATTACAAACATTAAGATGACATGATCTTTTTTCTCCCCAAATTACCATTGTTTCCCCACCAATAAATGTCGTTCTATGAAATAAAATACCTAACAGGCAGCTCAAGGATTTGGGAGATGTTTGACTTTTTATAGAATAAAACTTGTAAAAAGGTATCTTCCAGCCTGAACAATATAGTGAGACCCCCGTCTCTACTAAAAATTTAAAAATTAGCCAGGTATGCTAGTGCACAGCTATAGTATCAGCTACTCAGATGGCTGAGGCAGGAGGATCACTTGAGCCCAGGAGTTCGAGGCTGCAGTGAGCTAGGATTGCACCACTGCATTCCAGCCAGGGCAGCAGAGCAATACCTTGTCCAAAGAAAAAACCTTATCTAGATAATGAAAGTTTTCTATTTGCCTTTGTATACATTTGTGATCTTAATTAAGGCAGGTTTATCATAACATGTGCCTGGAATGTCAGACCATAGTATAGTCTCCCAATAACATGACTGCTATTTCTCTCTCTCCAAATATTCTCTCTTGTGCTTTCATTTTCTGGTTCATAAATTTCCATATAACCATGCCCTCCAGGAAGATTTCCCTGATCTCCAAGAGTTAACCAAACTGCCATCTGCACTACTGTTCTCTACTATACAGAGTTTTACAGTTTCCATTCTCATCTTCAAAGTAATATGTTGATTTCCCTGTCTGTTTTCCACCAGATTTCTCCACGGAAAGGAAAACCAGTGTCTTAATTGAGTCAGCATCTCCAAGGCACATGATTGGCATATAATTATCATACATAGTGAAGGCCTACTATACCTTCTTGACAAACAATGCTATCCTTCAAATCTTGTAATGCTTTCATTTCTTTAAAATAAAGTATCCCCTCCCATACTATATTGAGTATAAATTTCTATCACCATTAGCTTTGACATTAACTAATCACATATACAAAGCCAATTAAATATAAAATTAAGAAATAATGATACCTCTTTTAAAAAGGACTAGCACTTACCCTAAAGATACTTTGACACACAAAAAAACACTAGATCGCTAGGGAAACTTTAAAAACACAAACACACACACACACACATCCATGCAGCCACAACTGACTAGTCATTAATAAGAAGATTCATTTTAAAAGTGATTCTATGCTTTTAAATACATTTTATCGTGCAGGAAGGAGCAAATGTTTAAAATAAAAATTAAAAAATTTTAAACTAGCAAGTGTTCATATTGATAAATTTTTTTTAAAATGAGGAAATTAGACAAATAAAGTATATAAAGAAACTTTTCTCTGTAGTTAGTTGCCAAAAGAAAAAATAAAAGACACATCAATTTAGATTTGGAAGTTTACCCTTTAACTCTACTTGGCTCCATTTATCACTGTTAGAAAAAAAATCGTTTTGTCAGTTTTTAGCATCTTAAAAATCAGATTTGTCAGTAACAAAGTCTCTTGCTTATTTCTGACATTGTGCTAAAGCTAAGTGTGAGAGGAAAATATAGCTACTGAAGGCAGAACCCCCAAAATTACAAGAATTACTGAGGGGAACTGTGAACACATGGTAAATAATATAGTTACATGTTATATTTAAACAAAGTTTAAGGAACGCACTCGGGTGAGATTATGTGCTCTAAGTGGCTCTTTCTGACACAACAGAGGCCCACACACTTGTGTGAGTTCTGTCGCACTTGGTAACCTCAATTAAAACCTGCAAACAGGAAAGACCCTAAGTCCCACGTTCAGAAAGGATGCTTGTTTTTGGAGATCTTTAATCTCAACTGTCAGCGCCTGACTGAAATAAACAAAACACCTTTGCTAAGGAAACAAATGTGTTAAAGGGATTTTACTAGATTAATCAAAACAAATTAAAATGCCTTTGTTGATAGAAAATGGCAGGATTGAAGAACAGCATCAAGTGACTGCTGCTCAAGTGACAAAGGCACTGAACAGCTATTTTAGGTTTGCCATAGTGTGCTCAATAGCTGTTTAAAGAATGCAATAAATGTACTTACCAAATATTTCCCCTCCACTAGCATATTCTGTCACCAGATAAATCATCCGTTCTGTCTCCATAACCTGGTGCAAAGGCAGGAAAGTGACAGACAGTGACACAAATGACAGGCTGATACAGGAAGATAAACTAATGACTCCTCTTTTCTCATTTGAAATATTAATAACCACTATAGATTAAAGAAAATTTAAAACATTTTTGGGGAAACAAATATAAATGTTATTAAGAAGAAAGGGAAAATTAGATATTCCTCCAAGTTCTTAAAAGTAGGAAACATTTATTGCTTGAGAGAGATAGGCTTTTTGATGTTCCATGAGGTCTCTGCAATCTCTTAAGCTCCATAAAACTGAGAGGCAAAGAAGTTGTCAAGAACCAAAACTTAAACTTCAGATTCAACATCAATCATCTGAAGCACAAAAATGCCCTATCAAATCAAAAAAAAAAAAACTAAAGCAAAAAGAAGCCTTTGGGGAAAATAATGGGAGTCACATAAGAACGCCACAGAAATCACATATGTCTTTCTTTTTTTTATAGAAATGACAACTTTCCTTTCCACTGCCCATTTATTTGAAAAAAAGAGAACAGTAATTTAAAATACTCAACCTTTTAAAGTAACGTAAGTGATTTGTGTTTTGTCTTGGTCCCTTTGTTGCTCCTTTTTAAAATTCATTGTAGTATGTTGTCAGTCCTTTCTTCCTTTTTACATTTTCCATCAAACATTTTTAAAAGTAATAATGATTACATACACTCATTATAAAACAAAAGACCAAAGGCTTTCCTCTTCCCAATCTCCTCCATCTCAATCCCCAGAGGAACACTGTTCTCTGCTTATTGTATATCTTTCTACAACAGTGCTGTCCAATAGAAATATAATATGAACTGCATATATTATTTTAACTTTTCTAGTAGCCACATTTAAAAAGGAAAAAGGAAAAGGTGAAGATAATTCTAATACTACTTTTTATTTACCCCAATATATCCAAAATACTATCATTTCAACAATTCTTTTTAAAATTATTTTTAGTTTTACACTTAAATTAATTAAAACTAAATACAATTAAAAATTCAGTTCCGGCCAGGCGCAGTGGCTCACGCCTGTAATCCCAGCACTTTGGGAGGCCGAGGTGGGTGGATCACTTGAGATTAGGAGTTCGAGACCAGCCTGGCCAACACAGTGAAACCCCGTTTCTACTAAAAATACAAAAATTAGCTGGGCGTGGTGGCACATGCCTGTGATCCCAGCTACTTGGAAGGCTGAGGCAGTAGAATCACTTGAACCCAGGAGGCGCAGGCTGCAGTGAGCAGAGATCATGCCACTGCACTCCAGCCCGGGCAACAGAGTGAGACTTCGTCTCAAAAATAAATAAATAAATAAATAAATAAAATTTAAAAAACCCAGCTGCCAGAAAGCAAAATTAAAGCTTGAAAGAAGGCACTGCTCAAAGCTAGCACTGGACCTGTGGAAATCCTCATAGGCTAATCTTGGGTAAGACAGGCAAACTTGCAGAATTCAGTTACAAGGGTAATAGCTATAAGTCAACCTCTTGAGAAAGGTCAGCCTAAGCCCCACAATTATTTAAAGATGATTTATTTTAAAAGGTAAGGTCAAGAAATTTATTCAGCCCATCAGGATAGGAAGGAAGCTGAGGTTAGACACCTGTGAGCTCACAGATATAGGTCTTCAGGCAGCACCAGGAAGCTTTCATAAGTTTGCTTGTGGGGCAGAAGGTAGGCGTTGTTCAACATAATTTAGGCTGATAAATTTCAACAGGTCTGCTCCTGTTGACCTAATTTCATTATGTGAGCAGCTGATGCCAGGGAAGAGCTCTAACGCTGTAGTTTTAACCACACATGTTAATATCACAACATGTTTTCTTTTCCATAAAACTAAGAGGCTACGAAAGCTTGCCCATAGAGCCTTGGGTGTACTTTCTCCACTTTTACACATGGTCCTATGTCTGGGCCAGTAACCATTTACTGCAGACTAACAGCAGCAAAATAACCAAGTGGGTGGCCACGTCCTTCAGAACTAAGAGATGGCTGTTCTGGCAGAAAGCAGCAAGTAGAGTTGGGCCTATGCAGAGGCAAAGTTCTCGGCTGCCAACACATTGCAATTTGAGAAGCATCCCGAAGCCCCACCTCTCCCAAAATATCTCTTTCACCAGCCTGCTAAGGCAAGGTCCTCTCCTCCTATCCCGCTTGAAATTCCAGCCATCAGATTTACTGCTTTTGTAGTTATGCTAGGGAATCATTTTGATGATGGCATGAAATATGCATGTTTCTTGGGAAGACCAAAAAAAAAAAAAACTAAAATAGAAATCTCTCCTATTGGAGAGATCTGGTCACTTGATCTGGTCTCTTGATTATCAAAATAATTACTACCTTGGAAAACTAAGTCTACAATCCTATTAGAATAGAAAAGAGGTAGGTTTTGATTGATCCAAGAAGCAGTCCTTTGCCATAACAATTTATAACATGATCACAGAAACTAGTATTCAAATAATGCTATTAAAAAAATGTTATATTCATCTCTAACTTTTCACCTCTCTAAATTCTCTTCTTTTTGAGTTTCCCATCCTGTGTTAGAACTCTGAACTAAATAAAATAAATTCTCATCATCTTCTGAATTAACATTTTGTGTAGTTGTTGCTAAGAATGGCATCAAATTTTAAAGAACAAATTAAAAAGACCTACCTGGGTAAGGAAAACGTACTAGTAAATGGCCAGGGGAAACTTGAGGATACTAAGTGCTGAGCGCGTAAACAGAAGGGTAGGAAAGATAGCAGGATTAACATAGAAACAAAAAAAGTCACAGATGTTCACCCACCCACATTTCTTCAAAGGGAGCCATACATACAATATTCTGGGTTCTTTGCAGCTATCTGCTATACACTAATGATCCTACCTGGTAGAGCCTGATGATATGGGGGTGGCAAAGCATCTTCATAATTTGAACTTCCCGGAAAATCTTCTTCAAGTTTTCTTCATCCAGCTGGGTCTTATCTATGATCTTGATAGCAACCTGACAACAGAGGGAAAAAAATTACTCTGATGCATTATTAAAAGCAGTTTACTAAGAAAAATTAGGTTCACTTTAAAACATTACGTTCCATAAAATATAAGCTGCCAGTATTCTGTTTACAGAATGTCAATGAGGAAAATTAATTTACTCTTTTTAAAAAGATAGGAAATGGATTCCTAGCAAGTTGGTCTCAAAGGAACAGACTCCAAAAGCTAATGGGTCTTCTGCCATTTCTTCAATTGCTTATACGGTAAAATCCTATGAAAAAATACTTTATTACTCCATAGATGTCGTTACGGTCTGGGTCAAATCATGTTTCAGTGCAGAGTGGTATACAGGGTCTCTCATTAAGACAAGAAGCTTTAAATAAAATAAAAAATTTTTAAAAAGGCAAGAAGCTTGTATCATAAATACATGGTGTCTTACTAAGGTTCTATGAGAACTTTCACAGGGGCTTTACACATCTCACCAGATGCTTGTAGAACTCAATAATAATAATAATAGTAGCAGTGATGGTGGTGGCAGCAGCAGTAGCAGCATCTACCATATACGAAATGTTTACTATGGGCCAGGCATAACTCTTAGTGGTTTGGAAGTACTAACTCATTTAAACCTCCTAACACCCACCTTATCATTAACCTTGCTTTAGAAATACAGAAACTGAGGCACACAGAGATTAAGTAATTAACCCAAGATTAAGTAATTTACACCTAGTATGTGGCAGGTGCAGGATTGAAGCCTAGGTAGCTTGGCTTTAGAATCAAATTCTTAATAAGAATGTTATAAGAATCTGAAGATCTTTCTTTAGCATACATGCACTGCATCATAAAACATATCTTTCCAATGTGCCCCCTTTTAATAAGATACTCATCAGCAAATACATTTTAATGAAGAATGAACGATGAAGGACTTTTAAAAATTTACTAAATCTAAACTTCCTCAGTGAAATACTTAAAATATTTGTGTTGCTCCAAAATATGTCTATATCTCAGTTTCAATTATGTAATCAGTATGGAAGCAATACTGGTTAGATGAAGAACCTAGACTAGTCAAACTCTAGTCCTCTCCAAATCTTAACATTCTAAGATTCTATGCACCAGAGAGGTAAAGGGAACATATACAGTACTTACTGAGGAAAAAATCAGGAAAACAAAATTACAAAAGTAAAAATGTTTAGCTCAGAGAAATAAAGACTGTTTGGAGCCATACGTGGCAGATTATTCAGATGTATAAATGGCTGGCATAAAAGTAACTTTATCTGAAGCTGTTTCAGGTGTTAAAATGAGGACCCACGGGAGAAAGGCACAGGGAGATAAATTTCAGCTGTACTCAAAGAGCATTCAAGCCATGCCTAACGAGGGAGTGTGATGAAAGGAGCTGGGTGTGGCTGGAGCTACAAGGATTAATCAGACACAGCCTAAACTTCAAGGAGATCACAGTCTAAAAAGGAAAAAAGATGTGTGGAACTGAAAACAATGCAGCATTGGAAGTACAAGCAATGGAGCTATGTACCAGGTATAACAACAGACAGAGGATGGTGAATGACCTTCACCTACAGGAGAAGAGGTAGAAAAAGTCTGGGAAAGACTTGACAAAGAAAGCAGAATTTCACTACAGAGAGAACTGGGATAGGCAGAGAAGAAGGTAGAGAATTTAATGAGGATCTCACCAGCTGCTTGGTTTCCTGTAAGAAGTCTTGGATAATATAACCCTTGACCACCTGCATTTCTACTTCTCCTCATTACTGCACCAGATCACATACAAGACCTTAACTCCACAACTGGTCTAGCATCTGCTCCTGCTTCTCTCAGGACAGCTCCCAAAACAACAACAAAAAAAATCATGGTACACAATGTCTCTTCCTAGAACAAATAGCTTGGTCTTAATAGTCATTATTAATAAAATCTTACATGTGAATGGCACCTTGTAATGTACAGAATGCTTTCATAAATATAACAAGCTTAGAAACTTGCAGATATATCCCCATAGCAGAGCTGCCAAACAGCTGTAATCCCAGCACTTTCGGAGGCCAAGGAGGGCAGACTGATTGAGTCCAGGAGTTCAAGACCAGCATGGGCAATATGGTGAAACCCCATCTCTACTAAAAAACTTTTTAAAAATTAGCCGAGCATGGTAGCATGTGTCTGTAGTCCCAGCTACTCAGGAGGCTGAGGTGGAAGGACAGTTTGATCCCGGGAGCTGAAGTTGCAGTGAGCTATGATCGTGCCAGCAACAGAATGAGACCCTGTCTCAAAAGAAAAAAAAAGAACTTCCAAACAAGTGTGTTGGAAATGGGTTACAAGCAATAATGGATCACCTCCAATCTCAACTTTCTGTGCATGCCATGATGTGCAAAAGGTGGGAAGAACTGCTAGGATTTATTTACCTTAATAACAGAGGGCATCAACTGTCTAAGGCCTGTGCCTGAAATCTTCCACCTCTGCCCACCCCCTACTAATTGATGGCATGTACAATGTAACTGGGGAAAAGCGGGTGACCTTCAGGTTAACTTATGAAATTTGTGCATTCTTTCACCTCCAAGAGATCACAGGGAGTCATATAGTGGGGCCTCCCTGATTCACAAGGCACTCACTCTAAATTTCATTTGCATTCTGAAGCAATAGGATCTTCATAATGGTAAACAGAGATTGTGTGGCTCCCAGTCAGCCACACAATCACGTGGGTAGATAACAATAGAGTGAATTAAATGCATTTCTGACTTACCATATTTTCAACTTATAATGGGTTTATTGGGACGTAACCCATCATAAGTCAAGAAATATCTGTACTAGCAATAATGCCTTTTGTTGGCTATAATTAACAATAATTTATTACATATTTCAAAATGGCTGAAGGAGATTTGAAATGTCACCAACAGAAAGACATGATAAATGTTTGGGGTAATGGATATCCTAATTACCCTGATTTGATCATTACATGTTGTATCCATGCAGCAAAATATCAAATGTACCCCATAAATATGTACTATAATAAATAAATACATACATACATGAATTTTACAAACAAATGTACTTCATCTTTTCAGGAAAAATTGCATTGAATATAATCTGTTCTTAGAAGGCACGTACAAAGAAGTTTTAATAGATTAAAACATCAAACTCCTGTCTACTCTTCAGTGAGAGTTCAGATTCCAGAAGACATTGAAAAGTGAAGCTTTGGGCCAGGCACGGTGGTTCACGCCTGTAATTCCAGCACTTTGGGAGTTAAAGGCAGGCGGATGGCTTGAGGCGAGGAGTTCAAGACCAGCCTGGGCAACAAAGTGAGACCTCATCTCTACAAAAAATAAAAAAATTAGCCAGGTGTGGTAGTGTGTGCCTGTAGTCCCAGTTACTCAGGAAGCTGAGACAGAAGGATTGCATGAGCCTAGCAAGGGTGAAGTGAGCCGTGATCACGCCACTGCATTGCAATCTGTGCAACAGAATGAGACACTTTCTCCAAAACAAAAAAACAAAACAAAACAAAAAAACCAAAGTGAAGCTTTATTTAGCAGTTGAATATAGTACTGAAAGCAAGGACTCTGAAGACAAGCTACTTAGATTCAAAATCTTGGAACTATCCCTTAATATATAACCTAGAACAGGTTACTTAATTTTCCAATGGCTCCCTATCTGTAAAATGTGGGCAACAATGGAACCTACTTTAAAGTGATTTTGGGGATTAACAAAGCTAATACATGCAACCTGATTAATATAATGCCTGGCACAGTAAACAGGCAATATATGTTAATTACAGGTAGTGCTGTTGTTATTTTATTTTCTTCTGGAATCAAGCCTTCAACTTTAGGCATTCCTTGGCAAGGATTAGATTTGCTTCACTAAGCAACATAATCCTGGATCTGAAACACATCAATTCCTTATTCAAGGGACAAATTGAGGGACCAAGAAGCAAAATAGCTAACAATTTGTGGGCAGCATTCAGAACCAACTGGCTGCCGCCAGCTGATGTGGGAAGAACATGGAAAGAACAGAGCTGGAAAAAAAATAAACGCATTCCATTCAGGAAAGTCACAGTGAGCCATAGGATGGAACCCACAGCAAGACCCGACCCTGAGGGCTGTGGCAGAGAGACACTGGTCTACTTCTTCACAGCAGGCCAGGCTCCCCTTGCCAACCCTACCTACTAGCTAACACCTGAGAGGAGAGAACTTACTGTTGCTTGGCAATGGCATAACTGCCTGATAAGACCACTTAACAGGGAAAGGAACTCAGCTCCTACCTTAGCTGCAAACTGGAAAGTGGGAGTTTTCTAAAAAGCAGAAAAATAAAGTTGGAACAGAGAAACTGCCAAGTCAGACAGCAGGTGGCTGGCACACAGGTATGATTGTTTTGAGAATATCTAAACAGATAAATGAGTATGAGTTTCACAGCTACAGATTACTGAAGACTATATAATAAAGGTTTTGGTGTAAAGTACACACCAGTTGCTTGAAAAACTGAATGTGTCCACAACAAAGGTAAATCAGTAGGTAAAGAAAAGATAAACTCTCAAAGAATGTTATTATATTGGGGTTGAAAATCTATAAATCTCCTAATTGTACTTACATATGAAAATTATAACAAAGCAGAAAACTTCCAACATGTTACCAAGAGACCATATATTTCCTAAGTTTGCCTGTTCTACACAGAATTCTTTTATCTTCCAAAGAGCATGATTTTGTAAATTGACATTCTAATATTAATTAAACATGACACTGTATCAAGTATGCTACTAAAGAGATAACAGATTGTGAGAGTCCTTAATTTCCCTACTCAAGACATTCCCATTCAACAAATTCTTCTGTTTCAATTGGCATGTGGTAGGAAAAAAATTAAATTTAGATCATGCCAAATTTAAAGTCATAGTTCTTTATTATTCATTCTATGAGAGGAAAAATTACTATTTCTCCCTTTTAATTCTCACTTCTAAAAAACACAGTTCTTTTTAACTCAACTCACTTTTGTAAGCACAATAATGTTCATAGTGAATGAAGCTGAAAAAAATAGTGGTTTCTTCACAACAGGCAATAAATTCACTTGCATATTCTGACACCATATTTGTAAGCAAGATACGGCAACAGAGTAAAAGACAATGAACTAAGGGACAGTTCAGCATTAAGATCAAAACAAACCACCCTTCCCCATCAGAAATAAATGCCCTATAGCAGATAGTACGGATTCAGGGATATGCCAGGACAAATGGACAGTTCAAGAAAGAACTACGTAGGAGGGAAATGCAAAGATCACAAGGGCTCAAATTCTTCCAAGACGAGAAAGAGGATCTCCTTACACTGGTATGCAGATGAACATACAGTAATTTCAAAGAATATAGTGAGCAGACTGCATGCTTTTTAGAAGGAAAGAGAAAACATTACAGTTTGAAGAAAAGCTTATTTTTTTAAAAAATTTGTTTTAAGGAAAGAGCTCTATTTCTTTTAGAAATGTCTTTAGAATTTAGGCAGATATCAAACATTTTGTCATTGTAAGCTTTTTTCAATGGGGTTATGTTTTTATACTAACTTCTGTAGCAAAATTTTTATTCTCTATTTTTATGACAAAGCTTATCTACTCTAGAACATTCTCGGCTCAGCTCTACAACTATTTTATGATCTAGATCTGTACAGTGTAATACAGTAGGCACCAGCCACGTGTAACTATCCAGACTGATGCGCTATAAATGTAAAATATATACCAGATTTCAAAGATAGTAATATAAAAAAGAATTAAACTATCTCCCTGATACATTTTTATATTGATTACATGTGGAAATTATAATATTTTAGATATATTAGGCTAAACAAAAGATATTAAAACTAATTTCACCACTTTTTACTTTTTTAATATGATTATTTAAAAATTGTAAATAATATATGTGCCCTCTTTCTCTTGGACGGCACTGATCCACATAATGCCAACAGGCTACATAATTAATCTACCAGTTAAAGGACGTATTCCTTGAAAATGACTTCTGAAATCATTGACTTGATATTGAGAATTGCCAACTGTCTATCTCACAGAAACCTGGCCCAAGTTACAAGGCTCTCAATGCTCAAACATTGCCTTGGGAGAAAATCTCAAATAAGGTCTCAAAAGTTATATTCTAGGAGCTCAATTTAATTCAATTTTTAAAATGTCTATTGAGCAACTGACTGGTTTACTGTACTGCCCTTGTGTGCAGCCATTCCCAGGAGGGGTTCTCTCAGAGAATTAAGTCTTACAGCCTTAAGACAGCAGTTCCCAAACTGTTTGGTCTCAGGACTCCTTCTCTTAAAAGTTAGGAGAAACTTCAAAGAAGTTTTGATTATGTGAGTAATATCTTTCAATATTTGCTTAGAAATCAAATTAAAAATCAGAAATTAAGACAAAAATTTAAAAGACACGTGTATACAACCACACATCTCCTTGGTCATCAGAGCAATTGCAGCATCATACATAGCATAGTCTCTGGAAATCTCTATTTTATAATTGTGAGAGACTATGAATGAAAAGTGAAAATAATGTTGTGGCATTTCTTTAAAAATGGTTTTGACCTAGGGGACCCACTGAAACAGTATTGGAGTCTATGACATCCCTGAATCAAACTCTGAGAACAACTGCCCTTAAAGCATCACTGTATGTAATGAATTGACTTCTCTTCAATGCATCTAGAATAGTACCATGTTTGGGAGAACTGAGAAAATAGTCACTCAATTTTCTTTTCTATAGGGCATAATGCTTTCACAGGACCCAGCTAAGAATGGCTGGCTAGAAAGGAACTTAAGTACCTTTGGAATCAGCCTTAATGAAAAAACATTTTTATTTAAAATTTACTAGAAAATAGAATTGTCAACAGAAAACAAATTTAAAAGAACCCCAAACCAACACAAGCTAGGCTCTTGAATGCAACCTGTTACACATTAAATGGCCATGATTAATAACGTGCCACATGACCAAGGTCAGGATGTAGGCTGGCCACATTCTTGGGAAGATCCTAACGTCTGCACTGTTACCCAGGCTGGAGTGCAGTGACACGACCATAGCTCGCTGCAGCCTCAACCTTCTGGGCTGAAGCCATTCTCTCACCTCAGCCTTCTGAGTAGCTGGGACTACAGGGACACACCACCACACCTGGATAATATATATTTTTTAATTTTCTGTAGCAACAGGGTCTCACTATGTTGCCCAGGCTGGTCTCAATGGATCCTCCCACCTCAGTCTCCTAAAGTGCTGGGGTTACACGCAACAGCCACCACACCTGGCTTCCAATTTTTTAATTGAAGTCTATATTTCAGCTTGAAACAATTAGTCAAATCAAGTACTAAGGGGCAAAACAGGGATGTATATTTGGAAAGAACAGGTTATTCTATTCATTATACACACCAATCACAACTGTTTCTGGGAAAATATGCAGCTGTCAAGCCTAAGGAATGGCTGGGATGCAAGGATGCTAGCCAACTCGAGACACAAGGACTCTACATGGCCAGCAAAGATAAGGGTCAGGCAGCTTTCAATAAACTCCACAGAAAGTGGTTAACAACTATAATTTAAAATGTATAGCACTCCAGGCACGGTGGCTCATGCCTCTAATCCCAGCACTTTGGGAGGCCGAGGTAGGCAGATCACTTGAGGTCAGGAGCTCGAGACCAGCCTGGCCAACATGGTGAAACCCCACCTCTACTAAAAATACAAAAATTAGCCAGGTGTGGTGGTGGGCACCTGTAATCCCAGCTACTTGGGAGGCTGAGGCAGGGAGAATCGCTTGAACCCAGGAGGCGGAGGTTGCAGTGAGCCGAGATGGCGCCGCTGCACTCCAGCCAGGGCAACAAGAGCGAAACTCCATCTCAAAAATAATAATAATAATAATAATAAAATACAATAAAATGTATAGTGCTTTTTAGGTGAGTGGTTGAACTTTTATTTTTCTGCCCTCTAGGCTGTACTGAATGGTGACTGTAAAATAGTTCATGCATTTCCAATGTCTGGATAGAGAACAGAAAGTTTACTGAAAGTGGGAAAATAAGTTGGAAAATGGTATACTGTGCAAAATTAGTAAATGGTATCTGAAGCAAAGGAAATTTTCTGTGATTACTTGAAATTCAAGATATAGAAGAGAAATTTTTAAAGACAAAAAGAAAATGATTTCTCAGTTCCAGTAATTCCCATCTGGTTGACATTTACCCTCTCAGAAAACAGAAGCCTACGAGTGTCTCCAATATTATGAGCAACTCTCTCAGGCATACTGACATGATTGTTATTGTTGCAAAGTGCCAACAATGTTTTATAGTTAAATCAACTCTTGTCCTACAGGTTTATCACTTAAATGTATTCAACAATTTTTTTTTTTTAAAAAAAAGGAGTGGAGGAAAAGAGAGTTGACAATAAAAATAAAGGTCAATCAGGATTATTTACAAAATATAGATATTCAATTTTCTATTTTCAGGTGTTTATTTCAGATTAAACAAATTGCAGAAGTTTAAGAGGGAGATACTTAGAATGGGATTGATGGCTTAATTTTAAGGTTAAGGAGCTGTTGAAAAGGATGCCTCAAAGCCCTAAAAAAAAGAGAGGGAAGAGGCCAGGTGCAGGGCTCACACCTGTAATCCTAGCACTTTGGGAGGCTGAGGCGGGCAGATCACTTGAAGTCAGGAGTTCAAGACCAGCCTCTCTAACATGGTGAAAACCCGTCTCTGCTAAAATATATATATATATATATATATATATATATATATATATATATATATATAAATTAGCCAAACATGGTGGTGTATGCCTGTAGTCCCAGCTACTTGGGAGACTAAGGCAGGAGAATCGCCTGAACCTGGGAGGTGGAGGTTGCAGTGAGCCGAGATGACACCACTACATGCCAGCCTGGGTGACAGAGCAAGACTCCGTCTCAAAAAAAAAAAGAGGGAAGAGCAGGAAAGAAGGAGGACAGAAAGAGAATGTAGGACAAACAGGAAACACTCTGAATAGAGAGAAAGGATTGGGCAGAAAAGTATTAGGGATCTGGGGAAGAAAAGGGCAAAAGCTAAATGGTTTAACAAGGCAGTTCTAATAGTTCAAAATGGCAACCAAAGAACACTGTCTAAGAAAGTGGCATAATGACAAAATAGGCCGGCCTGGTGGCTCATGCTGTAATCCCAGGAGTTCGAGACCGGCCTGGGCAACACAGCAAGACCCCCAACTCTACAAAAAATTTTTTAAAAATTATCCAGCCATGATGGCATATGCCTGTAGTCCTAGTACTCAGGAGACTGAGGTGGGAAGATCATTTGAGTCCAAGAGCTCAAGGCTATAGTGGGCTGTGATCACGCCACTGCACTCCAGCCTGGGCGAGAGGGAGACCCCATTTCAAAAAATAAAACAATAAAAATAATAAGAATAACAATACAGGTTGAATATCCCTTATCCAAAACGTTATGTTTCATATACACCTTATACACATAGCTTGAAGGTAATTTTACACAATATTTTAAATAATCTTGTGCATTAAAAACAAGTTTGTATTAAGTGCTTATGCATAGAATTTTCCACATGGTGTCATGTTGGCACTCAAAGAGTTTAAGATTTGGGGGCATTTTTCGTTTTTGAATTAGGGGTGTTCAACCTACAACTTATAGAAATATTTTGAAATTTTTAAAAAAGTAGTTTATTTCCAAAGAAAAATGTCAAAGTTATGGTGGGAAATTAAACTATAAAAAATGAAATTTTGCACTTTGGGAGGCCGAGGTGGGCGGACTGCCTGGGGTCAGGAGTTTGAGATCAGTCTGGCCAACATGGTGAAACCCCGTCTCTACTAAAAATACAAAAAAAAAATTAGCCAAGCATGGTGGCGTGGGCCTGTAGCCCCAGCTACTTGGGAGGCTGAGGCAGGGGAATTGCTTGAACCAGGAAGGTGGAGGTTGCAGTGAGTCAAGATCACACCACTGCACTCCAGCCTGGTGACAGAGCAAGACTCTGTTTCAAAAAAAAAAAGAAAAAGAAAAAGAAAAAGAAAAGAAAAAAAGAAACTTTAGTCCCAGGACAGAAAGACGGGAAATAACTTGGCAATAGGGCCTAAAATACAAGGTTGTCAGAAGACAAAAAGCTGAATAAATTTTAAGATGAATTTTCTTAATGAGTACATGCTACTCTTTCCTGGAATGCCAACTCACAGGTAAAAATAACACAGACTCACAGAAGGATTGTACTCTTCCCAAGAACAGCATTTGTCAAGAAGCCTGTGTACTGTTAAGCACATTTAGATGTAGAACCTAGAACGCTCCAAGACTTAAGGCTCCAGCTGAAAAGAGAGCTGAACTCAACTGCCGTAACATAATTTTCTTAAACTTCCCCTATGGAGATTTATTATATTGGGTATCTTGCTAACCTTACAATGGTAGTGCTGTTCCTGTTGAACAAAATCAGCAACAGTTCATATTTTAAATTGTTTTAAATTATATCAATATGCCCTCAAGGACTAATAACACAGTCTGCGTGAAGTAGCAGGAGCTGAGTGAACCAAGGAAACAGAAAACAGTTGAAAAACTATCCTAAACCCTCATCTCTTGACATCTCCCAATTATTTGACAATGAAGACTAAGGAAAAACAGGAAGCAATATCCATTTTCAGACTGCATTTCATCCTCCTATTTCTGAAAGTCTCACTTGTAATGCATCCTCGGATGTCAGTAGTGTGCTCATTGTTTGTCAAAAGGTGCATCGTTGTGAAATCATGCATTTCTTGTCTGGATGTTTATGATACCAGACTATCTTCCCTGAGCAGCCTGGAGTAAGAAGCCAGCCTCCCTGTGCCCATCAGGAACATGGCACCAACTACCTTCCAAGGTGTTTTCCGAAGAACAGGTGCACACTACCAGCGCTGACAGATAATGCCCCTCTGGGATTCCTTCAAAATGGAATGTTTTGTGTGATGGCTTGTGCATTTATTCCAGTTTCAATGAGTTCCTTATATTTAGTAATCATCACATTTTCAAGTCAAACAAATGTTATTTCCATAATGAATGTTTGCATTTCATGTGATGAATAGTGTAATTTAAGTAACTTAAATCAATCCCTGGAAGTCTAATAGTAAACATTAATTAATTCTTAAATTTCTGGGTTTTTTTGTTTTTGTTTTTTGAGATGGAATCTCGCTCTGTCTCCCAGACTGGAGTACAGTGGCGCCATCTCGGCTCACTGCAACCTCCACCTCCTGGGTTCGGGCAATTCTCCTGCCTCAGCCTCCCAAGTAGCTGGGACTACAGGCGCGCACCACCATGCCCGGCTAATTTTTTGTATTTTTAGTAGAGATGGGGTTTCACCATGCTGGCCAGGCTGGTCTCAAACTCCTAACCTTGTGATCCACACACCTTGGCCTCCCAAAGGGCTGGGATGACAGGTGTGAGCCACCGTGCCTGGCCAAATTTCTGATATTTATTTTAAAGGTGGTAAGCGGACAACTGATAAACAACATTGCCATAGAAAAAACTGAGAATGATTCCACTGAAATATAAAATTATTATATAGGTTAAACATAGCCACAACAGATGTCAAAAGACAGCTACATGAAGTATATGCTTAATATAACAGAGTTAACATTTAACAAGATTCTTTGTGTTTTCCTGTAGCAGGATTACAGACATCCTAAATACTGACCTTCTCTGATGGTCCTAAATTTGCATTAGAGTACAAGTGTAGAATTTCAAAAAGATGCTAAGGTAGAACCAAGGATTTTATGTAAAGGAAATTGTCGTAACTGTGTATCAATTCATTAAAGTATTGAGTATAGTTAATAACATTGTGGGTTTTTAAAAATCATTAAAAGCATCCACAATTTAAGTAAAACCCAACTATTATACTATTAGCCCCTCTTTTATGTCTTATGACAATACTACTTTTAAGCCAATTAACATGACCCCTAATTCATTGCCAATGAGATCCAAAAGAATCTCCAGATATCAGAAATAGTTTCATTTAAGATAGACAGACGGCCGACGCGGTGGCTCATGCCTGTAATCCCAGCATTTTGGGAGGCCGAGGCGGGTGGATCACAAGGTCAGGAGATTGAGACCATCCTGGCTAACACGGTGAAACCTCGTCTCTACTGAAAATACAAAAAATTAGCTGGGCGTAGTGGCAGGCGCCTGTAGTCCCAGCTACTCGGGAGGCTGAGGCAGAAGAATGGCGTGAACCCAGGAGGCGGAGCTTGCAGTGAGCCGAGATGGCACCACCGCACTCCAGCCTGGGAGACAGAGCAAGACTCCGTCTCAAAAAAAAAAAAAAAAAAAAAAAGACATATTTGCATAAATATTGTTCTAGGAAAATAAGAGACCGTAAGTAACACATCCCCACCAAAAAATCATAAGGAATGAGATTTATGAGATGAGAAAATGAAAATGTAGAGAGCTAGAAGGAAGTAAAATGTTAATTGATAATAATGTCATAATAAAACTAATTATCCCTCCATATTTAAAAGTCTTTGTGCAACTTTCCTGAGGTCTCTGGGTCACAGGTTTCTTGATAGATCAAGTTGGCATTTTTTGAAACTAAGAGATCAAGTTGGCATTTTTTGAAACTAAGTAAAAAAAAATCCCTTCAATGAATCAAATGTACTTTTCTGGGTAGAAAACAGCACAGAATAAGGAGCTCAGAGTGTAGGAAGGATATAAAAATGATCATACACAGCAGTAGAAACTTTTTCCTTCTGAACAAAATCACACATAAACCCTAACACATAAGACAGAAAAAAGAGTATCCATCCTGGTTACAGACAAAACTTTTTAGAAGCCTAGGGCTCTGCAGAACAGTTTGGAAATCACTGTGACAGCAAAAAGACGAATGCAGTGGGTGCTGAGATTGAGAGTTCAATTTCCAGCTGTATCTCTAAGATATGTTTGTGACCTTGGGAAAATCACTTTACCCCTCTAATCCTCAATGTTTTCATCTATTACATGACTTGAAAGCAGAGGTATCAGCTGGGCACAGTGGCTCACACCTGCAATCCCAGCACTTTGGGAGGCCAAGGTGAGATGATCGCTTAAGCCCAGGAGCTTCAGACCAGCCTAGGCAACATAGTGGAATCCTGTCTCTACAAAAAAAATTTCAAATTGGTTGGGCACATTAGCATGTGCCTGTGGTCCCAGCATTTTGGGAGGCTGGGGCACAAGAACTGCTTGAGCTCCGGAGGTCAAGGCTGCAGTGAGTTGTGATCAAGCCACTACACTCCTAGCCTGGGTGACAGAGTGAGACCCTGACTATAAAAAAGAAAGAAAGAGAGTTATCAAGATAAGGTTCTCACTGTGCCAATTCCTAATTCGAACTCTGGGAGACTTGGGTTTTGACTTTTTTAAGTTTTTAAATTGACATTTAAGTCCTAAGGGTTCATTCACATAAATCAGAATCACTACTAGTCATACAACTCTCAATCTTGGTTAGTTAAAGTAATCAAGCCATTTAGTTTTAGTTATTATTTCTTTTATTTTCTCTTATCTGTTTATTATTTACTTATTTTTGTAAAGATGAGGTCTCACTATAGTCCAGGCTGCTCTCAAACTCCCGGGCTCAAGCAATCCTCCTGCCTCAGCCTCCCAAAGTGCTAGGATAACAGGCATGAGCCACCACGCCCGGCTGTATTTGTTATTTCTTTTAGAGACAGAGTCTTGCTCCGTTGACCACGCTGGAGTGCAATGATGTGATAATAGCTCACTGCAGCCTCAAACTCCTGGCCTCAAGAGATCCTCCACCTCAGCCTCCTGAGTAGTCAGGACTACAGGCATGTACTACCATGCCCAGCTAAATTAATTTTTTTTAAGAGAAGGGTCTTGCTCTTTTGCCCAAGCTGATCTGGAACTCCTGGCCTCAAGCAATCCTCCCACCTCAGGCTCCCAAAGCACTGGGGTTACAGGCATGAGTCACCACACCCAGCCCTAAGTCATCTAGTTTTACAGTGCTATATAATGTAGGACCATATGATAATAAGCAGAAAACTGCATTTACCACATTTGAGATAACCTTGGTGAATAAGTGTTTCTTTCCTCAATTAAATACATTAAAACTAAAGCATAACACCACTGTTTGCCCAGAAAAGCCTTGGCATTTGCTAATATTTTCACTATTGGTAAAGTCAATGTTTCCCACTGTTAAAACTAAGAACACTAAATAATAATATTGACATTAATTTCCATCCCACTTACAGAACAAACAATGGCAGACTAAATTAAATGGAATGTGAAACGGGCAACAAGTAGGTCAAATTAATTAAACTGTAAATTACAACCACACCAGAAAGACATGAACACAGAAACCAAGAATCCGAGTCTAAGAAATGTTGCATAATCCAATGTCAGCCAAATTTGACGATGTTTCCATTATCAAATTTCTCACTTAGAAATGAGAAACTCAAAGAGTCAATTTTAGTTTGTTTTATATTTTTTGTTTTAGACTAGTTAATTCCAATATATTAAACATAAGCATAGTAAGAATAGGTAAAATATACTGAGCACCTAATATGTCCCAAGGCACTAAATTTTTTTGTTACTTTTTGTAATGAAAATTTTCAAATATTAACAAAAGTAGACAATAAAATAATTCAAAGCATCAATCAGCTTCAAGAATTATTACTTTATAGTCAATTGTTTTATCTATATCTCTACCAAGTTTCTCCAAAATCCCAATCACCGTATCATTTCATCTGTAACTACTTCAATATACCTCAAACAGGAGTCTTTCTCTTTTTTTAAACATAACTATGACATCTTTACTGCACTTGAAAAAAATGAGGAATAATGGCCAGGCGTGGTGGCTCACGCCTGTAATCCCAGCACTTTGGGAGGCCGAGGCGGGTGGATCACGAGGTCAGGAGTTCAAGACCAGCTTGGCCAAGATGGTGAAATCCCGTCTCTACTAAAAATACGAAAAATTACCTGGGCGTGGTGGCACGCGCCTGTAATCCCAGCTACTCCAGAGGCTGAGCAGAGAACTGCTTAAACCTGGAGGGGCGGAGGCTGCAGAGAGCTGAGATCGCCTCACTGCACTCCAGCCTGGGCAACAGAGCGAGACTCGGTCTCAAAAAAAAAAAAAAAAGAAAAGAATAATTACAGGCATTAACTCTTAACCCATACAACAACCCTATGGAGTAGGTACTATTATTCTCATTTTACAGATGTTTCTGAGACACCTACCAATGAAGTTATGTGCCCTGGATATACAGTACTGAATGGCAGAGGCAGGAATCGAAGCCAGACAGTCGAGCTCAAGAACCTGAGCCCTCCACTTCATTATGTTTTGCTCCTTCTCAAAAGTAGATTTTATGGTAATGAGTTGTTAAATATAAACAGAGATAATTGACTAATAAAAGAATGGATGACTGACAGCATCAGACTTTAGCAAAATTTTGAAACAAGGAAAACATATCCCCGTATTTCACCTATCCTCCAACTTCTTTCTTCATCCCCAGCTGGTATGCTGCATTGAACAGCTCTACCTACCTCCATTTAACCTTGTACCCAATATTTTTAAAAGTAAAGTTTATTCTTTTTACTACAACCAGCTCTATTGGGTTAAACTAACATTTGGGATGTACTCTGTGACTAATTTTCATCAAGACAGACTTACTGGATGCAGTCCTACTCAAAATTAAATATTCTCTTCAGAAGTCATATTATGAAATATATACACCTACTATGTACCCTCAAAAAAAATTAAAAATAAAAATAAAAGTCATATTCTGTGTGACAAACAGACCCCATGATGACTGGCCCCCAATGGTTCTCTCTCACACACACATACACACACACACACACATAATGACAGACCTATTCATGCCTTTATGTAATATCCTCCCTTTCTTCCAAGTGGAGCTAGAGAGCTTAATGAAGTAAATGGCCATGTTACGGAAGCCCTCAGGAAAAGGAACTGTGGGTGGCATCAAAGAACTGCGGGCAGTCTCTCTAGGATCAGTCTCTTTAGAAGCCCCAGCCAACAGCCAACAAAAAGCTGGGATCCTCACTCATAAAGCAATTCTACCAACTACCTGAACGATCTCGTAAGTAACTACTTTCCCAGTTAAGCCTCCAGGTGACAATGCAGTCCATTTAATACTGTACAGCCTTCTGAGACCCTGAGCAGAGGGCTCAGCTAAGCCATGCCAGGACTCAAGACCCATGGAAACTGTAAGACAGTAAATGTGTGCTGCTTTAAGCTGCTAAATTTGTGGCAGGTTGCTACATAGTAATAGAAAACTAACAGCTCATGGTTCTTTATAAGGTAGACAACTATCATCTCCAAGAAATTCTAGGCCAAGGAAATCTCTTCCATAATTTATAGTACAGAACTGTAGCAGTTTCAAGCAAGAGTTCAAGCATGTGAACAAAACTAAAGCTCTTTCTTGAGAAAAGCTTTGCTTTAGCCTTACTTGTAGAGATTCCAGCAAACTCTGTGTAAACATAGGTAAGCTCTCCACTGGAAAAGTAAATATGTCAGGCTCCTTAGTTTACCAAACAAAGTTACTTTTTTCAATTGCACAAAATGCTATCAAAAGCATGTGCATCTAATGACTTCCTTCCAGACAGTACATTATGAAAGGGGGGGAAAGAAAGAACTTTACAGTGGAAAAACTTGACAAACACTACCTGAGCCAGGTGATCAAGGTTAGCATCAACAGTAATAAGTCATGTTGATAGTATGTGCCCTTGGTATGATGTGATGAAAATGGCGCTTTACCTTGGTTATCTTACCACTCAAAACCTATAACCCCAATCTAATCATGACAAAGACATCAGACAAATTCCAACTGAGGAGCATTCTACAATACCTGACCAGTACTACTCAAAACCATTAAGGTCATCAAAAACAAGAAAAGACTGAGAAACTGTCACAGCTAAGAGAAACCTAAGGAGACATGGTGACTAAATGGCGTGTGGTATCCTGGACAAGATCCTGACACAGAAAAAGGACATTTTGGTAAAAACTAACGGAATTTGAGTAAAGTATGAACTTTAATAAGGATGTACTAATATTGGTCCATTAATTATGACAAATGTATCATATTACTGTAAGATAATAAGAATAGAGGAAACTGACCGTGGGGTATTTGGGACCTCTGTACTGTATCTGCAATTTTTCTACACATCTAAAGCTATTCTAAAATAGTTAACTGCAAACATCATAATGGAATGCTCTGCTCTTCTAGCACTACATTCAAATTCAGTCTTAAATTGTTTTGTTAGGAAACTTCTATTTAATGTTGGAGATACCAGACTAAACAACAGCTTTCTGCTTTCCGTCAGTTCAAGTAACCAGATCGCTTAACAAACAACATTTCTTCACTAGACTCACTAGACCTATATCCAGAATCAAAATGGTTTCCATATAAAGAACACTTTGGAACCCTTTTTTTCCCCCTTTTGAAACAGGGTCTTTGTCACCCAGGCTGGAGTACAGTGGCACGATCACAGTTCACTACAGCCTCAACCTCCTGGCCTCAAGTGATCCTCCCCAGCGACTGGGCCTACAGGCATGTGCCACCATAGGGGTTTCTGTTTGTTTGTTTGTTTGTTTTTGTAGAGACAGTGTCTTGTTATATTGCCCAGGCTGGACTCAAACTCCTGGCTGTAAGTGATCTGCCTTGGACTCCCAAAGTGCTGGGATTACAGGTATAAGCCACCGTACCTGGCCTTGAAATCTTTTTTAAAAATGTATTATTGAAGAATTTTTCTTTTAGACATAGTTTTGTGAACCTGATATCAAGTCACAGGGTATTAAGTTTTGACTTACAGTGTGGTGCTGGGAAATCGGTTTTCTCAATTGTATTTTTTCCTTTTATTTAATAATGTTAGTTAAGGAATCCATGTTTTCTTGTTGGCCTGTACTGCCAGAAAGCAAAAGCTAAGTGAACTGTGGTAGCTCTACTTAGCCTAAGTTTTCTGGTAAAATAGTATCCATCTCTCCTCTTCCCTAGACTATTTGGCCCTAATTCTTTTAAATTTGTTTTAATCTGTTGATCTTCTGTTAAAGATACCTGAAACTCTTTCTGAAAGTAGATTTTTTTAAAAATTGACAAATATTTAGCCCGAACGAGGACATGAAATTCATTAACAAGACAAATAATCACATTAGTATTTCTCCTCAGCAAGAATTTCCCTGCTTTCTTTGTATTCTAGTTATTTAAAAAAAAAAGCAGCTTTATTGAGATATTCACATACCATGCAATTCACCAATTTAAAGTGTAAAATTCAACGTGTTTTATAAATTCACAGGATAGTGCAACCATCACAATCTAACTGAACATTTTTGTTCCGACTGAAAAAAACCTCATACCTGTTTAGCTGTCACTCCTCATTCCCCCACTCCTATCCCTCCACCAGCCCTAGGCAACCACTAATCCACTTTCTTTCTATAAATTTGCCTATACTAAATATTTCATCTCAATGAGATCATACAATATCTGGTCCTTTTGTGACTTGTTTCTTTTACTTGGCATAATGTTTTCAAGGGGCATTCACCTTGCAGCATGTATCAGTACTTCATTACTTTTTATTGCCAAATAATATTCCATTGTATGGATATATTAATTTTAATTATCCATTCTTTAGTTGATGGACATTTTGGTTGTTCTGCTTTTTGGCTATTATGAATAATGCTGCCATGAACATTCATAAAATTTTTATGTGAATGTGTTTTCACTTATCTTGGGTTTATACCTACCAGTGGAATTGCTGGGTTATATGGTAATTCCACTTTTAACATTTTTTGGAACATTAAACATTTTGAAGAAATGACAAAGCTGCTGCATCATTAAATTCTCTCTCACCAGCAATGCCAGAAAGTTCTACTTTCCACATATCCTAACCAACACTTGTTATTGTCCATCTTTTTTTATTACAGCCATCTTAGTGGATACGTGGTATCTCATTGAGGATTTCATTTGCATTTTCCTAATGACTAATGATGCTGAGAATCTTTCCATGTGTTTGTGGACTAACTGCATACACTTTGAGGGGCATTACACATTGAAATCTTTCCTCTATTTTTAAATTATTAGACTTTTTACTATTGAGTTATAAAAGTTTTTATATATTCTAGATACAAGTCCCTTATCAGATGTACGATTTGCAAACATTTTCTTCCATTCTATGGGTTGTCATCAATTTTCTGATGGTATTGTCTGCAGAACAAAAGTTTTTAATTTTGATGTAGTCCATTTATCTATTTTTCCCTTTGTCCCTTCTGCTTTTGGTAGTCTATTTAAGAAACCACTGCCTAACTCCAAATCAGGAAGGTTTGCTCGTATGTTTTCTTCTCTTCATAAATGTGAGAGCTAAAACTATAAAACTCTATGAAAACTCTTAGAGAGTTTTGTGGTCCACTTGAAGTTAATTTTTGCATATGGTATAAAGCAAAGGTCCAACTTCATTCTTTTGAACATGGATATACACTTATTCCAGCACTGTTTGGTGAAAAGACTCTTCTTTCTCCAATGAATTATCTTTGCAGACTTAACAAAAGTCAAATGACCATAAGTGTAAGGTTTTATTTCTGAATTCTTGAATCTATCCCATTTATCTGTCTGCTAGGACCACATTATCTTGTTTCTTCTAGTTCTTGACATTCCAGATATTGATAGTTATCTTCCTCTGCTAAGGCTGGTGTTTAGTGAAGTTGTGTGAGCCCCCCTACAGGGCCTAGGACCCAGAACGCAGTTGTGGTGTTTTAGTAACTGTTAATGAATCAAATGAAAAGATTTCTGATTGTGGTTTAGGAGAATTTTTTTCTATTTTAAAAAATGTCAGTAGACAAATATTAAAAATTGTTTTCACAATAAACTATCAAATTAGCAAAATAACAACAGGTAAATATAACTAACACAGAACTAAAATAAGTTACAGGGCAGTGACAATGATAATGGAATAATAGTTTGGACTAGTCATCCAGCTGATTTATTAATTAATGAGAATATATGTTTATATTCCAACTATTTCTTTTTAAAAAGGGCTGAGGTGTTTACAAAAATCAAACATATAAAATAGGACAATTAAAAATAAAAAATAAATAGGTATTTCATCATTATTTTCCCAAAGCCATAGAGCCTTGGGAAAAGGCCAAATATTTCCGGATCAGCAGACATGCAAAGGCTTCATTAGAATCAAGTCCACTAGCCTACAAGCAGCACACACAAGGGAAAACTTCTCTCTTCTTCCTCCCTCCCTCCCTCCCTCCCTCCCTCCCTCCCTTCCTTCCTTTTCATACAGACAGAGTCTCGTTATGTTGCCTGGAATGGTTTTGAACTCCTGGGCTCAAGGCATCCTCCCTCCTCAGTCCCACAAAGTGCTGGGATTACAACCATGAGCCATCATGCCCAGCCAGAAATTTCTTAGGTGAGTTGGGCTCTTCAAAGAAGAATAGATACAGGAAGTTCTGGCCCTCGCCTCCCAAAAATCTCTGCTTTTTAGTTAAAAAAAGACGAAGAAATCTAGGGTTTCTTTGTCCTCTGGTTCTTCCAAAGTAGGTCAGGTCTGTGTGTAATTATTGGGTTTCACATTCCTTCGGAAAAGGAAGAGATGTCAATTCATGGAGGTATTTAACAAACAGCAGATGCAGGCTAGGGCTAGGGGCAAAAGAGTGCTTCTGCTCCTGAACAAAAAATAAAAATAAACAAACTAAGAAACAGTCTTTGGTTTTTAACAATAATAAGCTAATTTTAAGACAGGTAGAATAAAAGGCCTAATTTCTCATTCTAAGGCTACAACCATTGAACTTAAGCTTGTGGATGAATTCTCCTAGTTTCATCTTCTTCCTAGGCACGCTCTCTATTTAGCAAGGTTGACATAAAGAAATTCAGGAAAAAAATGAAAAATATATTTACTGTAAAACTTTATGTGCAAGAGCATGTACCAAAAGATTAAGAATTACTATCTGCAAGCCGGGTGCGGTGGCTCACGCCTGTAATCCCAGCACTTTGGGAGGCCGAGGCGGGTGGATCACGAGGTCAGGAGATCGAGACCGTCCTGGCTAACACGGTGAAACCCCATCTCTACTAAAATTACAAAAACTTAGCTGGGCATGGTGGCATGCACCTGTAGTCCCAGCTACTCAGGAGGCTGAGGCAGGAGAATTGCTTGAACCGGGGAGGCGGAGGTTGTGGTGAGCCGAAATCGCACCACTGCACTCCAGCCTTGGTGACAGAGACTCCGTCTCAAAAAAAAAAAATTACTATCCGCATTACCAAAAGTCTTCTTCAGAAAAAAGAATCACCTCAGGGTTCCTTTCAACAACAAGCTTATAAAAAATTTTATTGTAAAATATGTCATATTCAAACCATAGTTCCTACGTACTCTTCCATTCCCCAGTACCACCTCATCCCACTCCAAGAAAACCACCATCCTGAAGTTTGTTCATTTGCTTTTCTTTATAATCTTACCATATATGTATCCCCAAACAACATATTGTTTAGATTTGCCTGCATCTAAACTTTATGCAAATAGAATCATACTCGTTTTTTTTTTGAGGCAGGGTCTCACAATGATGTACAGGCTGGAGTGGAGTGATATGAGCATAACTCACTGTAGCTGTAAACTCCTGGGCTCAAGAGATCCTTCCACCTCAGCCTTCTGAGTAACTAGAAATACGGGTACACACCACCATGCCCAGATAATATTTTTTTTAATTTGTTGTAGGGAAAGGGTCTTGCTATGTTGCCCAAGCTGGTCTTGAACTCCTGGGCTCAAGGGATCCTCCTGCCTCAGCCTCCCAAAGTGCTGGGATTACAGGCCTGTACCACTGCACCCACCCCGTATTTATTATTTCTAACTGCCTTTTTTGATCCCCACTATTTTGGAATATTCCTCTACGAAGATGCATGTAGTGGCACTTAAATTCCTTTTATGCTCAGAGGTCACCCTTTTATAAATATACCAACTGTATTTATGCTTTACAGTTGCTAGACATTTGAGTTGTTTGGATTTTTAGCTACTATGAACAATAATTAAAATATTCTTACATATGTCTCTTAAGCCATGCGCACAAGAATTTCACTAGGGGACATACCTAGGCATCACTAGGTAAAGCCAAATTGTTTTCAAAAATGAAGGTACCTAACAGTATGACTGCTCCTACTGCTCATATCATCTCTAACAACTGTAACTATATTTTTAATTTTTCCCTGTTTGGTGGGGGAAAGGAGACGAGCAGGAGATAGACAGTTCCTTGCCATTTTAATTTGCATTTTCTTGATTACTAAAAGGGTTGAGGATCTTTCATATGTTCATGAACCATTTGTTTCTACTCCTGTAAAATTAACTTTTTCATGACTTTCCTATTTCCATTTTTCCTAATTTTTTTTTTTATTTGAGGAGTTCTTTTATATTCTGGCTAACAAACCTTTGTTAGTACATTTCCCAAGTTGTGGCTCACCTTCTCACTCTATGATGTTTCTTTTTTAAAGTAAACTTTTAATGGATCTATAACATATATGCAAAAATGTGGCCAAATTATAAGTGTAACTCACATAAACAAAAGCAATTTGGGTCCTCAATAATTTTAAAGAGTAGGCTGGGTGCAGTGGCTCATGCCTATAATCCCAGCACTGTGGGAGGCCAAGGTGGGCAGATCACTTGAGGTCAGGAGTTCAAGACCAGACTGACCAACATGGCAAGACCTCATCTCTACTAAAAATACAAAAACTAGCCAGGCGTGGTAATGGACACCTGTAGTCCCAGTTACTTGGGAGGCTGAAGCAGGAGAATCGTTTGAACCTGGGAGGTGGAGTTTGCAGTGAGCCAAGATCATGCCAGTGCACTCTAGCCTGGCCAACAGAGCAAGACTCCATCTCCAACAAACAAAGAAAAAAAAGAGAGAGAGAGAGCATAAGGCATAAGGGATCCTAAGATTTAAAAAGTTTGGGATCCACTAGATCAGACAGATGTTATCGTCTCATTCTCTATGTCACTAAACCTCTCATATGTTCCATCTCTTCTTTCTCTGTACTAAATTCTAGAAATTTTCTTCAGATCCATTTTCCAGTTCATTAATTTACTCTACTCTGTATCCTCTTTCCACTGTATTTTTCGCTGCAAATGCTCCTCAATTTACAAGGGGCTTATGTCCTTATAAACCCATCATAAGTTGAAATATTACTAAGTCAAAAATGCATTTAATACACCTAGCCTACCAAACATCATAGCCTGGTCCACCTTAAATATGCTCAGAACACTGATGTTAGCCTACGACTGAGCAAAATCATCTTACAGGGGTGTCCAAGGGAGGGAACACAGGCTTGGGTTCTTAGTTCCTGTTTCTGGTTGGTTCGGTAAAGCCCCTTCCTCAACCCTCTTTTCCGCTTATCACTAGAGAGAGAAACTAAAAACAATGGCTTCACACTGCTAAAAGCCTAAAACAAAACAAAACAAAACAAGGTGGTTTAGACAGCTTGAATTCTAACACAAGGCCTATTTTACAATAAAGTGCTGAATATTTCATGAATACTGTACTGAAGTATAATTTCTACTGAATGAATATCACTTTCACACCATCGTAAAGTTGAAAAATCATAATCAGGTCAGCTGAGGTGGCTCATGCCTATAATGCCAGCACTTCGGGAGGCCGAAGTGGGCAGATCACTTGAGCTCAGGAGCTCAAGACCAGCCTGGGCAACATGGTAAAACCCTGTCTCTACTAAAAATAAAAAACTTGCTGAGTATAGTGGTGCCTGCCTGTATTCCTAGCTACTAGGGAGACTGAGGTGGGAGGATCACTTGAACCTAGGAGGCGGAGGCTGCAGTGAGCTGAGATCATGCCACTGCATTCCAGCTGGGCAACAGAGCAAGACCCTGTCTCGAAAAAAAAAAAGAAATAAAGAAAGAAAAATTACAATCAGATCATCATCATAAGTCTGGGGGCATCTGCATGTTTTTTATTTCTAGAAGTTCTACAGAGACTGAGTTCTTCTTCCATATTTTCCTCATCAGTTTTAAGAGTCTCCTCATCATATTTTTAACCTCCTCCTTTATTTCTTTAAACATCTGTAGGCTTTATAAGACTGATGGTTACCACCGATGTTTAGTTACCTGTCAATCGATGCATATCAAACCACTCCAAAATTTAGTGGATCAAAATAACAATAATTACTTATTTTGCTCACAAATTAGTAATCTGTTCAGGGCTTAGAGAGAAGAGCTTGCCTCTGCTCCACATGGCATCACCCAGGGCAGCTTGATAGAGAACTGAAGGATCCACTTGCAGGATCGCTTACTTAAAAAGATGGCAAGTCAGTACTGACCATCAGCTGGAAGCCTATAGCTGGTGCCACTGGCCTGAGACCTCAGTTCCTTTCCACATGGATCTCTCCATGGGCTTCTTCAGAGTATGCTGATGGGTTCCAAGAATGAGCATCCCAAGAGAATAAAGAAATGTGTGGTATTTTTATGACTTAGCCTCAGAAATGAAATAATATCACTTCTGTCATATTCTTTTGGTCAAAGCAGTCACAAAGGACTGCCCAGCTTCAACAGAAAAAGATTCTACTTCTTGATAGTACAATAGTGAGGTTCTAGAAGAGCAGGAGTCAGGAAATACTGTTTCCATATCTGGAAAATAGAATCTGCCCCATCTGACTCAAAATAACCAACTCATAGTTGCTTATTTTCTTACGCAAACTCACATTTCTTGCAACTTCCTCTATTAAAAGTCTTTAAGGCCTGACTAGAAAGTGTGTTTTCGCCAGGCGTGGTAGCTCATGCCTATAATCCCAGCACTTTGGGAGGCCGGGGCAGGAGGACTGCTTGAGCCTAGGAGTTCAACACTAGCCTGGGCAACATAGCAAGACCCTGTCTCTAAAATTAATTAATTAATTTAAAAGAGATATGAATTTGATTCTCCCAGACACTGGGAACCATAACCAAATAGGAATACTTTCAACTAAGTTTTCAGTTTAGAGATTTTCAGTCCTCACAGGTAGTATAAAATCTGACTGCAAATCTTTGAGTATGGGCGTCTGCTTAGGCAATCACATGGGAGGCTTCTTTCCCCTCTCCAACCAGATCCAAGACAGTAAGAGGCAAGTCTCTGCATGCAGGACATCTTGGACATCTTTTTTCTACTCATGCACTGAAGACTTGCACCCTCCAGGGTCCCAGTTCCATCTGGGACAGTCTCCAGTAGGACCTTCCACTATGCTTAGGTACTACTTGTCTCTTGTCCCTCCACTTTCCTCTAATCCTACAAGAAACCCTCAGAACCACCACCACCTTCAGGGCTTCCTCTGCCTTATGAAATGATGCTTTTTTTTTTTTTTCAGACGGAGTCTCACTCTGTCACCCGGGCTGGAGTGCAGTGGGGCAATCTCAGTTCACTGCAACCTCCACCTCCTGGGTTCAAGCAATCCTCCTGCCTCAGCCTCCCGAGTAGCTGGGATTACAGGCGCCTACCACTACGCCCAGCTAATTGTTTGTATTTTTAGTGGAGACAGGGTTTCACCATGTTGGCCAGGCTGGTCTTGAACTCCTGACCTCGTGATTTGCCCACCTCGGCTTCCCAAAGTGCTGGGATTACAGGCGTGCGCCACTATGCCCGGCCTCAATTATTTTTCTTACACTAGTTCCAGAACGTTATATGTATATTATATGTGCTCATACATTTTTACCTTTCCTAGCCTCATTTAAAAATGTTCCAGCTGGCTCACACCTGTAATCCCAGCACTTTGGGAGGTTGAGGCGGGCAGATCACAAGGTCAAGACATCAAGGCCAACATGGTGAAAACCATCTCTATTAAAAATGCAAAAATTAGCTGAGCATGGTGGCACACACCTGTAGTCCCAGTTACTCAGGAGGTTGAAGCAGGATAATCGCTTGAACCCAGGAGGCGGAGGTGGCAGTGAGCTCAGATCACACCACTGCACTCCAGCCTGGGTGACGGTACGAGACTCCGTCTCAAAAAAAAAAAAAAAAAAAAAAAAAATTTCTGACCCGAGGGGATTTCTCTGAATATCTAATCTACTATATTACTGAAAAAGGAATTACTCATCATTCATCTTATTTCATTTCTTAAAAATTGAAATATAAAAAATTAGCCGGGCGTGGTGGCAGGCACCTGTAGTCCCAGCTACTCGGGAGGCTGAGGCAGGAGAATGGCATAAACCCGGGAGGCGGAGCTTGCAGTGAGCCAAGATTCGGCCACTGCACACCAGCCTGGGCGACAGAGCGAGACTCTGTCTCAAAAAAAAAAAAAAAAATTGATCGGCCAGGCATGGTAGCTCACACCTGTAATCCCAGCACTTTGGAAGGCTGAGGTGGATGGATCACTTGAGGTCAGGAGTTCGAGACAAGCCTGGACAACATGCCAAACCCATCTCTACTAAAAATACAAAAATTAGCCAGGCATGTTGGAGGGCGCCTGTAATCCCAGCTACTCGGGAAACTGAGGCAAGAGAATCGCTTGAACCCAGGAGGCAGAAGTTGCAGTGAGCCGAGATTGTGCCACTGCACTCCAGCCTGGGCGACACAGCAAGACTATCTCAAAAAAAAAAATTGGTCAATAATTTCAAGAATACATCTGTATTTTAATAAGGCAGCTATGTAAAATATATCAGTTGAATGAAAATGCTCTGGAAAATGTTCTTAACATACTTCCTATAAAGCAAATCCGAGGGAATTTAAACTTATTAGAGGTGCTAACTTCTGCCCCGATACTTCACATGTTTTAAACACTATTGGGAGCTGTGCCCCTGTATCTACTGTAAACATGGTCTAGAACTGAACCACAACTGAAGAAAAGCAAAGCAAAGGAAGGCCGGGCATGAGGGCTCACACCTGTAATCCCAGCACTTTGGGAGGCCAAGGTGGGAGAACTGCTTGACCAGCCTGGGCAACATGCGAAATCCCATCTAAAAATTAGCCAGGTGTGGTGGCACACGCCTGTAGTCCCAGCTACTTGGGTGGCTGAGGCAGGAGGAGCACTTGAGTCCAGGCGGCTGGGGCTGCAGTGAGTCATGATCATGCCACTGCACTCCAGCCTGGGTGACAGAGCAAGACCCTGACTCAAAAAAAAAAAAAAAAAAAAAATTAAACCATGGTAGCATTCAAGGTTCAAAAGAAGCAGCAGCGGTTTGTGGGGGAAAAGGGATCTGTAAACCACTGGGATAAGAACTTTTAAATGTTAGATCTCCCCACCACACTGAAAGTGATGGCTACAAATTACCATATTCCCAAAAAGATGACAGCCAAACTCATATATCCCAGAAGAGAAATAGCTATTTTGGCTATTAGTAGGCACTGGCAGTAGGCTTAACAAGTCACTGAACAAACCATTTATTGTTATTCATCTTGAGCAATATGACCTTTTAGCTCAGCCTACTAAACGTCACAGTGGTCCATAAGGGGAAAGGCTACATGGATGCAAATTCCTCAATGCAATTTACCCTATAAGCAGCATGCGTTTCCAGATTCTTCATCCTACTTCACTTCGCTCCCCTCTGGGTCATAATAGAACTTAGCAGATGTCAGAATTTGCTATGAATAAACTCTGGAGCCCAGATACGAAAGCTCAGCAAAGTATGCATTTGGTGCTGGCAAAAATGGTTGTTTCGTGTACTGATTTGGATTTGCTAACTTAGAATATCTACGGTTTCAAAAACGTGGCTAAGATTGATTGTTGAGTTTTTTTATAAGTTGGAAAAAAAGCAACACACACACACACCACAGACACCCCAAGACAGGCCTACAAGTCTTCTGAGATCATCCTTCTCTCCATACCAACAAAATACCAAGGCCATTACGCAATTTGTGGTTTCTTCTCATAACTGAAGAAATTAATAGCTTTTGGATACAAAACTTAGATAGCTTTACCCTGAGATATTTTCCTAGCCTTGGATCTCTGTGTATAGAGTCCAGAAGCACCAGTTACCGCACTCCCAAATAGGGACCTACAAAAGGTTCTTTCAGTCACTGGCAAACTTTCTTCATAGCGAAACTTCAAAAATGTCTTTTGGAAAAGTTTTCTATGTGTGAAAAGAGTCTGCAGCAAATCCCTGTTATATAATGGTTTATATTACCAAGCTAGTGGTATTCATCTATTTTGTGTTTTATCTCATGTTTATTGGTAGTTGTTTTCCTAATGTTAAAATCAAAGTGTTAGGCAACATAGCAAGACAGACAATAGGGCATGGAGAATTCATTTAGCCTAATGAGATGTTACCAAGTTTAAAGAGTCAAACCTAGAAGAGGGAACTGTGCAGCTCCAATTATAAGTGATCTGACATACACAGATTTGGGAGGCAAAGTTACATTCTCTATGATGCTGGCTGTGGGTTTGTCAAAAAAACAAAAAAAGTTACATTCTCCAGTTTTAGGCAATGCAAGTCTAATCTACAGCACAGTTATGAGGTTTCCCATCTGAATAACAAGAATATTTATATAAATTCATTACAGCCTAGAAATTAGTTAATCTTACTAGTTGAGTTTGCGCTTGTAAATTAGCACTATGCTTACTTATCCATCTAGACATCAAAATGCTAGTCAGTGTAGAGGTACAGTATAATTCAATCTGTTTTGGTCTGCTTTATGTCAAACTGTTTTGGCCTCCATTTGTATCTTTGGAAATAACCTTCATGTATGTCAAATAAAAACAAACAAATAAGAAAACTTAAGCTTGCATGTATGATACTAAGAAAACTGGGTTTTTCTTTTTCTAAATTTCAATTTATTTAGGGCAATAATGAACACGAATCAAGAGAAGCCATTGTTTAGGGAAAATAAACACTTTGTAATATAGTCTTCTAGTACAGATTAGAAGTACAACTAATAACTGTTCAATAAATAGAATAATTACAAACAAAAAGGTCCTCATTTTTCCCTACATAGAAATTGAAGAATTTACTGACATGAACCTCAATCCAGTTATTTCAGATGCGGGCTATTGGAAGAAAATCAATTTATAATTTCAGATACCTCTATTAAGGTCACACAACCAGATCTGGGTTTCTACTGGGCTGTGGTAACTCACTTTATTTAGTGAAATGACCCATCAAGGGCATCAATCATTCTGGTGGCAAAAAAAAGTCAACATAATTGTGATATTTTAGACATATAGCGTTTACTTCAGCCCACTCTTCCTCCTTTCTCTGAAGAACAATTTCTAAAAATTATACTCTAAACTTCTGGTTTGTAGTGTCAGGCAGACACTCCCAATGCCATTAACAGTGCAGAAAAAGGAAAGAACACCTGGGCTTGGGGCAGCAGAGTGACACTGGCATCCTAACTCTGCAACTTAGTCTCTTACCTGTAATAACAACTACTTTAATAAGGTTGCTATAAAGATTACAACATAAAATGTAGCTGGCATAGAACAGATAACTAGTCATTATTAGCTGTTCTTGTTGTTGTTATTATTACCACTAATACTGTTAGTATTATTCTACTTTCCCTGATGAGTCTCTATCCCATTTCCTGGTAATTGCAAACATCTGTCACTTTATTTAAACCTCCTAACCAACCTGAGCCCCCTAACTTTCAACAGATGACTTAGCTTTGAGCTTAACAGAGAAAACAGACAAGAACTTCCTTTATGTATCTATACATTGTCATGCACCCAATCTTTCCTTTACTCTTTCTTCCCAGAAGCAGGTCTTTCCTCTAACCTCAGGCATGTAATAAGTACCAAGTAAGTGTTAGTCACTAGCTATTGTCATCATCCTCAAACACAAGGAATAGCAATTTCCAAACTGCATTACAGAAGACTGACTGATACTCTAATTTCGGGGTTGGCAACTACCAACACTCATGGATCATGAAGAGTGGCTACCAGTTTTACTGGATTACTCTCCTCTTCATGTTCAACATCCATTTAGCTGTCATAAAGAAGGTCAAGTTCTCAAGACAAAAATGAAAAAGCTAAACAAATACTGGCTCAAACTCATAGAAACAGAAAGCAGAATGGTGGTGCCAGAGGCTGGAGGGAAGGGGAAATGAGGAGTTGTTACTTAATGGGTACAGAGTTTCAGTTTTGCAAGATGAAAAGAGTCCTGGAGATTGATTGCACAACTATACAAGTGTACTTAACACTAGTGAACCGTACACTTAAAAATGGTTACAATGCTAAGTTTTATATTATGTGCATTTTACCACAAAACAAACAAACAAATTGGTACTAGCTCAGTGACACTCCAATATGACCCCTCACCAACCTCTGCCCTAACTTCATTTTCTGGAACTCTATTCAAATTAGGGTTAAAACTTGCCATTTCAATTTGTTCAAACAAATTCCTGGCCAGCATCTAAGAGAAATGTGTGTATTGTATGTCTTCATAAAAGATTAAAAAAAAAAAAAAAAACACAGAGAGCCTGTTTCTAAGGTATATTTTGGGGGTTAGGATTGAATAGATGTTCTGAGAGATAATGAGTACAACATCTACCTCCTTCAATCCAGCAGAAATAAATACAAAAATAACTCTTCAAGAGTACTACTCAAACTGCCAGTATTCTGACATCAGTAAACAAGATCCTTGGGGCAGAGGTATGGAAAAGAATAAACAGGTACTAGGAGAATGCCCTCTTAACACAACCTGCTTTCATGGAACTCACCACATGAAATCCATGTGGTAGGAAAAAATTTACTTGAGATGCAAATATTTATAAAAACTACGCTTTAGATAAAGACCATCTATTTTTAGGAGAGAAAATATGCAATAAAACTAGCACAGCAACAAACTAAAACACAGGGGGAGGAGGTAGTAGTAAACCACGTCCACCAGAATAAGAAACTATACTTTTGACTGTATTTTTAAACTGAAATATTCACTCTTTACCTCAAACTGTTGAAGAATCATTATGCAGAGAACACGGTAAGTTGAAACACATGCAAATACATGTGAACAAAGCTGTTTGGTTGTATTCACAGAACTTATGTGTGGTTTGGATGGTACAACTAGCACTAACTTCATGAGGTATGTAAAGGACGTTACCTCGACACAGCACCACGTACTGTGAGAAGTAGAAAGATCTTTGGAAATTTCTTATTCTAACCTAACCCCTTTGTTTCACAGATGATGAAACTAAAGCAAAGAGGGAGCAAGCAAAGCCTAAGTACAAAATAAAGAGATCCTGGTGCAGAAAAATGCAGTAACGCCTGTAATCTCAGCACTTTGGGAGGCCAAGGCAGGTGGATCACAAGGAGATTGAGACCATCCTGGCTAACACCATGAAACCCCGTCTCTACTAAAACTACAAAAAATTAGCCGGCACGGTGGCAGGCGCCTGTAGTCCCAGCTACTAGGGAGGCTAAGGCAGGAGAATGGCGTGAACCCGGGAGGCGGAGCTTGCAGTGAGCCGAGATGGCGCCACTGCACTCCAGCCCGGGCAACAGAGCGAGACTCTGACTCAAAAAAAAAGAAAAAAAGAAAAATGAAGTAACTTTCTAATGATAATTTTTAAAAGAACACATTCAGAATAGCCACAAAGTATCAGAAGAAACATTATAAGAGAAAAAACATTGGCCCAGCCAGTGGTGCTCACACCTATAATCCCAGCACTTTGGGATGCCGAGGCAGGTGAATTGCTTGAGCTCAGGAGTTTGAGACCAGCCTAGGCAACACAGCAAGACCCCATCTCTACAATAATAATAATTTAAAAATTAAAAAATTAGCCAAGCATATTAATGTGCACCTGTGGTCCCAGCTACTTGGGAGGCTGAGGTGGAAGGATTGCTTGAGTCTTTGGGGTTGAGCCTTCAGTGAGCCATGATCATGCCACTGCACTCCAGCCTAGGTAACAAAGCAAGACTCTTTCTCAATAAATAAATAATATATATATTACATATATATGTATAAATATAAATGTGTGAGAGTTTTATGGAGAGGAGTACAAAACTTCACTGAAAAATCTAAAAGAAGACAACATATGCCCTGTACATCAATGAACCTAAATACTGGAAGAAAAAACAAAACAAAACAAAAAAAAACCCTCAAGTCTCCCTTTCTGTCCCTACATAATCCACACTCTAGTCTGTCTCCCAAATAAGACTACAATAAGTAAAGGAGTATTCTCCTGTATTTGGTGGTAATAATGGCAAGAGAACACAGATGGAAAAAAACATGAGGATAAACCAGGAAAACATGTCTTACCCAAGCAGTTTAAACTTTAAATGCAGCTTTCTAGTCTATGATGCCCAGCCAGCAGCACCTTTCCTTCCACTTTTTTTTTTCCCCGCATGTTCGAATGTCTCTCAGATGATATGTGTTTCCAAGCAGTTCTCTATTCGCTTTTTAAATCAGTAAGGTCTTTTAAAATGCAAAGTCAACTTTGGAAACAATGTGGGCCAGCCAGAAACTAATTTAACATTGTAACTTTATAGCTCACCATACACTTATTTAAGGTCTGCACAACCTTGCAATTTAGTACTCTGCCACTCTGCCTCTTGAAAATAAGCAAAATGTTGCTGGCTCAACACAATAGAAACTATCGTTCTAAATCCCAAGAGCAAACAAGTAGAACCAGGTCAGTCCTCTGAGACCTCCAGTACCAAAAAGATACAGTATCAGTAAAATCCTAATAAAAATTATAAATTGAAACTAAAGGCAACCCAAGTTTTTTTTTTTCAATTAGTATACTAGAAGTAAAGAAGGGATTGGAAAAATTAAAATGAAAAATTAGACTTGACTGTGAGTTCCTATTACTGTGAGTAGTTACTGTGAATACCCTGACTGGGAGTTCCTATGACTTCCCACTACTGTGGACTTCCAAATTAAAAATATCAGGCAGATTTTGACACATGAAGTAAGATGTGGTTGGGCAATTAACAAGAGTAAATTTTTAAGTTAAGCAGATAGTTTCTGAAAGTTTAACTTGAAAAGGTAACTAAAAACACACATAGGATTTTAGGTTCAAACACTACTACAAACTGGGAAGTAAAAGCAATTGAAATTTCAAGTCTAATAGAACAATTTCTGTGTCTCAATCTTTTATTATATAGGATCCAAGGCAGCTGAAATTTAAATTTCAGTCTGAAAACAGTGGCAAAAGACCTTTTCTTCTCACTCAGAAAAAAATAAGCTTGGAACAGTAGACCTTCTGTGAGAAGGCAGCAGGCCATTCTGTATTTCAGCGGGGTCGTCATATAAAGAAAAGGCTATGACTGAACACATGAACTATGCAACTTCTTGGCAGCAATACATGTACTTACCAATACCAATCACTGTTGTGATCCCGCCTAGCCAACTACCAGCAAGTCTGCACTAAGTCTACAATTCAAAGGTGAGAACTTTCCTGAATAAAACCACTGTGGAGGCCAAGAGTGTCTAGACCTGAGGAGGAGTAGACCTGCCAACATCAGAGCACTCCCCAGTTCAAAGAATGAACTTCTTTTTCCCTTTGAGAGATAGAGATAATGCTGTGAATGGGGCCAAAGGTCAGGAGGCTTACCAAAACTGGGTATAACCTACATACATTAACGAGTCAAGCAACAAATCTGAACTCAGAATACGTGGTCTAATACCTTAGTATAACAGTGCAAATTACTTTATTGGCAGTATATTGAAAGTAAATTTTTTAAAAAAAGAAAACATTAATAGGCCACTACTCACTCGATCACTCTTCCCAGACACAAGTATCTCCAACCAGACAGCAATAACTTCCACATTCGTACCTCCAGGCTTCGTATTTCCAACAGCCACCTCCACAGTATTACCTTTGTGTCCTTGGGTACCTTAAACTCAACCCATCTACAACTAAACTGATTATATTTTCTTCTCCTACCAAACCTCCTCTTCCACACTGAATTCCCTTGTCACCTAAAAGCACTGTTTGGACAAACCAATAACTTCCTAATTAATCTACTTAACAAGGTCTCCTCCCCTCCACCTCCCAAAATCATTAATCCTTCACATTCCATTAATTTTCTTCTACAATGAAAGCTGTTACCACAAAATAATCACTACTATTTTTCAGCTACATTTACAGTGTGTCAAGAGCTGTGCTTTACATATTATCCCGTTCAATCAAATCCTCACAACAGTTCTTTCAGGTAGGCATTATTATGCTTGTTTTACAAATGAATTAAACCAAAGTTTAAGGCTCATCCAAGGTCAGAGAGAGAGCTGGTTAGTGGGAGACTAAGGATTTAATATCAGGCACTCTTTTAACCAATATAAAAGTAACCTGCCTTGGCTGGTCATGGTGGCTCATGCCTGTAACCCCAGCACTTTGGGAGGCCAAGGTGGGCGGATCCAAGGTGGCCAGGAGTTTGAGACCAGCTGGCCAACATGGCAAAACCCCGTCTCTATCAAAAATACAAAAATTAACCAGGCATGGTGGCACACGCCCGTAATCTCACCTACAAGGGAGGCTGAGGCATGAGAATCACTTGAACCCGGGAGGCGAAGGTTGCAGTGAGTCGAGATCATGCCACTGCGCTCCAGTATGGGCAATAGAGCAAGGCGCTGTCTCAAAACAAACAAAAACCCCTGCCTCATTAGAGAATGCTTTCTAAAAATTGAGGGAAGGGAGAGAAACAGGTATAATTTGAACACTCTAATAACTAAGTTACAAATTCATTATTTAACATATAGTTTCAGTCAAGAAGTACAAATAATTCTATACTATTAGAGATACTCTCAAAATACTGATCTGATCTAAAAGGTCTAACCAACCTATTACTTAAATGATAAAGTAAGTGAAACTATTTCACAATCGGCCTTCAACCTATCTTTCAACTAGATTTTCCAATATTCCCAGCCACTTTCCCCTCCTATCCCCATACTTTTTGGTACAAACCACTATACACAGCTAGTAAGGCCCATTCAATCTCCTATCACCAGGTCTATGGCAAATTTTTTCAATGCAGCCTTCTCTGACATCTTCAGGCAAAATTAACTCCTCCTTCCTCTTGCTTTTATGGCAGGTTTTTCATTTCTAACTCATAGCATACATATCTATATACATATACACCCATACACGTATATCACTAAATTTATTACAGACACCAAAAAAGGGGGTAAATCTTGTCTTTCTACGTATTTAGACATACATACAAAAAACTCGTGGCCGGGCATGGTGGCTCATACCTGGAATCTCAGCACTTTCGGAGGCCAAAGCGGGCAGAACACTTGAGGTCAGGAGTTCGAGACCAGCTTGGCCAACATGGTGAAACCTCATTTTTACTAAAAATACAAAAAATTAGCCAGGCGTGGTGGTGGGCGCCTATAATCCCAGCTACTCAGGAGGCTGAGGCAAGAGAATTGCTTGAACCCAGGAGGTGGAGGCTGCAGTGAGCTAAGATCCTACCAATGCACTCCAGCCTGGGCAACAGAGCAAGACCCCCCCCCCCAAAAAAAAACACCTCATATATTTGTGTGCATTTACAGGGAAAGGCATTTATATAGCAATTCTTACTATTTCTGATTCTATTGTTTCCTTTCTTATCCACTCCTTACCTATATCCCATACACTCTACAGCATTAAAAAAACAAAATTACATTGAGGCCAAAGTAAAATACTTCCAAATGTAAAAATAAATGATATGGCAATTAGCACTACTGTTAGGATGGACCATGCAGCACCCAATACATATTAATTGTACAATCTGTTTCATTTGTATACAGAGAAGCAGGGCTTTTCACTGTGCTTTACCCAGCAGAAATGGTTGTCTTTGCCTAGGATGCTAAAGGATCAAGGAATTGGAATTCAAAAAGTTATCACTAGGTCAGGAGCAGTAGCTCATGACTATAATAATCCCAGCACCTCGGGGAGCCAAGGCAGGAGGACTCTTGAGCCCAAAAGTTCAAGACCAGCCTAGGCAACATGGAGGGACCTCATCTCTACAGAAAAATTTAAAAATTAGCCAGACATAGTGCCATGCACCTGTAGTCCCAGCTATTTGGGAGGCTGAGGTGGGAGGGTCACTTAAGTCCAGGAGATAGAGGCTGCAGTGAGCCGTGATCATGCCACTGCTCTCCAGCCTGGGTGACAGAGTGAGATTCTGTCTCAAAAAAGTATCTCTAAAGGACCAAATGTGAACAACAACTAAACAGATTTTTATTTTATTTTATTTCTACTTTTATTTTTATTTTAATAAACAGAGTCTCACTATGTTGCCCAGATGGGTCTCAAACTCCTGGCCTGAGGTGATCCTCCCACATCAGCCTCCCAAAGTGGTGGGATTACTGGCATGAGCCACTGCACTCACCCAAAAGCTAGATTTTTAAAACTTTAAAAACCCCTCCCCACAGTAACAGAAATGCTTTTAACAGACACAACTGATTTTTTAAAAAAATAAATCACAGCATAACCATCTAGAAACGCAACTATGCCCACCATTTTCAGACTGTTTTTTCCTATACAACACCTTACATTCCTAAAATAGCTTAATTATGGAATTCCTGGTTTAAATGGACAACAATTTCTTTATTATTGTTTAACTTTAAAAAAGAAAACCAACCTAGAAACAACAGAATAAATTTAGCCTTATATGGATGAAACCCTGTTATAACTGACCTAAAAATACAGGTTACTTAGCTTCTAAAAATGATTTTTTTTCTTCCCATCCTTCTAATATATTCTAAAAAGTATAGAGGAGCAGATATTTAGGAAAACATGTATATTCCTTTAGTGCAATCCTAAAGCAGCAATGAAAAAACAACTTGAGTAATGGGAGGGGTAGTGGAGAGGAAGAGGGGCTGAACAGACGTCAGCAGGGTGCAAGGGGAGGATGGGTTGCCTAGGAAACCAAACAGTAAAGAATGAGCGGAAAAATCATTAGCTGAAAAACCTCTGAAATGCTTTTACAAGAGCTCAATCCTTCATCCCAAAAGATGTACAGCAAAGAGACCAATTGTCACAAATGACAAAGGGAACTTACAGCGTGACAGCCAAGCAAGTGCCTTTTCCGAACTGTGTGGCACACAGACATCAGGAGGAGCAACCATGAGTGAGTTACACATCCGTGACGAAACAGACATGTGTTTGTGTGCATGTATTCTTTCAGAGAGCTTTTGTTGGCTTAGCATTTAAACAGGTATAAACAGTATATTTAAACAAGTATAAATATAAAAAACCATTCCTATTTATGATACAACTAGGGTAAAGAAAATCAAACTTCAACAAATTTATGAAATTAGCTAGCCTCCCTTCTCCAGCCTTAAAATCTATTTAAAGTTGTTTTGATTTTTCAGTTATTGAATTACAAAGTGTTATTTGTAAGTAACCAGTAACTGTTTTTGAAGAGTCTGAAATGGACAAACCTCTTTGAAGTCTCCAAGCCAAACCTTTGTCCTAAGATCACTAAGCCACATTGTAGGTAAGGAGATAGGGAATTAGCAAGGAAAAAAATACATCGAAGGAAAGAATGTTAATCTTCCTTTCTCTGAAAAACACTTTAGAGCATAGTGGTTAAGATTCTGGTTCCTGGAGCCACACTGACTGCTCTACTCCTTCCTCGTTTTGTGACCCTAAGAAAGGTGCTTGCCCTTGCTGGGTATCAGCATTCTCACTTGTTACGGTGAGGATTATAACAATATCAAACTCACAGGGCAGTTGCCAGGTTTAGATGAAATAATGATTCATGACAAAAAGTGCTTGGTGGTAAGGATTCAATAAATGATCACGAAATCCCTTTGGGATTAGCTAATTAATCTCCTCATCTTGACCACAATCATATGTACTATAAGCCATCACTGTCGGACTAAACTGCGACAAACACTCCTGTTACAGAGCACCAGGAATCTACGTTTACTCACACCAAACTAAAACATACGGGTTCAGCTTTTAAGGCTCTCTAAAAGTTTTCCCCACGCTACCTATACAATTATTAATACCAACCCCAAAACAATCTGTTTTTGTCCTGCTATTCTTCATTCCTCAAACAAAACAGCCCCAAATTTTTGTGTCCACCTCTGCAGCAAGCTCAGTTTAAAAGTCCCGTTTTCCAGGCACTTCTCACCTCTACTTTCACTCCTTTTTTTTTCTTTTTTTCTTTAAGACAGAGTCTCAGGCCGGGCATGGTGGCTCACGCCTGTAATCCCAGCACTTGGGAGGCTGAGGTAGGTATGTCACCTGAGGTCAGGAGTTTGAGACCAGCCTGGGCAACATAGTGAAACCTTGTCTCTACAAAAATACAAAAATTAGCTGGGCATGATGGCGCATGCCCGTAATCCCAGCTACTCAGGAGGCTGAGGCAGGAGAATCGCTTGAACCCAGGAGGTGGAGGTTGCAGTGAGCCAAGATCGCACCATTGCACTCCAGCCTAGGCGACAGAGCAAGACTCCGTCTCAAAAAAAAAAAAAAAAAGACAGGGTCTCACTCTGTCACCCAGGCTGGAGTGCAGTGGCGTGATCTTGGCTCATTGCAACCTCCACCTCCCAGGCTCAGGAGATCCTCCCGCCTCAGCCTCCCGAGTAGCTAGGACTACAGGTGTGCACCATCACACCCAGCTAATTTTTGTATTTTTGTAGAGACAAGGTTTCACTATGTTGCCCAGGCTGGTCCCAAACTCCTGCGCTCAAGGCATCCACCCACCTCAACCCTCCCAAAGTGCTGGGATTACAGGTATGAGCCGCCACACCCGGCTCACCCTACTTCCTACCTGTGCAGATCTTATCTACTATTCTAGATACACTTCAGATGTTTTGGAAGTCCCCAATATTCTAATCGTCTAGTGATTGCTCTTAATCCTCTCAACAACCTGGCTCCTAAGAATAAATTTATATATCATCTATTTTGTCTGTTAGCTCTAACTCTACAATAATTATCTTCTTCAGGGGAGGAATGGCATCTTCCCTGAAAAATCATCCACAGTATCTAGCAAAGTGCTGTGTACACTTTGATAAGCCTTTATTTCACTTGCTTATTTTCAACATCTAAAATAAGGAACAAGTCAGGTGTGGTAGAACCTGCCTGTAGTCCCAAATACTTAGAAGGCTGAGATGGGAGAATCATTTGAGCCCAAGGAGTTCAAGGCTAGCCTGGACAACATAGTGAGACTTCATCTTAATTAATTAATTAATTAATTATTAAAAAGGAACAAAATTCTGGCTGGGTGCAGTGGTTCATGCCTATAATCCCAGCACTTTGGGAGGCCAAGGCAGGCAGATCATTTTAGGCCAGGAGTTCGAGACCTGCCTGGCCAACATGGCAAAACCCTGTCTCTACTAAAAATACAAAAATTAGCCAGGTGTGGTGGTGTGTGCCTATAATCCCAGCTATTCGGGAGGCTGAGGCATGAGAATCGCTTGAACCTGGGAGACAAAGGTTGCAATGAGCCGAGATTGTGCCACTGCACTCCAGCCTGGGTGACAGAATGAGATTCTGTCTCCAAAAAAAATAGAAGAAGGAACAAAATTTTATTCAATAAACAATAAATAATAAATCTCCATTTCATGTTATGGCTTGATTATGTCAAGAGGGTGAAAATAAAAAAATATTATCTTAAATATAGCTGCACTTTTGTGGCCAGAAAAATATCAATAATTTATATAAACTTGCTCAAATACAGTGACAGGAGAAGGGGGAGACCCAACAGGATTAAAAATATGACAGTTCTCAGGCCGGGCACGGTGGCTCACGCCTGTAATCCCAACACTTGGGGAGCCCAAGGCGGGTGGATCACCTAAGGCCAGGAATTCAAGACCAGCCTGGCCAACATCATGAAACCCCATCTCTACTAGAAATATGAAAATTAGCTGGGTGTGGTGACGGGCACCTGTAATCCCAGCTACTCAAGAGGCTGAGGCATAGGAATCGCTTGAACTCGGGAGGCGGAGGTTGCTGTGAGCCAAGATCGCGCCACTACACTCCAGCCTGGGCGCCAGAGGGAGACTCTCTCTCAAAAAAAAAAAAAAAAAAAAAAAAAAAAGACATTTCTCTATTTCTCTACTTGTTATAAAAAGAATAAACAATAGATGCTATCTAGCTATTCTCAATTAAGTTGTTAATGAAAAGTATTCAAGCTCAAAATTTAACAGGTTCATGTTCTCTGACCATATGCACATCCATCCACAACAATATCATAGAGGACCTTCTCATTTTTTCCCATTATCAAAAAAGAATTCCCAAATCCACCCAAATGAAAGCAATTTTACATCTCTCTGATGTGAACAACTTGAGCAAACAAGATTCAGGGGAACCACTGGCCATTATTATTAGATTACCTCTTTAAGATATCTTCACTGCCAGTCTTCCTTCACCTTGCCATACACTTGACTCCTTGGCAACTAGTTTAAGAGCAGACATCAATCCATGCGCACAAGCAGGTGTGCTGAGCAAAACACTAGCTATATACTCAGCCAGCCCATATGGGTCTAACAGGTGGGCAGTCAGTCTGCTTGACAAGCCAATCAGATGCAGGCAAAAAGAAGACCCCAAACAGCTGACTTAGCTCATATGTGTAGTAATCATTCATTCAACAAATATGCAAGGCACTAAATGCATATCTACATCTATGTACCGTATTCTATATCAAAACACTTTATTCAGTATTATAGGATAAAAAGTTCTTAAATCACAGTACTTACTGACTTAAAAATTTGATAAAAGGAATAAAATATACACTATTAAAGAAGCAAACATTTATTAATTTATATTTTGCTTTGATTCAGAAAAAGTTTATGGTAGCTTACATAAGTACAACTGGATAAAATGACTAAAGAAAAAGATTAGGAAGGTGATATTCTGAAAAGTGAGATATCAGTATACTAAAATGAGAACATTAACATTCTTAACATTTTCCCAGAGATGGCCAAATGTACAATGTAAAGAAAATAGTATACAATGAATTTAGAGGAAAAACAGATCTCATACGACCAGGACAGTCAAGAAGGGGACAAAAACGGCACAAGAGTGCCTTTGTTGACAGTGAATGTTAATTCCATTTTATTTTATTCTTAGAGATGGGGTCTCACTTTGTCACCCAGACTGCAGTGCAGTGCCATAATCATAGCTCATTGCAGCTTTAAATTCCTGGGCTCAAGCAATCCTCCTGACTCAGCCTCCCAAGTAGCTAGGACTACAGGTGCACACCACCCAGTAATTCTTTTTATTTTTATAAAGACAGGGTCTTGCTATGTTACCCAGGCTGGTCTCAAACTGTTGGGCTCAAGTGATCCTCCTGCCTCAGCCTCCAAGAAAACAACAGTTTATGTTTTTACCTCCACAGGTAGTGTATATGATAATTTAAAAAAAAAAAAAAGCTATTCCAATATGCAAGGAAAGAAAAGTAAGTAAAATACTGACAACTTTGGGAGGCTGAGGCAGGCAGATCACAAGGTCAGGAGTTTGAAACCAGCCTGACTAACATGGTGAAACCCCGTCTCTACTAAAAATACAAAAAATTAGCCAGGCATGGTGGCGCACGCCTGTAGTCCCAGCTACTCAGGAGGCTGAGGCAGGAGAATCACTTGAACCCTGGAGGCGAAGGCTGCAGTGAGCTGAGATCATGCCATTGCACTCCAGCATGGGCGAAAGAACAAGACTCCGTCTTAAAAAAAAAAAAAAAAAAAAAATTGACAACCGCTCTTGGAAAAATATCTGAAATTCCTCCTCTTAGCTATAATGGATTTGGGATGTAAAGAGAAACAAATATTTAAAATCTCAATTTCACTATCATGAGAGTCAGGGACTTCAACCATGATCTCATAAAGAAAAAAAATGGCAGGACAAAGGTATGGCTTTCACCATTTCCTCAACCAACTTTATCACTCTAATGCCTCGAGAAAGCCCAGCTAGGGCCTGGCACACAGAGGTTTCATTTAATCTAGTGCTCTGCTCTTTCCACAACTCTAAGAGCACTGAAATTTTTAGAGCCACAGAATCATAAATCTATAGGAGTACAGATATATAAATTTTTGTTTACTATAAGTATGAAATTATTGATCATACAAATATAGAAACTTAGTCAAAATCCCAAACTAATCCAAAAAGCTTAATCAAACTAAAAGTGTATAGTTAGACAATTATTTTTACTAAGTGACCCATTTTGAGTAAGTTAAGATAAAACTGACAAATACAGGTAGCCTCAAGAACAAAGGTATATAAAATCAAGGCAAATTCCAAATCCAATTCCAGATTTAAACAACTAATGAGAGTGTTTAGTTTTTACTTCAGAAGATGTATGAAAAATATAGTTTCACAAACACAAGGGAACCAAACTTGCCTAGAGTTTGACCATATTGTTTAAAATGTTAGAACAGTTCTGGAATCATAGGTTTGAATCCAAAGTTTTAAAGCATTTTGTTTCTTATCAGTTGATATACTTCACTTGTAGGTCCATCTCTTCTTTATGCTAAGTTGTACTAACAGAACAGACATTTTGTAATTAAGACATATATGTGTTTGCACTCCAACTACGGTTGTAAACTTAAATGTCTGACTTTTCTGAAACTCAACTTCAATTCTTTCTAAAAAAAATTTTTTTAATCTGTGATTCCTCTGAGCACAGGGCAATCATCAATGACAACTAAGTTTCAAATTCTAACTGCCCACTATTGAATTTAGATGGACACCTGTTTGCATCAGTTTGAAGTGCAACATATTCATATGTCTTGTGAGATCTCTTTTCATTTTCATCTCTTTGTTTTTTGTGGCATTTTGTTTTCTTTTCTTTTCTTTTCTTTTTTGTTTTTTCAGTAGAGATGGGGTTTCACCAGGCTGGTCTCAAACTCCTGGCCTCAAGTGGTCTACCCACCTCAGCCTTCCAAAGTGCTGGGATTACAGGCGTGAGCCACTGCACCCAGCCCATTTTCATTTGTTTTCTCCCTCTTCTAAACAACATTGCAGTAAATACTCTTATGACTACATTCTTGTTTTGACCTACTATTATTTCTATAAGACAAATTCTTAGAAATGAAAATCCTAAGTCAAAGAATATATACTTTCCAGGTTGTTGATACATTATTGAGACATACCATTACTAAATTATTTTCCATTGAAATCATGCCTACCTAGTCCCCAAATCCCAGAGCAACAGTGGGCATAATTTGTTTAATAAAGTTTTTCCATTATGGCAAGTAAAAAAGAATGTAGTTATAATTGCCATTTGTTTGATTGTGCATGATATGTAAGTAAGGTAAATATCTAATATTAGATATGTATATTAGATAGTTATAATTTTTTTCATTGTTGCTAAAACTTTCTATCAGGTCACATTTAGCTCAAGGGCCTATTGCCCAACCTTAATTTTAGCAAGCTTATATAAAAGGGGAAAGTACAGTATGGAATAACACTGTTCTACTATTTCTGTCTTAAAAACGACTTCCTCAAACCTAATGTTGGGCAAGATAACATCTCCATTACTTATGCTCCAATACAGAAGATGTGCACAGGAGACTTGACACAATACTGTGAATAATAAAATCTATCTGCAATTAGCTACACATTGTTAGAGTTTGTAAGTCAGATCAAGCCACTTGGGATTTGTTTGTTTTTTAACCACTTTCTTAGATATCCCTTTTAAAATCTTAAGTGCCTTTTAATGCACAGTTCTGTCATGAAGCCAAGAAATAATAAAATAAGGGGAATATCAATTCTGTCTAATGCTGTCAGATTACTAAAACATTAATGATGAAGCATCATATTAAAGTGATGTATCTTATAAAAGTAACATTAGATCCCATCAAATTATAACTGATTCATCTCTTCCTACCTTGCCCAAACCAAGCTGAAAGACAAAGTAGCTTTCAGGTTCAAGATTTTCTCTAACTTGTCCAATTTATTCAGACACTGCCAGGACCAGCTCCAAAGTGATTACCTGGTTTTTAATGAATGCATTTCTTACAGACTATTAATGTGCTTCCTGATGCCAGCATCGCTGGAAGGGAATAACTAGCCCAATGAGATCATTAGTCATTGACACCAGATTATAGTAACATTAGGAAATGACGACGGGTTGCTTAGCTGCAGTTTTCCAAATGCTGCTAGGATAAAGAGAACTGACAGTAATCACCTCCACAGAGAATCACAGACTAAATCTATCCATTAAACAGTGTTCCTTCATCTTCTCAGCAAAGGAGCTCAGCTACAGAAGTTAACCTTCTTGGCAAACATTCTTTATCTATAGGAACTAGATTATAATATCACTATTCTATCTCCCTCAAAGTTCTTCCACTCTAGTGGGTGGGGCGATAGCACGGAAACCTTCCTCTTCTCTGAGGTTTATGTCACTTGACTGTATGACTATCTAAATTAATGTCTTGACTAATTTCTAGGTCATCTTTCAATGTATAAAAAGTAATCTGAGGCCAGGTGCAGTGGCTCACGCCTGTAATCCCAACACTTTGGGAGGCCAAGGCAGGTGCATCACCTGAGGTCAGGAGTTCAAGACCAGCCTGACAAATATGGTGAAACCCCATCTCTACTAAAACTACAAAAATTAGCCAGGCATGGCGGTGTGCACCTATATTCCCAGCTACTTGGGAGGTTGAGGCAGGAGAATCACTTGAACCCAGGAGGTGGAGGTTGCAGTGAGCTGAGATCGCCCCACTGCACTCCAGCCTGGGCAACACAGCAAGATTCCATCTCAAAAAAAAAAAATTTAAAATAAAGTAATTTGAGCTGGGCACAGTGGCTCACGTCTATAGTCCCAGCTACTTGGGAGGCTGAGACAAGAGAATCACAAGCCCAGGAATTGGAGGCTGCAGTGAGCCATGATCACACCACTGAACTCCAGCCCGGGCAACAGAGCAAGACCCTGCCTCCAGGCCTCAAACGATTCTCCCACCTCGGCCTCCCAAAGTGCTAAAATTACAGGCATGAACCACTGTACCTGGCCTAGGTCATTATTTCTTGCTTGAATGATTACAATAGTCTTCTAACAATTAATGAGTCTCCAATGAATACAATACTCTCCCTACCTTCAGTCCACCTTCTACATTGTCACATGAATTAACAAAAGCAAACTTGATTCTATCTGTCCACCTAAAAAAAGAAAAATCAGAAGTTCCCCATTATCTGCAGAAACAAATCCACACTCCTCAGCATCAAGTACAAAGCTCCTTCATTGTCTGGGCTCCACTGATTTATCCTTTCCCATTGCCTGCCACTTCTTCACACTGACATTGCGCTTTGGTCTTAAGAAACCATTTGCAGTTCCCTGAACTTGTATGCTTTTTCAAACCTGTCTTTTTATCTCACCCAAAATTCCTTTCCCCACTTTTAAAGTTTGCCATTTGAACATTGTAGTAAAATCTAGAAAACTTCTAGACCAAGCTTGTCCAACCCAGCCTGTGGGCTACATGCGTCCCAGGACGGCTTTGAATGTGGCCCAACACAAATTCATAAACTTTCTTAAAACATTATCACACTTTTTTGCAATTTTTTTTTTTTAGCTCATCAGCTATTGTTAGTGTTAGTGTATTTTTATATGTGGCCCAACACAATTCTTCCAGTGTGGCCAGGGAAGCCAAACAATTGGACACCCTTAAGGGACAGCCCTTAAGTAGGCTGAACTTAAGTTGCAAACATTGAGATAAAACATTAGTCTCCACCTGCCCAAAATACCAGCATCCGTCTTAGATCATTTTCCCAAACAGAAGCAAAATCTACTTGCTTATTTAAGTTACTTTCACTAAGGTCCATCTGGGCAATAGCTCCTCATTCTACACAATAAGCCTGCATCTTAGTCCATTACAAGAAAAAAAAACCACATTCTGGAAAAAGAAAAAAACATTTCACAATATTGGCTTCATAATAAATACATTTTAACTTAAAACAGTATGAAGTAGAATTTTTAATATAATAAAATGCTTGTCACTAGCAGTTCTTTTATAGAGAACATGTAGGAGGAAGGCTTGTCATCTGACAATATCTACCAGGTTAGCATTATGCAAGTATCTGAATTAATAAGCAGAAAGTAACAGTTACTGTCACCAAAAAGTCTGTATCCCTAAGTGAACTCTACTGTGAAATGAGGTGGAAGTTGTGTTTTTCCTGTTCTAAAATCCAACATGCTCACATTCCTTACAGGTAGCCAGTACTGATGAAGTCCGGATTTGCCAGCAATGAAAAGCAGTCAGTGTTCTGCCTTAAGCATACACGCCGTGTCAAGTAAATGCTGCCTTTGTAGTTGCCAGAGCAATAGCCACCACCAATAACAACAAAAATGAGGTAGCTGAGAGAGAACAGTGTGCCTACCACAGTAACATCTCGTTTCCTATGATACTGATTTTTGCTACATTAAGTCTCTTGCAACGAATGATAAGAAATTCACATTGACTTTATCAGATCTACACTACTCAGAATCTGACCGGGTTTACATAGAATTGACCAAGCTGCATGTGCCCAACTCTCACATACTTCTGTTCAAGAAGCCTTTAGTAAATAAGAACATAAAAGAAAAGCTTGACTCAGGCAGATCTGGTTTGGAATTCAAGCTCCAACACACTGGTTTTGCACTTTGGGCAATTTGCTTAACATCTTAAAGCACAATTTTTCTAGTATAAAATGAGGGTAATAAAAGTATGACCTGAAAGTACCTCATAAGGTTGTTCTCAGGATGAAATAAAAAAAAAAATATATTCAATGCTGGCTGGGAGCAGTGGCTCATGCCTGTAATCCTAGCACTTTGACGGGGCGGAGGCAGAAGGATCACTTGAGGCCAGGAGTTCAACACAAGGTAGGCAACAAAGCGAGACCCCAACTCTATTTATTAAATATATATATTTATTCAATGCCATGCCAGGCACACAGTAAGCACTATATAAACATAAGCATACGTTGTTGTTATGGTATTTCATTTTGCTGGTGTAGCTATTCTACTTGCTTTAGGTAGGGTCAACATCACAGAGGGTCATAAATTCCACACACAAAAAAGAAACAATTCAAGCTGAGAATTTAAAGTCGGAGCAACCTATTTATTGACAGACTACAGATGAGGAGTATAGATTGGTCCCCATTGCTGAACATTATACTTTAACGAGAAATGTTAAAACAAACAAACAAAAAACTCTGATTATCCATGTGCTACTGCTGCCTTCGTCTGAGCATCTATCTACAAAAATTATGGAGAATATGGGGAAAAAAGCTAAGAAATTAAAGTATTTATTAAGTAACAGAATGCCACCATAAGATTCACATATATTAAAAATCCTCTCCAAATATCATCTGATCATCCACTGATTAGAAACAAAGTTGACAGAATGCAACCCTGAATTTAACTTGTCTGAACTAAGACAGGACTGATCCTTAAGCACTGACAGGCAAGTTCAATGAATCTACCTTTAGGACCATAGGTTGATAAAGGTAACTAAAGGCAGGGAGCAGTGGCTCACACCTGTAATCCCAGCATGTTGCGAGGCCGAGGTGGGCAGATCGCTTGAGCCCAGGAGTTTGAGACCAGCCTGGGCAACATGGTGAAACCCCATCTCTACAAAAAATACAAAAAATTAGCCAGGCGTGATGGTGCACACCTGTGGTCCCAGCTACTCAGGAGGATGAGGTGGGAGGATTGCTTGAGCCCAGAAGGTCGAGGCTGCAGTAAGCCAAGATTGTGCCACTGCACTCCAGCCTGGGTGACAAAGTGAGACCCTGTCTCCAAAACAAAAAAAAAGAACAACGTTATTTAGACTATCCAAACAGGGACCCTGAAAATACTTGGGTAAGTGCATTTTGCTAATCAATTCTGACAAAAGATAATGGGGTGGAGGAAATAACATAGAGGCACTATTATTAAGACCTGACTCATTACTTTCCTTCAAATCTTACAAGGGAACAACCACAGAGTCACAGGAATACTTCTTCCCACCTGTCAATAACTTTACTCCAACCAACTCTTGTAAGATTCCTACCTCTTCTCCTCATCCCACCTTTGGCCAACTCTAGTCCAATTCCTGCTGGGCAATAAGAAAGGAAACAAGGTTAAAGCCTATGGGAAAACAAAGAGGTCCCAAAACCAAAGCTTTCTAATTAAAGCTTAATGTCGCATGATGTGAGCAATGAAAGGCATGTTAGATAAATCTAGTACGGCTACCTCAATTTAATTGGGAAGGAAATGGTAAATGTTGCCTAGTCTCATACAGCTAGTTAAGGGCACAGCCAGGCAGGATTAGAACTTAAAACCCCTATCTCCTAATCCAGTGTTTTTCCTACTATATCATTGAGATCAGTTTTTAAAAGACTGTATCAATGAACTCTTCTCCTTTTTTACTATATAATACTCAGAATATAAAAACAAAATGTGGGCTGGGCATGGTGGCTCACACCTGTAATCCCAGCACTTTGGGAGGCTGAGGCGGGCAGATCACCTGAGGTCAGGAGTTCGAGACCAGCCTGGCCAACCCAGGAGGTGAAGGCTGCAGTGAGCCGAGATCGCACCACTGCACTCTAGCCTGGTGACAGAGCGAGACCCCGTCTCAGAAAAAAAAAAAAAAAAAAAAAAAAAGATAAAAAAGATCTTCACAAACATTTTTAAATGGTAAAAGGAAAGCATGGAGGTGGGAGGTGTTTTTGCAAATACAGGACTATAAAGATCCCTGCAAGAGCCAGAACCTAAACGTTTCTTAGAAACAGAACAGTGACTGGTTCACTGGGTCAGTAACCTTCAGACTCAGTAGAGATCAATGCACAGATTTTGAAGTCAGGCTCTCTTGGGTTTGAATCCAGTCATGTCATTTAATAACTCTGGAACTTCAGGTATAACCACTCTCTTAATTTACTTATCTCTAAAATGGGATAATAACATCTGATTCATAGAATGAGAGTAATAAAAATCTTACTTCTATTACTATCTTTTGCTGCTTTTGATAATATAAAGTATCACAAACCCAAAGGACATAATAGTTATATAAGCAGCAAGTCAAAATGACCCCAGGAAAGATGCTTCAGCAGAAAGAGGCAGGATATCCAGCATGTTAAACACTCCATTCAAGCAAAGGAAGACGAAGGCTGATCTACTGAAACTGACACCACTGCAGTTATTAGTGAACAGAAGAATCTCCACTGTAGGGCTAAAGTGAGGTGCTGGGAGAATGACCAAGAATACAGGAAGGAAGAATCATGATGCCACAGTAAAGGGAGGGAAGGGAAGGAAGGGGAACAGAAAGCAGAGGCCAACAAATAGTGTTCCTTGCTCAAACTAAACAGTTCTATACTTTCATTTAGAGTTAACTACTAATAATTAAAAAGAAAAAAGCAGAGAACAAATGAGTTTGAATACACAGCCTTCCCCTGGTCTTTGGCACAGCAGGGTTAAGCATTCCTAAAGATCATATAGTCTAAAATGGAATATCACAAAGACCTCTACCACAATACATTGAAATTGATTAAGTGAAAGGAAAGAAGGCTGCTCAATGGATGTTTCCTTATGGGCTATGTAGCTTTGATCAAGAGGGGCAGAGATTCCATATCTACCCAACAGCAGAATGCAGGTAAGCTCAATGTCCAAGTGTTGTGATCAGGCTTGGGCCAGGATTTATTCAAAGTCTCTCCAAAATACTCCACTTGGAGACTACTCAAAACAAAGGATCCTTCTATTAAACAAGGAAGGGGTATGAGGAGTGAAAGTGCGAGGTGGTGAGGGAGATCAGAAACTTAAGCTGCTGCACACTGCGGCTCACACCTGTATTCCCAGCACTTTGGGAGGCAGAGGCGGGAGGAACCCTTTAGCCTAGGAGTTGCAAACCCAAACAAACAACACAGTGAGACCCTATCTCTGTGTTTAAAAAAAAAAGAAAGAAAGAAAGAAAAAAAAGATCTTCACAAACAATTTTAAATGGTAAAAGGAAAGCATGGGGGTAGGAGGTGTTTTTGCAAATCTAGGTATTTAGCTCAGGCTGTCTAAACTCACTTACCTAAGGATGGGATAACAAAAATGCACACTGGCCATGCTGCTCTATTTTTCTCCCATAATGAAAATAGTAACTTTCACAGGAAAGCCCTTGGCCCAGATTAATCTTGTTATTAAATACTATTAATACACTTACCATAAAGGAAAATAAAGTGATTTGAAAATGATCCTAGCAAAGCCACCAATAACAGAGCAGCCAAATTAATCCAGGAATTGCAGACTTAAGCCTCAAAACTGGATTATCACCCTCAATTCACTACTATCCCATGGTGTTCCCTTTGGACATGCTCGTGCTTACAGCAACAGTTTTATATTGAAAATAAAAGGATCGGCTGGGCACAGTGGCTCACGCCTGTAATCTCAGCACTTCGGGAGGCCGAGGCAGGTAGATCACCTGACGTCAGGAGATTGAGACCAGCCTGGCCAACACAGTGAAACCCTGTCTCTACTAAAAATATAAAAATTATCCGGGCTGGGTGGTGAGCACCTGTAATCCCAGCTACTTGGGAGGCTGATGTGAGACAATCGCTTGAACCTGGGAGGCAGAGGTTGCAGTGAGCGAAGATCACGCCACTGCACTCCAGCCTGGGTGAGAGAGCAAGACTCTGTCTCAAAACAAACAAACAAACAAAAAAGGATCAAAACAATATTTTGGTGAACTAAATAAAACCAGTTTGCTTTCTTGTCACCAAAAGGACTCTCTTTCCCACTCCTCACCAATTCAAAGCAACACACCTGTACTCATGATAGAGGTGAAGGAAGGGAGAGGAGGGGTGAGCACACAGGTGTACATGTGCCAATGCACACTCAATCACAAGCGTTTGTGTTATGTGTGTTGGGGGATCCTATACTCCATTTTATCTTTATAGCTGCCCCCTCAGGGACTCACAATTAATGTTATGGAGTGTCATACTAACTTTTAGATTTAGATAATTTTTTTCTAGAAATTTGACATTAGATGAACTGTAAGAGTTCAGAATATGAGCTCACCCTTCTGTCAAGTTGTTCAATCTTCCTCATTAAAAAATGCACTGCCACCCAGGTGTGCTGGCTCATGCCTGTAATCCCAACACTTTGGGAGGCTGAGGCGAGTAGATCACCTGAGGTCAGGAGTTCGAGACCAGCCTGGCCAACATGGTGAAACCCCATCTCTACTAAAAATACAAAAATTAGCTGGGCATAGTGATGTAATCCCAGCTACTCAGGAGGCTGAGGCAGGAGAATCGCTTGAACCCGGGTAGCAGAAGCTGCAGTAAACTGAGATCGCACCATGGCACTTCAGCCTGGGCAACAGAGAGAGACTCCATCTCAAAAAAAAAAAAAAAAAAAAAAAAAAAAAATTGGGAAGGAGTTAGACATATCAAAAGTCTAACTGAAGAAAAAGCCTAAAATTAACCATAAAATTTGGGTTCATTCCAAAACAAGTAGGCAATTTTGCCCTAAAGCCTAAATAATTGCCAAAGGAAAATAAACTAACATTTATATGCTATGCTAAGCACTTTCATCTGATTTAATCCCCACAAGAACCCCAATAGATGGGTAATATTATTCCATTTCATAGCTGGGGAACCTGTGGCTTGGAAAAATTAAGTAACTTGCTCATTAAGCTAAAATTTGAACCTAGGACTTCCTGACTCCAAACCCTATATACTCTTTCTATTATAACCTTGCAAACTCACAAGTTTGTTAACATAAAGGCAAAAGAGAAAAGTCAAAACTCCTAAACTACAAAAATATCAACTCGAATTCTGCATGGAGAAAAGTCAAACCCTCAATTCAATTAAGGACACAGGGTACTATATGTATATTTGATTAAAAGCTTTCTCTGCAGAAAATGAACTCTGGTTTCTTTTTAAAAATATTAATCTCAAACTCCAGAATTACCTCAAAATCCTTTTGGAAATGGGCTTAATTCTACGCAGTTAAGACAGAAAATAAGGAAGGCATTTGAAAAATGTTTGGTTAAATAATGAATAATCAAATCCAGCACAGAGTTATGGCTTCTGAATCAGAAAACTAAATTGCAAATAGCCTTGCATTTGGTAAAATTACTTTCCTGAAGCCTGTTGTGAGTCTGCAATTCTACCAAAAGTACAGAAACTAACCCAGAAATAAATTATTAAAAATTAGACTAATTAAAATAGGAAAACATAGATAACAGTTGGTGATTTTAAGAAACTATGATGTAGCCAGGTGCGGTGGCTCACACCTCTAATTCCAGCACTTTGGGAGGCCGAGGCAGGTGGATCACCTGAAGTCAGGAGATCAAGACCAGCCTGACCAACATGGCGAAACCCCATCTCTACTAAAAGTACAAAAATCAGCCAGGTGTAGTGGTGTGCGCCTGTAATCCCAGCTACTTGGGGGGCTGAGGCAGGAGATCACTTGAACCCAGGAGGCAGAGGTTGCAGTGAGCGAGATTGTACCACTGCACTCCAGCCTGGGCGACAGAGTGAGACACTGTCTCAAAAAAAAAAAAAAAAAAATCTATGATGCAGGGCCAGGCATGATAGCTCATGCCTGTAATCCCAGCACTTTGGGAGGCCAAGGAGGGAAGATTGCTTGAGCCCAGGAGTTCGAGACCAGCCTGGGCAACAAAGCAAGACCCTGTCTCTACAAAAAATGAAAAACTTAGCCTAAAGTGAGGCACTGGGAATGGTGGCACGCACCTGTGCTCTCAGCTACTCAGGAAGCTGATGCAGGAGTATCACTTGAGCCCAGGAGGTTGAGGCTGCAGTTAGCAATGACAGCACTGCTGCACTCCAGCCTGGGTGACAAAGCAGGTCTCAAAAAAAAAAACAAAAAACAAAACAGAGAAACTCTGACGCAAAAGTCAAGATTTATTGTTTAAAATATAACCAATTCATAAATACCATAAAAGGCACAATTACTTTATAGGCCACCAATCAAAGTACACTATTATTATAGCATTCTCTAATGTATCAAATCAATATAAAACCTTTAAGAGATTCCCTACTTAATGATTAGTGAATCTTTATCACCTTCCTGAAAATTTTCTGAGTCTAAATTTTTAACCAACTAAATATTCAACTACTCCTCAAAAACATTTCTTTCAGATGCTTTGTTTTAATGCTGATAAGGTACTATTCTTGTTTACTGCCCAACTTCTAGATTAACACTTACCAATCCCACAAAACCTTATCAACCTCCAAAGCCTACATTTTGAAGATGCATCTGGAAAAAAATATCTAAAAATTTAAAAATAACACTAACGACAACATCTATTACCAGTTCATCCCCAAAGAAGCTGATTCTGGCTGCATGGAGAAAAGGGTCACATGATCATCAAGGGGACGGTGGGAAGTGGCTTCTTCCTGGGAAGCCCAGTACCCAAAAAGCCTCTCCCAGACAGGCTTCCCCTCTTCCTTATTCACAATGGGCCCTCCTTCATGAAGATGAGAGAGGGAAGGAAAGAAAGGGCAGCAAATTAAGGCTCCAATGCATTCAGAATTTACTCTTTCCCATTCTCCCATTCCAAATACCTATAGCACTTTCAGCATGAGTAATGAAGGTTTTAGAGATTCTTCTCTGCAAAACAATGGGTGGGGTGGGCAGAAAAGTGTGACTTCCCCAGTCCTGGAATAAAAGCTGTGACAGGTATCCCCCATGTGGAGAGCACCGATAAGCCAGGGAGGACTAGGATGCTGTGTTCTCATGGGTATTGGGGGTGACCAGTACAAGGCCTGCTGAGGGTACTCAAATCTGACTTTCCTTTTTTCTGTGCCTAAACCACCTACATCACCAGGGTTGTGTCAGTTTACTGTGGGACTCTTCTCTGCTGGCTTATCAGGCTGTATGGCCACCATGCTCCCAGTCCCTGCCACCATGGCCTTGGTCCTCTTTAATTTTTCCTTTAAGTATTTAAGTGCTATTTCCTGGGGAGGAAGGTCAAAGTAAATAACCCCACTTCATTAAAATGACTGAGTCTTAATTAAAGCGACTCAGTCCACCAAAAAATAATTTTTTAAAGAAAAAAATATATGTAAATAACATATGTATAAATGTACATATACATATACTTTAGATTGAGAAATGTCAGAGACAAAATGTAGGCCAGGCACGGTGGCTCATACCTGTAATCCCAGCACTTTGGAAGGCCGAGGTGGCTGGGTCACTGGAGCTCTGAAGTTCGAGACCAGCCTGGCCAACATGGACAGATCCTGTCTCTCCAAAAGCTACAAAAATCAGCTGGGTGTGATGGCGCATGCCTGTAGTCCCAGCTACTCAGGAGGCTGACGTGGGAGGATCGCTTGAGCATGGGAGGCAGAGGTTGCAGTGAGCCAAGATTGCGCCACTGCACTACAGCCTGGGGGACAGCGTGAGACCCTGTCTCAAACAAAAACGAAAATAATCACCCTCCTCCTGAAAAAAGGAAATTATAAATTTTAAAAGAAGAAAAAAGAGATGAAATCTGCAATCTCCACACTCCTTTTTTTTTCCCCCTGTAAACAGAAGCTGCAAACTTTCTGCATTAAGGATGCTGATGTGCTGCAAATAGATTAGTCAAGCTAAACCACAGCGGAGTGAGAAGGGGTAATAAAAAGAAAGGCAGAAAGGGACTGTCTGAGCACGTACATATGAGTATGAGTGTATTACGATTACATTCTTAATTCCAAGAGATGATTTGGGATGAGTCATTGTTTTGTACCAACAACAGTAAAATTTCTGTCCATTGTTACACATAACAGAGAGTGGATTCTGAGTGGTTATTTTCTACAGAAATTAAACGGAAATTTTTTTTTTTACCCCGAACCAGAAATTCTGTTGAGATTGGTGAGATTTACAAAGAATTCAGTACCATTTATCAGCCATGTGTTAGTACTGAGAGAAGCTGTTTGGGATTTACTGAGGATTCACATAAAAAATTCTGCAAGGTATAGCTGAACAACTACCACAAAATAAGGTTTCTGGCCAGGCATGGTGACTCACGCCTATACTCCCTTGGGAGCTTGGGGAGCTGAGGCAGAAGGACTGCTTGAGACCAGGAGTTCAAGACCAGCCTGGACAACACAGCAAGACCCCATCTTTTAATTTTTTTTAATTAGGCATGGTGGCAGTACCTGTAGTCCCAACGACTGTGGCACTCCAGCCTACGCAATAGAGAGAAAGAGACTCCAACTCTTAAAAAATAAATACATAAAGTTTCCTGCTTGGCGGTCTGGCTATCAATACAAGCCCAATCTGGTTATCCCCTAAACACTTTTTATTTTCAGAAACAGGATCTCACTCTATCACTGACTGGAGTGCAATGACATGATCACAGCTCACTGCAGCCTTCATCTCCCAAGCTCAAGTGATCCTCCCAGCCTCCCAAGTAGCTGGGACTACACGCATGTACCCCCACACCTGGCTAATTATTTTTATTTCTTTGTAGAGGCAGGGTCTCCCTATGTTGCAGGCTGGTCTCGAATTCCCGGACTCAAGCAATTCTCTCATCTCAGCCTTCCAAAGTGTTGGGATTATAGGCATGAGCCACCATGCCCAGTCCTCAAATACTTTTTAGAAAAGTTTTTTTAATGTTTTCAATGATGCCAGGCAGCACCATTATATTGGAGCATAGAGGGCATCCTAAAGCCAATGGCCCCTGCTTGGCTTACAGAAGAACTAGAATCTTCATTACACCATCATACTTGTAACTGTTAACTTTTCCAAAGCTGTATTTGACCTTATGTTTGAAGAAGGCTTTCCATACTTTAACTTCAGACTACTTTTTCATCATCTTCTAATGCTAAACTGATTCATCTTCTGTCCCTAAAAATGACCTGTACTTTGCTATTTCCGTATCCTTGCTTACACTGCTCTGTCCACAATTCCCTCTTTCCCATTTTTCTCCATACATAGAAACAATCCTTCTCACTGCTCAATCCTAGCTCACCCTGGTAGCCTTCCTTCTTTGACTACCTCAGTCAACAAAAGGTTCTCTGTCCATCCTCACAATCTCTATAATAGTAATTGTCCAGATCTCTCAATTGGGCACTTAGGGAAACAAAACAACAAATACTATATTTTCACTGACTCATAATATATTGAAATTCTTAGGGTTTTTTTTTTTGCCATTACTGCTTTTTTTTTTTTTTTTTTTTGAGACAGAGTCTCGCTCTGTTGCCCAGGCTGGAGTGCAGCGGCGTGATCTCGGCTCACTGCAAGCTCTGCCTCCCGGGTTCACACCATTATCCTGCCTCAGCCTCCCGAGTAGCTGGGACTACAAGCGCCCGCCATTTGCCATTACTTTTAATGGCAAAAACCACAATTACTTTTACACTAACCTACAGAAGAGCCCTTAAAAGTTATTAGAATAGTAGGTACCCAACTTTTTAATCACCAAAGATAGTTTCTGTTATTTAATACCTTCCCCCTACTCCTACCACTCTTTGGTTTCTAAGTTAAAGTCAGAAGGCCATGTTATTTAAAACTTTGTATAAGGTCAGGCACAGTGGCTCACGCCTGTAATCCCACCACTTTGGGAGGCCAAAGTGGGCAAATCACCTGAGGTCAGGAGCTCGAGACCAGCCTGGCCAACATGGTGAAACCTCGTCTCCACTAAAAGTACAAAAAATCACCAGGGCATGGTGCCACACGCCTATAATCCTAGATAGGCTGGGACCCACTTGAACCCAGGAGGCAGGGGTTGCAGTGAGCCAAGCCTGTGCCACTGCACTCTAGCCTGGGCGTCAAGAGTGAAACTCCATTTCAAAAAAACATAAAAAAACTTTGTATACCAAACTGGGATTATCAATAAACGAAGTGTATTTTTTTGAAAAACTAAGTTAAAACTTTTATTGTAAATCAAAGCTGTTAAACTCAGTTCTCACACAGAAAGGACACACGACTCCAGTTAAAAGCAAAGATATTTTATTTTTTGGTTAACCTGTGTGGCATCACCATGGCTAAAAATGTATACTTTTAGCTTTAAAAAAAAAATGCTTCCAGTGCTATCTACTCAGACCCCTTATCAATCTGAGGAACCAAAATCAAGAACTACATACTTAAGCCAATCCCTTATTTTACTGATAAAACTGAGACCCAGAGAAGGAAAGGAGATTTCTAAAATCACAAAGGTGGTGTCACAGCCAGGTCCCCAAAAGGACATGGATATAAGTCTCCAGATTCTGAGGGGGGGGGGGGGAGGGTGTGTGTGTGTGTGTGTGTGTGTGTGTGTGTGTGTTTTATTTCTTTTTTTCTTTTCTTTTTTTTTTTTTTTTTTTTTTGAGACAGGATGGTCTTGCTCTGTCACCCAGTCTGGAGTGCAGTGTTGTACTCACGGCTCACTGCAGCCTCAACCTCCTGGGCTCAAGTGATCCTCCCACCTCAGCCTCCCAAAATGCTGGGATTACAGGCATCAGCCACCAGGCCCAGTCCAGTCAGTGTTCTTTCTATTACATCGTGCTGATGCCAAGGGCCTTACTTACACAAACAGAATGTTGATTATTTTAGGGCAGGAACCAAGTCTTACATCTCTTAGTATCTACCACTGACTCTTCTACATAGCTGAAGTCACAATAAATATTTGTTTACTAATTACATATAATCAACTAATACCTAGTTATCTAATAATTTTAGCCCTTAAGAAATCTAAATGTGAAAGGCAAAGCAATAAAACTTTTAGAAGATAATATTAGAGATTATCTTTATGACTTTATGTCATAACTCACAGAAAGCACTAATCATACAGAAAAAAAGATTAAATTTCATTACAACATTAAAATTAAGAATTTATTTATCAAAAGACACAACTAACAGGGAAAAGACAAGCTACAGAGGGGAAAAAAGATATCTGTAACAAGTACAATAAAAAAAAGGGGGGCTCATCTCCAAAATATAGAGGGAACTACCGGCCAGGTATTTCCTCAACAATTTATTAACAAATAAGATTTGTATATATTCAAGGCATACACCATGATGTTTTGATAGATGTATACATTATGCAATGATTACCATAACCTAACCAATTAACATGAAGAACATTCTTTTCATTTTATTTTTTAAATTAAAACGATTTTTAAGTGGGTAGTTCACACCTGGAATCTCTCACTTTAGGAGGCCGAGGCAGGTGAATGGCTTGAGCCTAGGAGTTTGAGACCAGCCTGGGCAACATGGCAAGACCCTGTTTCTACTAAAAATATGAAAATTAGCCGATCACGATAGTGTGCACCTTTAGTCCCAGCTACTCAGGAGGCTGAGGCAGGAGGATCACTTGAGCCCAGGAAGTTGAGGCTGTAGCAAGCTGTGATCACGCCACTGCACTCCAGCCTGGGCAAAAGAGCAAGGCCCTGTCTCCAAAATACACAAAAGTTTTTAATTTAAAAAAAATTTTTTTAAGAACTACCACAAGTCAATAAAAGACAAATAACCCAAAAGAAAAATGTGCAAAAGACTTGAATATCACAGCTAATAAACTCATGAAAAGGTGCTCCTATTGTTAACCAGAGAAATGCAAACTAAAACCACAATGAGATACCACTATATTCCTACTACATTAGGAATTTTTAATTTAATTATTTAAATTTTAAAATTTTAAATTTAGAAGTTGACAACAGCAAGTGTTAGAGAAGATCTGAAGAAATGGGAACTCACCTATACTGCTGGTGAGTACCTTAAACTGCTATAACCACTTTATTTATTTATTTTTATTTTTTATTTTTGGAGACAGAGTCTCGCTCTGTCACCCAGGCTGGAGTACAGTGGCACGATCTTGGCTCACTGCAACCTCCACCTCCTGGGTTCAAGCAATTCTCCTGCCTCAGCCTCTGGAGTAGCTGGGATTACAGACATACAACCCCATGTCCAGCTAATTTTTTTTTTTTTGAGACGTTGTTTCACTCTTATTGCCCAGGCTGGAGTACAATGGCACAATCTCAGCTCACTGCAACCTCCGCCTCCTGGGTTCAAGTGATTCTCCTGCCTCAGCCTCCCAAACTAATTACAGGCATGTGCCACCATGCCCAGCTAATTTTGTACTTTTAGTAGAAACGGGGTTTCACCATGTTGGCCAGGCTGGTCTCGAACTCCTGACCTCAGGTGATCCGCCCACCTCAGCCTCCCAAAGTGCTGGGATTACAAGCGTGAGCCACCGTGCCCAGCCTACAACCACTTTAGAAAAATGTTTGACAGGCTGGTCCTATGGTAGTGGGTTATCAGAACTTATTAACTTTAGTGTCACTAAAGTTGGTATACAACCCCCCATTGCTAAATTTGACTGGCTTTTAAAAAAGAAAAAAGTTGGGCAGTAGCTAATAAACTGAAGATAAAGAAATCCTGGCTAGGCATCATGGTTCACATCTGTAATCCCAACACTTTGGGAGGCCAAGGCAGATAGATCACTTGAGGCCAGGAGTTCAAGGCAAGCCTGGCCAATGTAATGAAACCCCGTCTTTACAAAAAATACAAAAATTAGCCTAGTGTAATGGTGTATGCCTGTAATCCCAGCTACTCAGGAGGCTGAGGCAGGAGAATCGCTCGAACCCAGGAGGCGGCCCTTGCAGTGAGCCGCGATCACGCCACTGCACTCTAGCCTGGGCGACAGAGAGAGACTCTGCGAAAAAAAAAGGAAGGAAGGAAGGAGGGAGGGAGGGAGGGAGGGAAGGAGAGGGAGGGAGAGAGGGAGGGAGGGAAGGAAGGAAGGAAGGAAGGAAGGAAGGAAGGAAGGAAGGAAGGAAGGAATCCCATGACCTATCTATTTTTGGGTATATCCCCAACACAAATATGTGCTGAGATGTGCCAGAATAAACACATAAGAAAGTTCTTGAGCTAAGCACAGTGGTTCATGACTGTAATCCCAGCTAATTGGGAGGCTGAGGCAGCAGGATAATCTGACACCAGGAGTTCAAGACCAGCCTGAGCAAAACAGCAAGACCCTGTCTCCGAAAAAATTGTTTTAATTTAAAAAATAAAATAATGTTCTTTATGTTAATTAGTTAGGTTATGGTAATCACTGCATAATGTATATATCTATCAAGACATCATGGCGTATACCTTGAATATACACAAATTTTGTTAACTGTACGTCAATAAAGCTGGGAGGGTGAGGAAATGTTCTCAGCTGCAAATTCATAGTATCCCCAAACAGGAAAACACCCACAAATGTCCACCAACAATAGAATGAAGAAATAGTGGCATATTCATGCAGTGGAATACTATACAGCAATGAAAAAGAACAAACTACTGCTACACATAATAGAGAAAAATATAAAACAGGATGTAAGAAGCTGATACAACAGAATACATATTGTGTAATGCCAATTATATAACGCTAAAAACTAGGCAAACTATATTGTTTAAAGATGCTTGTTTAGGAAGTAAATCAATAAAGAAAAGCAAAGAATTAGCTGAGTGCAATGGCACGTGCCTATAGTCCCAGCTACTTGGAAGGCTGAGGTGGGAGAATCACTTCAGGCCAGGAGGCCAAGGCTGCAGTAAGCCATAATCATGCCACTGCACTCCAGGGTGACAGAGCAAGATTCTGTCTCTAAAAAAATAATAATAAATAAGAAGAAGAAAAAGAAGTGAATATCAAAAAGTTAGCATGTTGATTGGACACAGCACACAAAAAGCTGGCTCCTAGGCATGCTAAAAATGTTCTATTTCTTGATCTGTGTGTTGTATATAGGAGTATTTATAACAGCTCATTAAGCTGTGTATTTTATTATACACTTTTCAGTATACCTCTTTTCTTTCAAAACAAAAAGGTTTTTGAAAGTGCTAAGCACAGGCCTAGTACATAGTAAACATTCAATAAAACAAATGTTTTTTTAAGGCAAGATACTATCAAATTGGTGTAACACACATTGAAAGAATCAAAGTACCTGTGAGTATGAAGAAGTCACACATGAAGTAAAAGTCATTTACTCCTGATTAGGTCATCATTCTAGTAGAAAAAAAACTGGTTATACAACTCCTTTGCACCTAAAGGAGGTAGGATCTACAAATCCTATAAATGAGAAAGGTCGTATGGATTTCAATTAGCTACTTGGAATTGAACAAATTAATCTCTATAAATCTCAGTTTCCTCATCTGTCTGAGAAAATACCTGTCTAGATAGCTTATCATGAGGTTCAAATTAAACAATATTTGTAAAAACACTTTATGAATGGCAAAGTACCAAATGTATAGCATTATTAATATACTATTACATGACATGATTTTAGATATAAATAAATCGAGCATGAGAGGAAATACCATAGAACATGAAAATACGAACACTTCATATCCTGCTTTTCATTTAGGATTTGGAAAACACGATGTCCCTAAATTGGTATAAAATCTTCGGGGGTAATATGAGAACAGAGGAAACCCCAGATAATGTGAAAATTGAGTAACAGCTTGGGGGGAAACCCGCAGCTGATATCTCAACACAGTTGTCCCTCGGTATACTGGGGGACTGGTTCCAGGAAGGACCCCTGAGTACACCAAATTACACACACACTCAAGTCCTGCAGTCCCCCGAGGAACCTGCATATACAAAAAGTTGGCCCTCTGTACAGACAGGTTTCACATCCTGCAGATACCACTGTTTTGATCAGCATTGGGATGAAAACAAATCCACATATAAGTGGATTGTTTTAAAAAGAAAAAACGCAGCTCAAACCTGTGTTGTGCAGGGGTCAGCTCTACAACAGCATTCACTAATTCTGACCAAATGACAGTTCCAAAAGAGAACTCCACCCTTAAAATACTGTTGACTTCATCCTAAACTGGATTATCTTTGATGGCAGGAACTAATCTAAATCATCTTCATGAGATGCTTTAGGTGTAACACAAATGGAACAGGAAGGAAAGAGCTCCAAACCAGCCTAATTAACTGCAGTCCACAGCAAGTGGGCAAATGTTGCTGGGAAGGAGGCAAGAAGAAGAAATGCTATGGCCAGAACACTCAGAAAATGGCAACTCTAAACAAGACTGAATTATTGTATCATTGTTTTTATTTTATTTTATTTATTTTTTTTTTTTGAAACAGTTTCACTCCGTCACCCAGTCTGGAGTACAGTAGTGCATCTCAACTCACTGAAACCTCCACCTCCTGTGTTCAAGTGATTCTCCTGCCTCAGCCTCCTGAGTAGCTGGAATTACAGGCGCCTGCCACCATGCCCGGCTAATTTTTGTATTTTTAGTAGAGAAGGGGTTTCACCATGCTGGCCAGGCTGGTCTTGAACTCCTGACCTTAGGTGATCCACCCGCCTTGGCCTCCCAAAGTGCTGGGATTACAGGGTGAGCCACTGCACCTGGCTTTTATTGTAACTTTTTTTTTTCCCTTAGAGACAGAGTCTTACTCTGTGGCCCAGGCTGGAGTGCAGTGGCATGATCTCAGCTCACTGCAACCTCCACCTCCCGGGTTCTAGCAATTCTCCTGCCTCAGCCTCCCAAGTAGCTGGGACTACAGGTGCACACCGCCACACCTGGCTAATTTTTCATATTTTAGTGGAGACAAGGTTTCACCGTGTTGCCCAGGCTGGTCTCGAACTCCTGAGCTCAGGCAATCCACCCACCTCAGCCTCCCAAAGTGCCAGGATTACAGGGTGAGCCACCGCACACGGTCTTTATTGTAACTTTATTTTTTTCAATTGTAACATTTTAAAGGAAATGTATATATCACAGAATTTCAGAAAGGGAATGGACACCAATACAAGTACTAATTTTACAAATGAAGAAATGTGAAGCCTCAAGAGTAGAACTGACCTACTGGTTACAGTAAGTAGCTGTTTTATGAGTAAATAATTACTAAGTAAATTTTAAAAGTAAAAGTCTTGTAATAAACAGTCACGGCTCATTAACAAAGCTCCATAAAAACTGAAATCTCCTCATCTCCTGCCAATATTTAAACTTGGCAGTCAACCCCTTCTTTTTTTTTTTTGAGACAGAGTCTCGCTGTTTCCCAGGCTGGGATGCAGTGGCGTGATCTTGACTCACTGCAACCTCTGCCTCCCGGGTTCACGTGATTCTCCTGCCTCAGCCTCCTGAGTAGCTGGGACTACAGGCGCGTGCCACCACGCCCGGCTAATTTTTGTATTTTTTAGTACAGACGGGATTTCACCGTGAATCCAGGAGGCGGAGGTTTCAGTGAGTTTAGATACACCACTGTACTTCAGATTGGTCAACAGAGAGAGACTCCGTTTAAAAAAAAAGAAAAAAAGGAAGAGAAAAGGAAAGCAAATAAAACAGTTTATTGATACTATTGAGCCATAAGGAGCTACACTATTTGTACTTGAAAGATAACAGCCATTCAAAGCTGTACCTTCCCCAAAGAAAAGCCCCACCTCAACCACATCAACTGCTACTAGCTAAATAAAAACATACAACCTTCCAAACCCGGGGTTTGACGAATGAGCCAGATGAAACTACACATTCATTTGCTCGAAAAAGTAAGTGTAACAGCCAACTCAGCCGTTTATCAGAAGGCACAGGCCCTTGAGAAGAGCATCATGGGTCGCGGTGATATTTGTATGTGTATATGTGCATATATATATACACATACATATATCTCCATGGTTCCTGGCTTAAAGCTCCTATATAACCCTTGTAATTTCCTAAGTGACTTTGGTTAAAATACTGTATTCGGCCTCTTGCCACTGGTTCCTGAACAGCTCCAGAGTGATAAAAGCAAAAGACAGTCTTTTGCTATTTATAACAAGCCCCTTTCAACCACACCTGAGCTTATGTTAATGAGATGATTTTTGCAAAGTCCCTAGATAACCACAGGACTGGTGGCCAATTGCCAGGGGAATCAACCCTGTGCTCATACAGTTAGAACTCAAAACCCCACCCTCAACCTCCAGGGAAAGGAGAGGGGCTGAAGGTTGCACTGATAACCAATGGCCAATGACTTAATCAATCATGCTTACCTAATGAAGCCTCCATAAAAACCTAAAAGGGGGCATCCAGGAGAGTGAAGAGGAACACATCCACTTGCTGGGAGGGTGAGGCACCCCAGCTCTACCGGGATGGAAGCTCCTGCGTTCAGTACTCTTCCAGGCTTTGCCCTGGGTATCTCTTCATCTGGCTGTTCACTTGTGTCCTTTAAAACATCCTTTCTAATGAACTGGTCAGTATGTTTCCTGAGTTCTGTGAGCCACTCTAACAATTTCATGGAACCCAATAAGGGGATATTGGGAAACCAGTTTATAGCCAGCAGGTCAGAAGCACAGGTAAAACCACCTGGAGCCTGTGACTGGCACTGAAGACTGGGGACAGACTTGTGGGACTGAGCCCTCAATCTGTGAGATCTGACGCTATCTCCAGGTAGACAGTGTCAGAACTGAACTGAACTGAACTGCATTAGAGGACACCAGCTGGCAGCTGCTGCAGAACTGGTTGACTGCTTGGTGTGTGGGGACACACTCCCACACATTTGGTCACAGAAGTATTTTGTGTTGAGAGTACAGGAGAAACCAATTCTGTTATTCCTATATTCTAGGAGTCATCCACAGTCATTCGAGCAGTTTCTACACGAGAGAAGAAAGTCTACTGCATCGTAGTAAAAAATAAACATTAAACCTTCAGAACTATTTGCACAAAAGAAAAATGGAATCACAGGTCAGGTGGGGAAGGAGTGGTGCTTATCAAAGGTCAGCCACTTAGTACAAATTTGCTAAACTGCCTTGGTCAGAGCACATTGTCAGAACCCCACTCTTTCCACAGAATTTTCCAAACATTAACCCATGTCCGTAGCACGCTGATGAGGTAAATGATGTTTTACAGATAGGGAGGAACAAAAAAGTGAGGGCCTGGCTGAGCCAATATTCTCTCTGCCTTTTAGTTAGCATACAGATCTCTGTTTATTATTCTAGAAAGCTGTTCTCAATTTCACACATAGGGGATTATGTTTTAAGATGTAAAGTCTATATAAGGGCTGCTTTGCTTACCACTATCTTTGTCAACCATTATCAAAAACTCCATTAATTAAGCTAGGCACCATGGTGTGCACCTATAGTCCCAGCTACTCAGGAGGCTGAAGCAGGAGAATCCCCTAGGAACTCGAGTCCTGTCTGGGCAACGTAACAAGACGTCATCTCTAAAAAAACAGAATAAAATAAAATAAATCTGGGCACAGTGGCTCACACCCAACACTTTGGGAGGCCGAGGCAGGAAGATCATTTCAGCCAACGTGTTTGAGACCACCCTGGATAGCACAGTGAGCCTCTGTCTCTACAAAAAAAAAAAAAAAAAAAAAAAAAAAAAAAAACCTAAAAATAACAAAATAACAAATAAAAAATAAAAATAATCCATAAATTAGTTAAGAAACCAGCTTTTGAGCACCTTCTACCTGTAACAACAGGCCTGCCTACAAAGAAAATATTAGTTTTAAGTAAATCCTACTTTATTTTATTCTACCCATTGCTACAGAAACAAAGATCTGATCATTTTGTAGTTGGGTATGTCAAAATCTTTTTATTATACAAGTAAATGTGTCTAGAGATTGACTGGAAAGAGGCACAAGGGAACTATCTGGGATATAGAGATTTTCTCTATTGATTAAGGTGGTGGTTATAATAATTCATCAAATCTCATTAAACTGTATATTTAATATCTATGCATTTCCTGGTATATAAATTTTACCTAAAAAGTTTAAGAGTCAAAGACAATTATTTAATAGTGAAACCCCTGAGTTGGGAAACACAAAGGGTAAACCCCATATAATTAAAAAAAGACAAAAAGCCTAACTGAAAAAACATATTCTTTCCTTTGGTCTACATTTCAACTTCTGTGTACTGATTAATTCTTGAAAAATCAAATACCCATGGGGCTTTCATAACACCACTAAGCAGAAAGGAGAGGGTCTCAGGGCAGAGTGGACACTTTCATCTGCCTGTGAGCATATAAACCACATTCATCAACTAGAGCTGCCCCATCCATCAGCCAAAGCAAAAACAAACTGTCCTTGTGTCAAAACGCAACATAGAAAGTCACCCTGTGATATCTCCTCTGAGACGGGTTAAGAGAAGAAGAAATGAATTGAAATCTCATTTATAACCACACGGCCTAAATTAGTCTCTCATAGTCATCAATGAGATGCTTATCAGATTGTGGAGGGCAAGGGAGGAAATGTGAAGAAGTTAAAAAAAAAAAAAAGGTACAAATGTAAGTAACTAATATTGTAAGTGAAAAACCCACTTCCATCTTACCACACAGGTTTATTTTGTTCAGAAACAAACGCAAAGTGAATACATAACTGGATCTATTTCAAGGGTTAATATAATAAAAATACCTTTACTCTGGAAGCAAAAAGAGTTCCTTCTTGATAGAAATGCCAGGTTTAACCATTGGCAGATTGTAGAAAACACAAATGACAACTAAGATAACTAGTGTGGGCTAAACAATAACATTTTCACTTTTTGAAATAACTCCAAGGCAACTCCAAAGTCAATCATTCTTATTAGCAGTTGTTGAGGCCCAGAAACCGATACCTCAAAATATGGCACTTTGACATGCTGAACTGTACAATCCTCAAGGCCTCTCTGACCATCCCCTCACCACCCCCAAAGCACAGGGAGAAGTTGTTCTCTGAAGTTCCCTTATCTGCCTAAATCTGGACCTGCCAAAGAAGAAAATAGTTATCTCTGTCCCTTCCCCGAGTTTTCATTAACTGAACTAATATTGCAGGAAGAGAGACTGAAGTATGTCAATACACCTGATGATTTTTTTTTTTTTTTTTAGACAGGGACTCACTCTGTCGCTCAAGCTGGAATCACAATCACAGCTCACTGCACCCTTGACCTACTGGGCTCAAGTGATCCTCTAGTCTCAACCTCCCTGGTAGATGGGACTATAGTCATGTGCCACTATGCCCAGCTAATATTCTTAAAAACAAACAAACAAACAAACAAACAAACAAAAAAAAAAAAATATATATATATATATATATATATTGCACACTGCACTATGCCAGTGCTTGGGAGTAACTTTTATCTTTTTTTTGACACAGGGTCTCTCTGTGTCACCCAGGCTGGAGTGCAGTGGCGCAATCTCACCTCACTGCAACCTCCGCCTCTAGGGTTCAAGTGATTCTCCCACTTCAGCCTCTCAAGTAGCTGGGATTACAGATGTGCGCCACCGTGGCATAACTAATTTTTTGTATTTTTAGTAGAGACGGGGTCTTGCTATGTTGGCCAGGCTGGTCTTGAACTCCTGGCCTCAAGTGATTCACCTGCGTTAGCCTCCCAAAGTGCTGGAATTACAGGCATGAGCCACCACACCCGGGCCTGGACAGACTTTTGTCACAAACCACTATCTGCTCTGTAGGCCCAAAAAACTTTGTCCCAGACCACTGTATATTCTCCAAGCCCACTGAATAACTTTAAAAATCATTTACTAGCCCTGTAAAATCATCCATACCTCCCCATCTCCCTTCCTCTAAAAACAAGGGTACATAAGCATCTGTACCCCACTGGGTTGTGGGCAATCTCTCTGTGATTTTCCTCCATACATGTTAATAAAAATGTTTATGCCTTTTCTCCTATTAATCTGACTTTTGTCAGTTGATTTTCAGCTAACCTCAAAGGCGGAAAGGAAAACTCCCCTTTCACTCCTACACAGTCTTTAAAAAAAAAAAAAAAAAGCATTACCAATATTGGCTGCATAAATATACTAATAATAACACATGCTCATTTCTGCCATTGTGCCTCTTTTCCCTAAAGATTACTAAAAATAGCCACCTTAGCAAAGAAGAATAAAGACTATCTTGGAAGATAAACAGGGCTTCAATAATGCCCCATAACTCTAAACTGATGTAAGCCTGCAACAGCTGTAAAGTCATCAGGGATTCATCAGGTAACACCACCAAAGTTAAGGTTGCAATATTTTACAAACTCACAGGCTGAAAAATTCCTTAAAAACCATCTGGCTGGGCATGGTAGCTCACACCTGTAATCCCAGCACTTCGGGAGGCCAAGGCAGTTTGTTTGCTTGAGCTCAGGAGTTCAAGACCAGCCTGGGCAACATGGCAAAACCCCAACTCTACCAAAATATACAAAAATTACCCAGGCGTGGTGGCATGTGCCTGTAGTCCCAGCTACTTAGCAGGCTGAGGTGGGAGGATCACTTGAACCCAGGAAGCGGAGGTTGCAGAGAGCTGAGATCAGCGCCACTGCACTCTAGCCTGAGTGACAGAGTGAGACCCTACCTTAAAAAAAAAAAAATCATCTAATGCAGTAGTTTGCAAGCTTTAAGTAGCTATGGAATTCTACCCCATTCTTTAAAAAACAAAAACAAAACCTCAAAAGTTTATATCAGATGTCTTTCCACTTTCTTTTTGTCCAGTCATACTAAAGGGACACAAACTCATCCATCGGTAATAACATGCAGTAGTTTCTCAACTGTCAATGAGCAACTACTACCTCACTCAGTGTGGATACTCTGGTGCAAAGCTAAGCACCTTTCCCTATATTTCAATCTTCATTCCACAAGCAAACCTGGAGGCCACTCAAAAGAATCCTAAGACTCTCTGTAAATGTAGCTTGAAAAAAATCACTGATCCGGTCCAACCCCCTTATTTCATAACTGATACCCATAAAAGTAAAATGAGAGACAGCATGGTATGACTGAAAGGAAAGTGATAAAAATCAATGCTAGTTCTAGCCCTTACCGGTATGTGACCTTGAGCAAATCTCTTAAAGTCTTTGAATTTTAGTTTCCTCATCACAAAATGTGAATAATCATATCTATGCCCAATACAATTTTTTTTTTTTGAGACAAGATCTCGTTCTGTCACCCAGGCTAGAGTGCAATGGCACAATCTCAGCTCACTGCAACTTCTGCCTCCCAGGCTCAAGCCTCTGGAGTAGCTGAGACCACAGGCATGTTTCACCACACCCAGCTACTTTTTTGTGTTTTTGGTAGAAACAGAGTTTCACCATGTTGTCCAGGCTGGTCTTGAACTCCTAATCACTCAAGTGATCCACCTGTCTCAGCCTCCCAAAATGCTGGGATTACAGATGTGATCCACCACACCCAGCCTATACTTTCTTTAAAAGTGCTCTGCAGACTGCAGAGCATTATATAAATTAAGGTTATTATTTTTATTGTTAGGTGATTATTAACCAAGATGACGTGGTGAGTCAAGTGCACAGTCAGACCTGGAACTCAAATCCCCTGACTACCTCTCTAAGGCTTTTTCCACAACTTTATGTAACACTTGTGTTCAATACTAAGCCATTGTTATCAAATTCTCAAATTTGGGTTTTATACTAACCATTTGTATTGAAAAAAAATGGTGCCATGCATAAAACAAAATCCTTTAAGATTACATGAAATAAATGTAAACCCAAGGAATTGATGGTCTATCCAAGCCAAAAGGGGGAAATGTAGATAAAGGATATACAGTCGTGCACCATATACCAACAGAGGTCCTGTAAGATGATAACGCTGTATTTATACTGCACCTTTCCTGTTTAGCTGTGTTTAGATACACAAATACTTAACCGTTGGGTCACAACTGCCTACAATATTGAGTTAGGAAAATGCTGTATAGGTTTGTAGCCTAGGAGCAACAGACCATACCACATAGCCCTAGGTGGGTAGTAGGCTATACCATCTAGGTCTGTGTAAGTACACTCTTATGATGTTCCCACAAGGAAACAATCACCTAATGATGCATTTCTCAGAATGTATCCCCATCGCTAAGCAGTGCGTGACTATACTTGCATTCTACAATATGATATATCATGAATGGTTGTTAAGGCACTAATGAAACAATTTTGACCATTCTGAGCTGCTGTGTACTATTGACATGCTGAAGAAAACCAAAAAAGCCCATAATGTGGCTAAATAAGAACTTCAGCATGTACATATTGATCAGAACCCAACTATGATTTTTAACAATTAAAAATGTCCCAAAGCAAAACATGGTTGAACCTCCAGGTCAGATGTAAATATAATTTGATGAAGTCATCTAACCTACAAATTACATATTAATAAATGACTGAATGGGCATACCTCTGCCACAAGCCTTACGTGGACAATGAAGAGAAGGCTGGTGCTGGCAATTTAGTGCTCTAGTGTCTACCAGCTCTCCAGCTGCTAAGCTGTCCCTTTCATCAATCTAAAATGAGTCATCATTGTTTCACCCGTCTAAAGGGCAAGGCAAAAACAGTGAAATTAAGAAACTCCATGGAAAAAAGAATGGAGAAAATAAAGCCAGAGATGTCATTAAATGTAATACAAGTAAGGGGGTAAAAACATATTATTCAAGGAATTTCTAGGGCTAATGCAAAGCTACTTCTTACGGAAAACTTGGAAAATACTACCAACGTAATTTTGTTTCAGAACACAAGAATTTTTTCTAAAAAGTTGTGTTTATAAGCTCATGCATATTCATAAAGTGATTCATTTGGTAGGAACATACAGTCATCCAGATGCGATGAAAAAGCAACAGCTTTAAATGCTCAATCTACCCATCAGACTTAAAGGTTATAGTAGCATTTCTTGAAAACACATTAGTCATCTCTGCTCTAACTATACATCTCTGTAGAGAAAACATGGAAAACAGGGTTGACTGGTAGTACACAAGTTTGTCACTGCTGATCGTTAGAAAAGTCAAACCACATTCAAAAATAATATGGAACACTATTAATATCTGCATGTTTCATCATCCTGTAAATTTCACATCCTAGACCATAAGCATCACAAACAACTTTCAGGGAAGGCTGTTTTCTTTTTTTTTCTTTTTTTTATATCTGTTTGTTTGTTTGTTTGTTTGTTTGAGATGGAATTTCACTCTTGTCGCCCAGGCTGGATGGAGTGCAATGGTGCAATCTCGGCTCACTGCCACCTCCACCTTCCAGGTTCAAGCAATCCTCCTGTCTCAGCCTCCCGAGTAGCTGGGATTACACGCGCCCGCCACCATGCCCAGCTAACTTTTGTATTTTTTTTTAGTAGAGATGGGGTTTCACCATGTTGGCCAGGCTGGTCCTGAACTCCTGACCTCAGGTGATCCACCTGCCTCAGCCTCCAAAAGTGCTGGGATTACAGACGTGAGCCACTGTGCCCGGCCCAGGGAAGGCTGTTTTCTAAAACTGACTCCCCCTGACCCATCTTCAGCGTCTGAGCAAGTGATGAGACAATGGGACAATAAAGCAATGGGTCAACAATGGCAACCAAATTATAGCAAAACCAAGTAAATTGATCTTGTAATTGATGAGTACGTCTACCCAAAGTTTTAAGTAATTCTCCTCTCACTTCGTTCAAGACAATGCATTATGCATGTGCAGCCTACATATAGAAGATGCTTTTTATTACTGTTAACAATATTAACTAAAATTTGCAGAATATTTATTTTAAAAGCACTTTTATTATTACTACTACTACTGTTAATAGTATTACTACTACTACTACCACCTCCCTTTTGCAAAAGAACTAAAGATCAGAGGAGGGAAACAACCTGCTTAAAATTATATCAACACTAAGAAATGACGGTAGGACTCAAACTCAATTCCTATGACTCCAAAATCTGTGACTTTTTTCTTAAAGTTAAACCCTTTTTTCATTTTTCAGCATGAAACCCTTCATTCATTCACTCATATCTTCATCTACTCAAGAAATATTTATTAAACACCTACTACATGCCAGATGCTAATCTCAAGCCCTCAGGAAACAATTAAGAGTACACAGTTCCTGCTCTAGGCGGTAGAAAGCATGTGTTACAATCTAGTATAATAGGGACAGCTTAACAACAACAACAAAAGTACACCAATGTAGGAGGTGGCAGAAAGAAGTAGGTACATGGCACAGTGGGAACACAGACAAGGAAGCCCTTAACAATTCCTATAGAGGGCTTGCTTTCCATAGGAGGTTATGATGTTACCTGAATCTTAGGATGTGAAAGAAATCTGGCAAATGGATAGAAGAAAGAAGCATGTCAAGGAAAAAAAAAACATGAGCAAAAGCATAAAGGCCTGAAAAACAATTCTAATATGTTGAGGAAACTAGCTCAGCATGACTGGGAGCCATATCAGGCATGGCCAGGGATAAATCATGAAAGTAGCCTGGAGGAAGGAAATCAAGACCAGGCTCATGGGTGCCATGCTACAGAGAACAGGCTTTATTTTACAGGAGACAGAAGACAGTGACGGTGAGAAACATGCTGACATGCATGCATTAAAATGACAAACTGGGCCAGGCATGGTGGCTCATACCTGTAATCCCAGCATTTTGTATATTTTGTTTTTGAGATTGAATCTTGCTTTGTCACAGTGGTGTGATCTCGGCTCTCTGCAACTTCCACCTCCTGGGTTCAAGTGATTTTCCCGCCTCAGCCTCCCGAGTAGCTGAAATTACAGGCACCCGCCACTACGCCCGGCTAATTTTGGTATTTTTAGTGGAGACAAGGTTTCACCATGCTGGCCAGGCTGGTCTCGAACTCTTGACCTCAAGTGATCCGCCAACCTCGGTCTCCCAAAGTGCTGGGATTACAGGTGTGACCCACTGTGCCCAGCCTATCCCAGCACTTTGGAAGGCAGATGCAGGTGGATCACTTGAGCTCAGGAGTTTGAGACTAGCCTGGGCAACATGGTGAAACCCTGGATCTACAAAAAATTAGCTGGGCATGGTGGCAAGCACCTATAGTCCCAGCTACTTAGGAGGCTGAGGTGGAAGGATGAATTGAACCCAGGAGGCAGAGGCTGCAGTGAGCCAAGATTGCACCACTGCACTCTAGCCTGAGCAACAGAGCCAGACCCTGTCTCAAAAATAAAATTAAAAATTAAAAGACAAAATGGTTTTAATGTGAAGGATGAAACTGAGGGATGGAACTAGGTCAGAAATGGGCGTATCAGTTAAGACACCAATGCAGCAGTACAAAAAATATGAGGGCCTAAATTAAGGCAGTGGAAAGGGGAGGTAACAAATTAGAGAGCTATTTTGGAAGCAGAATCTTAAAATGTAATGATTGACCAGTGGTACACAAAATTCAAGGAGAAATCTAGGCTAACTCCCAAACTTCTGGCTTCTACCACTGGATGGGTCATACTGCCATCAGTGGAGATGAAGTTAGTGTGGTTGGATAATGAGTTCAGTTTTGGATAAGGGAGTTACATTTGTGATGGCTATGTAGCATAAGGTAAAAATATCTAGTATGGTGTTAGAACTGGTTCCCAAAACTCAGCAGAGATATGGGATTTAGGAGTCATTATGATGTAAACTGTAGTTGAAGGCAAGGGGCTGGTTCTGATTAGCTCAAAGAAGAATATACATAGAGAGAAGAGGGAGAGCACAGAACCTAAGGAAACCCAGATATCTAAGGAGTAAAGAGAAACAATTTTGGAAAGCTGAGAACAGAGTTGTAGGAGGAGAGCCAAGAAAAAGTGTTTGGAAACCTTGAGTGAAGGTGAGTAACATGAACATTTATTTTCCTAGAGAAAGGAGAAATGTAAGAATATAAAAGGGGCATAAATCGAAACTATATTTCTGCAAAGTATTTTGGCAATGTATAGTTAACAAAGGCCTCTAAGATGCCCACGTCGTGACACAGTAATTCTACCTCTAAGAATGTATTGTAAGGAAGGAATCAGAAATCCTGACAGAAGTTTACATACAAAAATGTTTCTCACAGCATTATTTGCAATAGCAACAAAATGGAACTACTTTAAACATATGAAAGGAATGGTTAAATAAATTACTGTACATCCATACAACAAAGATTATGAGCCATTTAAAATCTATATTCATGGATAATTTTAAGTGATAAAAATACTCATGATATTGAGTATTGTGAAAAAAGCAAGACACAACTGCATATTCAGTTAACTATATAATATAAAAATGCAGAGGGCAAAAAAATGTATAAAATACAACAAAATGTTACTGGAAGTTATATACAGTTATTGAGATCACATGTGGTTTTTTTCTGCTTTAGCCTTTTTTCCTGCATTTACTGAATTTAATGATATTATTTTTTCCTTTAAAACAATTTGTTTTAAGACACAGTCTCATTCCCGTTGCCCAGGCTGGTGTGCAGTGGCAGGACTACAGCTCACTGCAGCCTCGACTTTCCAGGCTCAGGTGATCCTCCCACCTCAACCTCGCAAAGTACTAGGATTACAGGTGTGTGCCAGTGCACCCAGGCTTTTTAAAAATTAAACTCTATTTTGAGATATCTCACTGTGGTTTTAATTTGCAGTTCCCTAACGGCTAATGATGTTGAACATCTCTTCATGGGGTTACATGCCATCTGTATATCCTCTTCAGTGAAATGTTCCTTAACATCTTTTGCTGTTTTCTAATTGGATTACTTGGGGTTTTTTAATACTGAGTTTGGAGTTATTTATATATTCTAGACAGTAGTCTTTATTGGATATGTGGTTCAAAAATATTTTCTCCCAGTCTGTAGTTTGCCTTTTCAGCCTTTTAACATGGTCTTTAGCAGACCAAAATGTTTTAGTTCTTATGAAGTCCAACTTACCAATTTTTCCTTTTCTAGATCATACTTTTGGTGTCAAGTCTCAGAACTCTTTGCCTAGCTCTATATCCTAAACATTTTCTCCTGTTATTTTCTAAAATTTTTTTTAGTTTTATGTTTTACATTTAAGTCCATGATCCACTCTCAGTTAATTTTTTTATAAGGTGTGAAGTTTAGGTCAGATTTTTCCTTTTTTCCTTTTTTTTTTTTTGTCTTATAGCTGTCCAGTTGCTCCAGCACCATTTATTTAAAAGGCTATCCTTCCTGCACTGAATTGCTTCTGCATCTTTATCAAAAATCAGTTGGGCAATGGCCAATGAATACAGCATTTTATTTTATTTTATTTTATTTTTATTTTATTTATTTATTTGAGACAGAGTTTTGCTCTTGTTTCCCAGGCTGGAGTGCAATGGCGCGATCTTGGCTCACTGCAACCTCCACTGCACAGGTTCAAGGGATTCTCTGCCTCACCCTCCCAAGTAGCTGGGATTACTGGCATGTACCACCACACCCGGCTAATTTTTTTTTTTTTTTTTTTTTTTTTTTGTATATTTAGTAGAGACGGGGTTTCACCATGTTGGTCAGGCTGGTTTCGAATGCCTGACCTCAGGTGATCCACCCACTAGGCCTCCCAAAGTGCTGGGATTACAGGCGTGAGCCACCGCACCAGGCCAGCATTTATTTTTTAAGTGATGATCATGTTCTGGAATTAAATGATGGTGAATGTTATACAACTTTGTGAATATAATAAAAAACCACTGAATTTTACAGGTATGTAAGTTATATCTCAATTTAAAAATTTACTGAGGATATCTGTATAGGTCTCTATTCTGTTATTCCTGCTTTTCTATTCTGTTTCATTGATCTTTGGTCTATCCTTCTACCAATATTACACAATCTTGATTACTGGAGCTATACAATAAGTCTTGAAATCAGGTAGAGTGATTCCTCCAATTTTTTTATTCAGTTTAGCTATTCTAGTTTCCTTGTATTTCTACACACAATTGATAATAATCTTGCCTATATCTACAAAAAATCTTCCTGGGCTTTTGATAAAAATTGCATTAAACTTGTAGATTAATTTGAGGAGAACTGACATCTTTACTATGTTGAGTCTTCCAATCATGAACACAGTATCTCTCACTATTTTGGTCTTTGATTTCTTTCATCAGCATTTTGCAGTTTTCAGTATACAAGTAAGTCCTATATACGTTTTGTTAGATATATGCTCAAGTATTTCTTTTGATTGAACTGTTATAAATGGTATTGCATGTATTTCCATGTGTTCACTGCTAATATATAAAAATGCAATTGATTTTTGTTTTTTTGTTTTTGTTTTGCCTTGTTTAGAGACAAGGTCTTGCTCTGTTGCCCAGGCTCCTGGCTAGAGTCCAGTGGCATGATCATAGCTCACTACAACCTCAAACTCCCGGGCTCAAGCAATCCTCCTAGCTCAGCCTCCCGAGTAGCTGGGACTATGACACGCATCACCACACCCACCTTTTCTTTTTTTTTTTTTTTTAAAAGAGATGGGTTCTCACTATGTTGCCCATAATGTTTATGAGATTAAGTTCATCTTTTTTATCTGAGTAGTATTTTATTGTATGAATATACCACCATTTATTTATCTGTTGGTTATTTCCAGTTTTGGGCTATAATCCAAAATGCTTTTTTCAAACAATAGGCTATATATCATTAATGTCCGTTTATCAGCAGTATAAAATATCTTACCATAAATATTAATAAAAGAAGCATTCATATATAAAATATAGATATTTCAAACCCTACAGAGGGCCTTTTAATGATTAAATATTTTGTCCTTACAAAAAGGTCCAGGTAATTACACCCATGAGGTTAACCTGCCTTAGTGCAGGACTTAAAATAAGGCTTCTCCTGCCATCTCTCTCCATTTGTAGAATGTGAAATTCTTTAAAATGCATCCTATATTAGGAATACTATAGCTGTGCACTGGTGTTTGTTCTCTTCTTTAAACTCGGGACCGTATATATCTGCTCAAATTGCCCAAGTATACATATGCTGCACTCCATCAAGTGTCAGGCCACATTCTATCAGCACAGCGTGACTGCCTATCAGTGACAATATAAGTGAGCTCTATTTGGATCCCTCTTACCCTACCTTTTATATTTATGACAGCATTATCATAAAACTCCAATATTCTTCAATAACTTACATGTTTGTTGTAGGATAAAATTATTACCCTCAATGAACTACATAAAAATATAGAAAAAATAGCTGGGTGCAGTGGCTCACACCTGTAATTCCAGCACTTTGGGAGGCCAAGGCAGGTGGATCACGAGGTCAAGAGATCAAGACCATCCTGGCTAACTCAGTGAAACCTCGTCTCTACTAAAAATACAAAACAAAAAAAAATTAGCCAGGCGTCGTGGTGGGCGCCTGTAGTCTCAGCTACTCAGGAGGCTGAGGCAGGAGAATGGTGTGAAGCCAGGAGGCGGAGCTTGCAGTGAGCAGAGATTGCGCCACTGCACTCCAGTCTGGGGGGAAAGAGCGAGACTCCGTCTAAAAAAAAAAAAAAAAGAAAGAAAAGAAAAGAAAAAAAAAGAAAAGGAAAAGAAAAGAAAACATTTTCAGATTTGAAGAAAAAAATCTGATAATGGATATAAGAAGATTGATCAGGCTCAAGGCAAATTATTAATTAGTATTAGAAACCAACACCAACTGGTTCTTCAACCATTATCAAACACATTGATAACAGTATATGAAATGAAGGAATCTCACATAAATAATGTAATAGCCATTTGTCACTGGAGGTCACCTTTTATGACAAGAAAAATAATCCCACGTTCTTCATATGTTTAATGAAGTTAAGTTTTATAAAACAGATTTATAATCGCTGCCATGTATCATTCTGGGGGAGAAAAAAACAGTAAGCACAAAAAGAAAGCCTAAGATTATGGACAGAAAAAAAATTCAAAGAAAACTTAAATCTAACAACAAAAATACCATAGCACTGTATAAGTTATCACATAGAACATGAAGAACTAGTATACATTCCAGAGGAAAAGCTTGTTAAATCCTACACTGCTAACACTATAACTATATTGAATAAACATACTGCCCCTTAAATATAATTAGCACCATTATTTGAAAACAGAGACAAGAGAAAAGCATCTATAAGACTTGAATGATAAAAGCTGAAATTATGTGAAATCCTTATACTTCAGGCAAGGACATGAATGCTAAAGATCTCAAATTTTCTCAGTGACATGCAAGTAAATGAAAGTAAAGATACGGTTTATTTGTAAAACACGATGCACAATTGAAGGGAGAAATTAAGTATTTAGATCACTTTTTAGCATGCCCTCAAGTAAGTCGGCCAAAACATAATGAGATCAGTACTGGTGGTTAAGAAAAGAGTAACACCAAAAACTTCAGAAAAAGTGGGTCTTATAAAGGCTGTTTCCTAAATGTAGTAATGTATAAGTAATCATGCCATGCTCCACAGACAAGCAAGAGATGTTAAGAAGATGCCAGCACGATTCCAATTATCAATTGTATTAAGGCATGGTCTTTACATTTCAAACTTTACAGAGTTACCTGGAATTATACAGTAAGTTCCAGAATCTCCTCTTTCATTTGTGAATCTGTTCGCTACCCAAAGGCAAGTTCTATTATAAATAGTCAATTAAGATCCAAAAAAACCAAACTTATTTTTTGCTTTTGGTTAACAAGAAATTCCTTTAGCTTAATTGTAACATGGCTACAGCAATCAGTGTACCTTGCTAATATTTTTAATAACTTTGTAACATAAGGTTGTGATGTTACCATGTTTTACAACTGCAAATAATGCAATGATAAAACTGAAAGTTTTGAACTGAACTTTTTTATCTGAGTAATATTTTATTGTATGAATATACCACCATTTATTTATCTCTTGGTTGTTTCCAGTTCTGGGCTATAATCCAAAATGCTTTTTTCAAACAATAGGCTATATATCATTAATGTCCATTTATCAGCAGTATAAAATATCTTACCATAAATATTAATAAAAGAAGCAGTATAAACAAAATCTGTTTATTTTAAAACTGAGTGAATAAAAGGCAGAGATAGGCAATGAGGAAATGAGGAATTTTTTAATGATGCAGATAATATGTTCTAAAATATAATGAAGACCTAAATTAGCTGAGAAATGTGTTCAACAATCACTCCAAACTAAGTATGAATTAATGATTCTATCAATTCATTAATTCTATTAAATCTATTAATGATTCTATTAAACATTAATGATTCTATTTGCAAATTAAAACTTCCTGCTATTCCATTTTAAAGCTTTGGCTATCCCCCATCTGTGATTTTTGTACTGGTTATTTTAACTCAATGTCTGTCAGTTCTTTTCATTTGTAAAATGCAGATAAAAGTAACTACCTACATTATAGGGCTATTGTCACCCAGGCTGGAATGCAGTGATGTGATCATAGCTCACTGTAACCTTGAGCTCCTAGGCTCAAGCGATCCTCCCACCTTAGCCTCCAGAGTAGCTGGGACTACAGGTGCATGCCACCATGCCCGGCTAATTGTTTTAATTTTTTTTTTTAATCCAAAATGTGTTTATTGAGATGGTTTCCCACTCATCTTGATTCAGAGTGCTTTTAGTGCTGCTTCCTCCTGAAGGAACATCCTTCTGTAAGCCTTGCTTTTCCTCCTGTAGGCTGGCAGAGGACAGTGGAGCAGCCAACACACAAAACTACCGTTTGTGCATGGCTAAAGACCGTGATGATTTTATAGCATCCTGGGCATTTCACATCCATGAAGCAGGAATTGGGGCTCTGCACCAGGCGTTTCTTCTTGTGTTTCCTCTTCTCCTTTTCTGGAGAGGGATGAAGGAGACCCTTTGCAAGAGGCATGTTCTCGTGTGGGTAGGTCATCACCGCCGGAAAGGTTAATTTTTTTTTTTTATAGTCAAGGTCTCACTTTGTCACCTAGGCTTGTCTTGCAACTCCTGGCTTCAAGCAATCCTTTCATCTCAGCCTCCCAAAATGTTGGGATTGCAGGTGTGAGCCAATGTGCCCAGCCAAAAATAAAATTTAAAAAAAAATAATGTAGGTAGTTTCTCATAGTAACGTAAAGAATATGTAACCTGTGTTTTCCTGAAAGTTGAGGGAAAGCTGAGGCAGCTAATGGGCTCATACAAAGGTTTGGAAGACCCATTCTGACTACCTAAAGGAGAGTCAGCATTCTGACCATTCTGATTGTGCTTATAGAAGAGTCAGAACTTGTGAAGAAAGAAGCCTTAAAATCCAAGGTAGTAATCATCCTGGGAAATATTTCAGGAAATAACTTAAGGTTTGTATTTTCCCCTAAAATTGTTAGAAGAAAAGAAATGAAGATCTACATATATGCTCTTTTAGAGCTGAGAATAGCTTCTATAAAGCAGAATTTTAGACTTTTCTCCCCAAAGGAAAATAGGCATATTTATTGTAATTATTCTATCACAGTCAACTTGTGTTAACATATCGTTAATTCTTCCAGAACTGCTACATGTCACCAAATCAAAGCCAGTGTGAAAAATATATTAAATGACTCTTCGGCAAAATACGGTTTCCAATGGGGCAATGAAAAACATGAAATAACTCAGATGAAAGTTGGGATAGTATATAAAAATACGCAGATTCTTTTTCAATGTGAAACCTCTGATTCATTAAGAAATAAATCCCTTAAAGGAAAACCAATACCATATGAATCAATCAATTCATTTCTAATGTAAGAATGGGTACAACAAAATTTAAATGTGTTTTATACAGTACTAATTAGTCATGCAAGATCTTAACATTTTGCTTGTTTGCCTGCCCCCATACCTAACTACTATATATCATTTGTTTCTATCTTTAAAATATTTGATCATAGAAATTAAGCCTAAGAATATTGGGGGCTTTTTTCCCCATAAGAAACTACTCAAGGTAAGTATTACTCTAGGAAAATTGTGTTGCCTGGTCTTTATCCAGAATCTTGGTTGTGTCTGCTGCAAAAAAGGGAAAAACTGCTTTTTCAAGGCCATAGCAAACACAGCATGACATGAAAAATCTAAAAGATTCTGAGAGTTAGGAAATCTTCTAAAGGATCCTCTCGCCATTTAAGAGGCAGGAAAACTTCCCAAGGTAAACCAGGGAAAAATCAAGAGTCTCTGTAAAATATATAGCAATATAATAAATTCACAACAGCCCTTGCCTTCAAGCAGCATACATTAACAATAAAAGTCAACTACAAGAGATATCAGAAAGCAAAACAAGACTAATTGCCACATGACTCAGAGACAATTAGGCTATTTCAGTTCAAAGGAGGGAATGATCATCATGAGCCAGAATAGCTGAGAAAGCTTCACTAAGGCTGAGAAGCAACTTAAGCTGTCAGGAATAGGTGTTAGTACTGAGGACGGGGCAGCTCACTCTGGCCCCATGTTTAGACTCCTGTCTTCATTGTCCTGACTCCTGAAGAAGGATATGGCAAAGGATGTGAATCTGACAGCTTTTAACAACATAAGGCAACCAGCTTTGAATTTGCCTCCTGTGTAAGTGGGGTGATTGCCCTAGATAAAGCAACAGTTTCCAAGGCAGAAAAAAAGAGATGATAATCCAGCAGAAGAAGAAAAACACACACACAAAAACCAACAGAACCACCACAAAGCCAAGTGATTCAAACACCTGACCCTGGTTTCCTTGCCAAGAAACAAGTTAATTCCTATGCTAAGCACCTTTCCTCTGTTTTCACATTTCTTCTGTTTTCAAATGCTGAATTCAACAAGAAATCATAAAATCATACCACTTTAGTAGTTCTGAAAAGTTTTATAATGCCTCTTTTTTGTTGTGTACTATGGGGTGGAAAACTCTTTTGTCTTATTCCTGAATCAAGAAAGTAGAAACCTTTGCCAGAATCATTTGCACTAGATAAGTGAATTTGCATATCAGACCATATTTTTAAAAGCAGAAACATCCTGTATAGAGACTCTCCTTATAGAATGACTGACCTGCCTTGGCCTAAGGAAGCCTTCTCCCCCTCTTCCAAGCACAATCTTCCTGTTTTCTCAGCCTCATCTGAACCCGCTCAACCAAACAAAGAACCACTCAAACAAAATTTCACAGAATACCAACTTTAATAATTTCTAGCCAAATCAACACAAACTGTGGCTCTGGCCTAGAATAAACTGCTACAAGATACTTTTTTTTTTTTTTTGAGACAGAGTCTCGCTCTGTCTCCCAGGCTGGAGTGCAGTGGTGCAATCTCGGCTCACCACAGCCTCTGCCTCCCAGGTTCAAGCGATTCTCCTGCCTCAGCCTCCAGAGTAGCTGGGATTACAGGCACCCGCCACCACGCCTGGCTAATTTTTGTATTTTCAGTAGAGACGAGGTTTCACCATGTTGGCCAGGCTGGTATCGAACTCCTGACCTCAGGTGATCCTCCTCGGCCTCTCAAAGTGTTGGGATTACAAGTGTGAGCCACCGCACCTGGCCGCTACAAGATTCTTTATTTGCAATGACTCTCCTCTCCTTTTACCTTTGTTAATAATCACTCATTTCTTCCCCACAGATGCATCAAAGCTAAGATTCTTCGAAATATCCCACATGCGGCCAGGCGCAGTGGCTCATGCCTGTAATCCCAGCACTTTGGGAGGCGGAGGCGGGCATATCATCTGAGGTCAGGAGATCAAGACCATCCTGGCCAAAATGGTGAAACCCCATCTCTACTAAAAATACAAAAATTAGCCAGGCATGGTGGTGTGTGCCTCTAATCCCAGCTACTCGGGAGGCTGAGGCAGGAGAATTGTTTGAACCTGGGAGGCGGAGGCTGCAGGGAGCTGAGATTGTGCCACTGCATTCCAGCCTGGGCGACGGAGTGAGACTCCATCTCAAAAAAAAAAGAAAAAGAAATATCGCACATTCACGGAGCATCTTTAGATCAGAATCACCTCGGCTCTACGTTGAGACTACTGTAATTCTTAGCACAAAGACAGAAAAAGTTGACTCAAGGCTGTCATTTAAAAGAAAAAGCATAATTAATAAACCTTATTTGATAAATAAAAAGATACCTATTGTCTTCATATTACAAACACCGAAAATAAAGCTCAACAATGAAAAAATATATTTTTTTAATTGTGTTTGTTTGTAGAGGTGAGGTCTCGCTATGTTGCCCTGGTCTTGAACTCACTTAAGTGATCCTCCCACTTCAGCCTCCCATAGTGCTGGGATCACAGGCGTAAGCCACCATGCCTGGCAAGAAAATGTTCAGAACAAACCCTACAATTAACTCAGTTCATGACAGACTTGTTACTAATGTATGATGTTTGCAGTGTATAAATGGTGCAATGTACACTACAATTCTCACTGCATATTATAAACAGACATGTTACTATGAAGTTGAGGGAGTGGAAGAAAACAGACTTAATGCTTTAGCTGACTAAAATCGAAAGGTCCACATTCAAAAGACATATTTTTTTAAGAAATTAGGAGTTAATTTTATGTTAAGTAAAACCTATTGTATCATAAGTAACATTTGTTGGGCACTTAATATGTAGTAGGTACTATAGCTAAGTGCTTTACATGATCATCTGATTTAATCCTCACATAGACACTAAAGAAGTAGTTACTATTATTTTACAAAGAAGAAAACTACGGTTTACAACTGTTAAGAAACTTGCCCAAACTGCTAATAAATGAAGAAGCTGAAACTCCCATCCAGGTTTTCCTGACTCCAAAGCCTGGACTCACCACTATTTCTTCAACAAGGATAGCAGCAGGTTCTAGTGTATAAATAAAATAAACACAGTGACTAAACACATTTCCCCACACACTCATCTCTACCACTCCCACAGCCCACCTGAACTCTAGCTAATTGTTCTTAGTCACTGAAAACATTACATGGCTAGATAAATGATAAATGTCAGCTTTGAAAAGGGGAAAAGAAAGTGCCTTATGAGCTTGAGCCACAGATGATGGGCCCTCTTTTTCAAAGCCTTGTCTGCTCATTTGTTCATTCAAATCTCACTGAGCACCTATCATAGCAAGCAGTACTGTATAGTGATAAAGAGCAGAAGAATGCTTAGGTTCAAATCCTGGCGCCATCACTAACTGAGCATGTGACTGAGTAAGTTACTCTACTTCTTCACTACATTAATTATCTAAAGCATTTAGAACTGTGCTCGTCATTTATTATAGTAAACAACAAATGTTAGCTGACATTATTACTCTGTTAATAATGTTACTAGGCAATAGCTAAGCTACAAGCTTCTGGGTGATATGGCATGCTATTCCCTCTCTTCTGAAGCTCGAAATCTAAGACATGTGCATAAATAACCACAAATAAATCTGTAAATAACACTATAGGTATTAGTACATAAATGCTACAGATGTGCCAAGGAAGAGATTACTTCTAGCTAAAGATATCAGGGAAGGTCTCATGGAAAAGGTGCACTTGAGCCAGACCATAATACAAAAAGTAGAGGAGAACATTCCACATACAGAATATAATCATGGAATAGTAAATTGAGCTCAAGTGAAGACTTACCATGGAAGACTGGTGATGAATAAACCTGGGAATGTAGATAAGATTAGGGACCAGATTATCCAGAAACTTAAAGATCCAAATAAAGAGTTCACATATAAATACTATCATCATATTTTCTTTTCTTTTCTTTTTCATTGTATATATTTAAGGTATACAACACAATGTTTTTATATACTTATATATAGTGAAATGGTTACTATAGTCAAGCAAATTAATTTATCCATCACCTCACAGTTACCTGCCTCCTTTTTTTTTTTTTTTTTTTAGCAAGGGCAACTAAAATCTACTCTCAAAAAAAATCCCAGTGCAATACAATATTATTAACTATAGCCCTCATGTTATACATTGGATCTCCAGAATATCGTATTTTAAAATGTAAGCTAGTATTAATATTGCTCAAAGTGGAATACACATATAAAAATGTAAAAAGAGAGAATTCAGATCTCCAGAATATCATATTTTAAAATGAAAAAAGAAAGAATTCCCCCAATTTGGGGGATAGCAGGAAGTACTGTAAGAGATGGGGAAAAAAATAGCAAAGCAAGTCAGAGGAGATGTGGAAGAAAGCCAGGTTTCACAGGTAATGCATTTATATAGACCAGCTTTCCTCAAACTGTATGGTAGTCACATAAATTTGAGAAAGGCTACATGCCCCACCCTCATCTAGCCCTTCAGGGATCCACAAGACACTGGTACTTCAAGACCTCTCAAATGACCTGTAATTTTAAAACTAATTTTGTCCACTCTATATATTCCCAAACTTATTTAATAAAAAAAATCCTTTTCCTCCTAATATATTTAAGCAATGAGGGATACTAGTGTTCTACAAAACTCATTCTAGAAAACTTTGATGCTAAAATATCTGAAAATAATTGGGAAAAGTATGATGCCATATGAGATGAGATGGGAGATGTCTTAACAGTTCTATAATCATTTTTCAGAAAGACTTTTCCAAGATCACAGACTACTCTGGAAGTCTAATTTTGTTTTTACCCTAAGAGGCAAGTAAACCAACTAAAGGAGTTCTATAAATGATTATCATGCTTTGTTTTCTACCTGGCAACACAACTTTTAAGACTAAACTCTGACAACAATACAATTTGAATTACTTCTGATTTCCTTGTCCAAAGATGCCCTAAGGATTTCAAGAAGTATTTTCCTTTACTGATCAGAAAAGGAAACAGGTAGAGCCCGTTTATCCCTACTCTTTTTTTTCATGTCTTTTTCATCTTTTTCTCTCCAGTTTACCATTTTCCATTCTCTATTCTTCCATTCATATGTAATTTTCCCTTTACTGGCCCACTTTTGTCCCATGTACTCATGTCCTCCTTATTTCTCCCAGCTCCCTGCTCAAATTATTATCTGGAGCCTGGGGACTGCCATTATGACCAAAGAGCATGTTCAACTGCTAATAACTGACTTCGAGGGTTACAGAAGGCTCATGATATGCTATAGTTCCCCCATTTTTAGCCTACAGTAGACACTGCCCATTCTGCCAAAGCACTCTTTCTCACTAAACCCACAGTGCTCTCAACAGCTACTTCTAATCTCTGGAAGTTAAAACCTATTTGCAGACAGGTCCTATATGTTCTCATTTGTATTCTTTAGATCTATTGGCTGAAATGTGAAATACGCTAGTAAACGCAATTCGCAGGTAAGAAAGGAGGCACAATGGTTAAAGGCCAGAGTGTTGTCTCGCTGCACATCTACATGTGTCTGGTTCTTAAAAGTCAGTGTCTGCATTAGAAGCATTTGAGGAACAGTACAGGACTTTGCCAAAATACCAGTACAACCAGGAATCCTCGTATACTTAACACACATAAGGATAAATAAAAACAATGAGGATAAACTTCAAAACAACCTTGAGACATTTTATTTTCCAGGAGTCTTTCCTCCACACTGACTACCCGAATGTTTTCAGTAAGCATTTTGCTGTGGTTTCTCAGTTAGATTTCATCTAAATATGAGTAATCATCCTAATTAAGAAAAGCCAACTGGCTAAAATGCTAAAAGATCAAGCCCTCCCTTAAAATAATATCTTTCTCTGTTCAACTAAGAATGTGGAGTGCAACAGCGTGAAGGAAAATGTTAAGACTCATTCAATGATGGCACATAACTAAACCAATTAAGATAAATTTTAAAAGTTGTTTACTTAGTAGCCGCCAAATTCTATAAGGAAAATAACTGTTGGTGCAATTATGCAGTTTTGTATCTCATTAGCTGCCACAGTGAAAGATTATGTATTGTGCAACAATGATATCTGTTGAACCAATAAAATCAAAAGCTACTGTCAGCAAGCTGCGTTTATATACCTCTTAAATCAGTAAATCTTTTTTCTTCTTTTAAAACCAAGATATGCCCACAAGAGTTCCCAAAACAGCTTCCATATTAAAATTATAAATTATTGACTTGATGAGCTTCTCTAACCTGTGAAGTTGGAGAAACAGTAGTTTTTGATTCAGCAAAGGGCATTCCCACCATCCCTCCGAACGTGCCATGAAACAACTCAATAGACTAAAGATGGGGAAAGCTTAATGACTGAAATAAAAATAGATAAAAAAGGAAACAGAGTAGTTTCTACACTGCAATTCACTTCTACTTTTTCCATCTCAACATTAAAACATATATATCATCTAAACAAAAACTCATTACCACATAAAAATAAGGTGGAAGTTCAGTCTTCAGCCTGGATACTTACACTGCAGTCTCCCCACTCAATGAGGCTTAAGAGGCTTAAGCAAAGTTTTAAAAAAATACTGAAATCCATCTGATATTCAACACATGTAACTAAACAGTACAAGCACTACCATTTTACAAAACCAATTCTAGATGACATATTCATAGGAGTTTCCAAAAAATGCCTGAACTCTTCATAATCCTGCTAAATATATTAACCATGCCTCAACATTGCGTGACTATAACAAAGCTTAGCTTCTGTATCATATCACTACTAAAATCAACATTCAACTGAACTGTTCAGCCATAGGGTTTCATGTCTAATTAATTATTTAACCATATCTAGGCCTCCAAATCTAATTTATCTTTTCCCTGGTTCTGAACCTCAGTTACATTTTACAATCTCACTTTAGTTACTTTCTGTCAGCCATCTCAAATCCTGTGTGAAACAAAACACAGTATAAACGATGTTTTATTCACCTTTATGCCATTAACATTTAGTGCAGTACCTGGCACACAAGTTCTTAATTCATGTTTAACTGGCTTGAAGGCTACTGCCCCAGTATAGTTCTGACTCAATAAAAACTTATGTCAAATGACCATAGCAAATATTAGTAATGTTCGTTTTGAGATGGATCAGAAGCCTCATTCCCTGAATCGATGTTCCTGATGATGATTTTGTCAATAAGCAAAGGAATGTAAAAGACTACTTTTAAAACTATTCTATTTCTTGAATCTTTTCAAAGGAAACAAATTTATCATTTCATGTTTACATAATAAATATTAAAATGCAAGTGAATGAAACAAATTTCCAAATTATAACTCCAATACCATTATTTTTACTTACTTTTTAATTTTCACTTTCTAAACTTTCTGGGGGACAGGTGATAAAGAAAACTATGCTTCTAAAAAAGTTTAGTACTTATAAAAACCCATCTCAGTGATCATAGCAGACTTATACTTTTCTTATTCTATACACAGCAAGGTATAGTATCTCTAAACTATAATTCCTGCTTAGACAAGATTAAGAGTCCCAGTGACTAAATTTTAATTATGATTCATTTAGACAAGCCAAGACATACAACTAGACAAAAAGTAAACTGCTGACTTAAGAGATTTAATAATACAAAAACACAATAAAGCCTGCCAGGAAACAGTATTTCCCTCCTCGGCTTTAAATAGCACCAAGCCTGGTCACTTTAACAGACCTCTTCACCCCACATTTTGTATCACCAAGAAAAAAAAAAAAAGTTAAAAACTTGAGGGCCCAGTCCAGGTTTTCTACCTAAAAAAGGCAAATCATCAGCCTTTGGGCAACATAGGGAGACCCCGTCTTTATAAAAAGTAAAAAAAGAAATTAGCCAGAAGTGGTGGTATACGCTTGTTGTCCCAGCTACTCACAGGTGAGGCAGGAGGATCACTTGAGCACAGGAGTTCGAGGCTGCAGTGAGCTAGGATTGCGTCACTGCACTCCAGCCTGGGCAACAGAGCAAGACCCCCATTTCTAAAAAACAACATGGCAAATCAGTCAAACTATCCGATACTAAGGCTAATAAATAATTGGTAATAACATCGGCAAATCAGCCATAGAATTTCCTCAGTTATCTTTCTTGGCTTCAAACAATGGGGACCATATTTAAGAACACACATAGGAGATAAAGACTGGTTAGATAGATGATATTTGCAGATGTTAAACCATCACAAGCTAATTTCACTCATTTCAACATTGCTCTTCCCCTTCACCTCCAAAGCACAAGACAGAATCAGTCTTCTATTCTAAGAATTGTTTAGAGAGGATTTGTCAATATATAACCAAATATCTGCTTAGTGACGGGAAAAACCTCTGTTCGCCAGCCAAAGGACTTGTGAGAATGAGAGCTACATGTGGCTTCTCCCCTCTCTGGCCTCCTAATTCCACATCAGTTTGTAGTTATTCTTGTACTACAAGAGTATCAGTTTCAGAATGTAAGCCTCATAAGCTCCCAGGAAAGCCATTCTAGTGGAACTGTTCCAGAGTTTCACTTTAGCTCCATAAGGAACCTAAGAAGCCCCGCCCATAAGAGTGAACGGTAATTGCTCCGTTGGTTTCCACCTCTGACCTATAAAGACCAAAGCCTGAGCTGTCTGTAATCCATAAGCCATTTTAATATTCTGCTAGAACACTGCAAAAATGTGGTTTTCACTAGAGGCACTGGCATGAAGCTGAAATTGGTATTCTCGCTTACTAATCCTGTGTAGTATTTGTTCTAATTCTCAAAAGTAGAGGAAATTCTCTTTTTAAATAAAAAGGGCAGTGGTGAGACCCACAACACTTACGACAAGCCATATAACAGACTGTCCTAATCACACTTAGATAAATAATTAGTAAGCTACTCTTCTCCGCATATTACAGTAAGTAATCTACTCCATTATTTTGGCATCTGTTTCTTAAAATCTGCTGCACCTATCCCTTCTAAAACGCATATACTGTGTAAAAATGTATGAACTCTAAACTTCACAGGTAGAAAATCATCCAGTTTAAACTTTTTTTATATGAGGAAACTAGAGTTCAAATGCGTTAAATGATTTAGCCAAGGTCATACGTTCTGTGGCAGACTCAGGATGAGAATTAGGGTGTCCTGACTTCCAGTCTAATGTTTTTTATGATCACATCAACTAGACAATGAGAGAAAGCCCTACCATTCATTGGTGGTAAGTGCAGTGGGCACTGTTCCTATCCATCTGTCTTTCACAATATACAATTCCTCACTGTTCTGCACAATAGCCTATGTGGTAACACAGCACATATGAGCTAAACTACCACTCAAGGGTCATTTTAACAAGCATGACACAACACTGAGGCACAATGCCCATGTTAAGCAAACAGCAAAATACCATGACACAATTAAGGCTTTATTTAAGCCAAACCATGTATCTATGCCCCTGCTTCACCATTTAACTAACAAGCATCTTGAGGGCAAAAATTATTTCTTCTTGATCTCTATATCCTTTGCGGCACTATTCAAAAGTTTTGCTCACATACCTGCTAAAACAAATTTAATGGGGGGAAAAAGGTGTCTCCTTGAATATTCTTAGGTTGACATCTAAAATTTTCATTACAAGTTTTAATCACTGCAAAGGTTATATTTTCATTTATATATCAATCTATGTCTATTTAGAACTGACACCTAAAAACACTATTATATTGCTAATTTTAAAGCTATTAAACCTACTATATTGGTGAGGCAAAGTGGCTCACGCCCATAATCCCAGCACTTTGGGAGGTGGAAGGAGGTGGATCACTTGGGCCAAGGAGTTCAAGACCAGCCTGAGCCACATGGCAAAACCCCGTCTCTACAAAAAAATACAAAAATTAGTCACACACGGTGGTACTCGCCTGTAGTCCCAGCTGCTCAGGAGGCTGAGGTGGGAGGATTGCTTTAGCCTGGGAGGCAGAGGCTGCAGTGAGCCAAAATCGCACCACTGCACTCCAGCCTGGGCAACAGAGCAAGACCCTGTCTTAAAAACAAACAAACAAACAAAAAACCCTACTGTATCACTAATTCCAATAAAATCTAAACACCTGGGCAATCTGATATCCCCCATCCTATATTTTAAAACTGTAACAGAATCTTTTTTTCCTATATAAAATGCTATGCCATTTATCGGTCTCCCTGAAACTGTATTTCTATTCTGCTTCTTCCACAGTATTTAATATAACTTTTATCATACTTTCCTTAATGAAAACATGTATATTATTGTTTATTTATGTTGGATTGTGGTATGGTTACTATTATAGTAAAACACAATCGATGAAGACAATGCAAATGTTACAAATTTTGAGAACTAAACATAAAAAGTAATTTCCTTTTTTGGAGATGCATCTCTTAATAAGATGTATGGAGGAAGATACCTTGATAAAAGGAAGTTTCACACGTGACACTAGTGTTTTGACTATCCCTTTGTTAGAATCCTGGAGGATTTTATACCTCATAGAAAGGTACAATGGTGAGATTCAAGATGGGTGAAAGGTATGGCTGTCTTCTGTTAATCATAAGAAGGCACAGGGCTAAAGGGAGGGTAGGGAAGGTGGACTAGCATTATATCAGTGTTGCCTTCAAACAAGTCAATTTCAGGAAAGAGTATAAATAAAATATAGAGAATCTGGAAATTTATTCTCTTAAAACAGTCCAAGCCTAGATATTCTTAGACATGTCCTCCAGTTTGAGATCATGGTTCTAAAGCACCAGACTTGGTTCATTTATCGGAACTCAGTAAATACTTGTTGCATTAAAATAGTTCAGGGCCAGATGTGGTGGCTCATGCCTGTAATCCCAGCACTTCGGAGGCCGAGGTGAGAGGACTGCTTGAGCCCAGGAGTTTGAGACCAGCCTGGGCAACATAGTGAGACCTCATATTTACTTATATAAAAAATAGTAACAATATAAATTAAATGAAATTAAATTGTTTATGAAAAAATGTTATTCAATGAGAACATCTAGATCGTACTGATTTTTTTCTAATCAAATGATAAAGTCTGTTGTGAGGATGAAGCAAGATGGTGAATGTAAAACACTGAGAACAATGCCTGACAGCCTCAGTGTGTCCTACCTGCCATTCATCTTAATATTAGTATTCTTAGGCAAATCTTATTCTTTCTCTCCATCTCCCCTACATTTATTTAAATAAGACTAAGGTCTTATTCAGACATGGAAATACGATTTATTTCTAAAACCTTAAATATAGTTCACTCTGCTAAGGAATAATGGTTCAGAATGACCATCTATACTTCATCTTGGTACTATTTTTTATACATACTATGACTTTCACATCACAAGCATACAGGTTAACTTGAGAAAAACCAGAAAGCTATTTATGCAAATAATGGCAAAAATAAGTAGGCCATTGGTGAAAATCATATTTTTGACACTTAGATGAAACCCCAGATTTATTTACCTTTAAAAAGTTAATGAAATACATTTAATTATACAGACATAAGGTCAATTAAAACTTTCCAGGCTGGACGCGGTGGCTCACGCCTGTAATCCCAGCACTTTGGGAAGCCGAGGTGGGCCGATCACCTGCGGTTGGGAGTTCGAGACCAGCCTGACCAACATGGAGAAACCCCATCTCTGCTAAAAATACAAAATTAGCCGGGCTTGGCGGTGCATGCCTGTAATCCCAGCTACTCGGGAGGCCGAGGCAGGAGAATCACCTGAACCCTAGAGGCGGAGGTTGCAGTAAGCAGAGATCGGGCCATTGCACTCCAGCCTGGGCAATAAGAGCGAAACTCCGTCTCAAAAAAAAAACTTTCCCATTAATTCATTATTAAACCAACTTCTTTCTCCCAGTATCTACTAAGAAAGGTCTATGCGGTACATATCCAAGAAAAAAATGCCAGGAACTTTGGCCTATTGAATTTAAGAGTGTCAGAACCCACGTCCTTTAAAATACTTCATGACTAGCCAGGCATGGTGGCTCACACCTGTAATCCCAGCACTTAGGGAAGCTGAGGCATGTGGATCATGAGGTCAGGAGTTCGAGACCACCCTGACCAACATGGTGAAACCCCGTCTCTGCTAAAAATACAAAAATTAGCTGGGCGTGGTGGCGCACGCTTGTAATCCCGGCTACTCAGGAGGCTGAGGCAGGAGAATTGCTTGAACCTGGGAGGCAGAGGTTGCAGTGAGCTGAGATCGTGCCACTGCACTCCAACCTGGGTTGTCACTGGAGTGAGACTCCATCTCAAAAAATTTTTTAAAAAAATACTTCATGATTTCTCTCAGTTTTTTTGTCTAGCATCTAAAAGATTTTTAGGGGTTGTCAACTCTTTAATAATATATTTATAAAAAGTAGTTGATTCCAACCACCTCCATAAACACCATATATTAGGGGATAAATTCTAGGGAGGGATATAAAGTTTAAAAAGATACTTTCCATCTGGACGCAGTGGCTCATGACTGTAATCCCAGCACTTTAGGAGGCCAAGGCCGGGAGATCACTTAAGGTCAGGAGTTCGAGACCAGCCTGGCCAACACAGTGAAACACCATCTCTACTAAAAATACAAAAATTACCCAAGCATCATGGTGCATGCCTATAATCCCAGCTACTTGGGAGGCTGAGGCATGAGAATGGCTTGAACCTGGAAGGCAGAGATTGCAGTAAGCCGAGATCGCGCCACTGCATACCAGCCTAGGTGACACAGCAAGGCTCCATCTCAAAAAAAAAGAAAGAAAGAAGCAAGGAAGAAAAGGAAAAGAAAAAAACCTTTTTTACCCCTGAAAATTTTATTCAAAATAGAGTTTTAAAATGGATCAGTCTAGGTGCAATGGCTCACACCTAGTCCCAACATTTTTGGAAGCTGAAGTGGAGGAATCACTTGAAGCCAGGAGTTTGAGACCAGCCTGGGCAACAAACCGAGATATCATCTCTATACAAATTTTAAAATTAGCCAGGCATAGTGGCACGTGACTGTAGTCCTAGCTACCCAGGAGCTAGGATCCTCCTCCTGAGGATCACTTGAGCCCAGAGTTCAAGTTTATAGTGAGCTAGCATCACAGCACTGCACTCCAGCCTGGGCGTCTGAGCGAAAACCTGTCTCTTAAAAAAAAAATAGGATCTTATATTATAGTATAATTATATAAGATAGCAGCCGGGCACAGTGGCTCACGCCTGTAATCCCAATGCTCTGGGAGGCCAAGGCAGGCGGATCACCTGAGGTCAGGGTTTGAGACCAGCCTGGCCAACATGGCAAAACCTTGTCTCTTCAAAAGTACAAAAATAAGCCGGGCATGGTAGCAGGCACCTATAATCCCAGCTACTTAAGAGGCTGAGGCAGGAGAATCGCTTGAACCTGGGAGACGGAAGTTGCAGTGAGCTGAGATCGCGCCATTGCACAACAGCCTGGGCGACAAGATCAAGACTCCATCACACACACACACACACACAAAAAGATATCACCATTGGTGAAAGTTGGGGGAAGGGTATACAGGACTCGATGTACTAATTTTGTAATTTCCTATGATTCTATAATTATTTCAAAATAAGCTGGGTGTGGTGGCTCATGCCTGTAATCCCAGTACTTTGGGAGGCAGAGGCGGGCAGATCACTTGAGGTCAGGAGTTCGAGACCAGCCTGGCCAACAGGGTGAAACCCCATTTCCACTAAAAATACAAAAATTAGCCAGGCGTGGTGGCACACGCCTGTAATCCCAGCTACTCAGGAGGCTTGAGGCAGGAGAATCGCTTGAACCTGGGAGGCAGAGGTTGCAGTGAGCCGAGATCACACCACTGCACTCCAGCCTGGGCAACAAGAGTGAGACTTCATCTCAAAAAAAATAAATTAAATAAATAAATAAACAGATAAATAAATAAATAGTTTTTTTTTAATGGATCTTAAAGGAGAGGCAAAATTTCAAAAGGTAAAATGTTCTGGGTAGATACAAACATAAAATGCAATTCACATTATAGGACTCACAACTAGGCCAGGTAAGCTACACAGCTCATTCTAGGATATAGTGGAAGATAAGGTAGAAAAGGTAACCAGAGTCAGACTGCAGAAGAGTCCTGTGATGGTTAATTTTATGTGCCAAGTTGACTAAGCTAAGGAATGGCCCAGACAGCTGATAAAACATTTCTAGGTGGGTCTCTGAGGGTATTTCTGCAAGAGATTAGCATTTGAATCAGTAAACTAAATAAAGAAGACCCACACTCACCAATGAGGGTGGGCGTCATAATCTGTTTACCCTTTTCCACCCAGAGAGAGCAAACGGCAGAGGAAGAGCAAATTCACTCTTTCTTCTTGAGCTGGGATATCCATCTTCTCCCACTCTTGGACATCAAAGCTCCTGGTTCTTGGGTCTTTGGACTCCAGGACTTACACCAGCACACCACCCCTTCCCAATTCCCAGGCCTTCAGCCTTGATTCCCCTGGTTCTCAGGACCTCAGACTCCAACTTAATTACACCACCAGCTTTCCTGGTTCTCCAGGTTGCACATGGCCTATCATAGGATTTCTCGGCCTCCATGATCACATGAATCACATGAGCCAACTTCCATAATAAACCTCCTCTTATACCTATCTATGTATCTATTATATATATAAAATAAACCTCTTCTATATCTATAGATATAGATATGGAAACTTATTATGAAGGTTTTGGGGTTTTTTTCCTTGTTTTTTGTTTTTTGAGACCGAGTCTCCCTCAGTCACCCAGGCTGGAGTGCAATGGCGCAATCTCAGCTCACTGCAACCTCCACCTCCTGGGTTCAAGTGATTGTCTGCCTCAGCCTTCCAAATAGCTGGGATTTACAAGTGCACACCACCATGCCCGGCTAATTTTTGTATTTTTAATAGAGATGGGGTTTCAACATGTTGGCCGACCTGGTCTCAAACTCCTGACCTCAGGTGATCTGCCCGCCTCAGCCTCCCAAAACGCTGGGATTACAGGCATGAGCTACAACGCCTGGCCTATAGAGGTTTATTACAGAAATCCATCTATCCAGGCCGGGCGTGGTGGCTCATGCCTGTAATCCCAGCACTTTGGAAGGCTGAGGCAGGTGGATCACGAGGTCAGGAGTTTGAGATCAGCCTGGCCAACATGGTGAAATCCCGTCTCTAATAAAAATGCAAAAATTAGCCGGTCGTGGTGGCAGGCGCCTGTAATCCCAGCTACTCAGGAGGCTGAGGCAGGAGAATTGCTTGAAACCGGAAGGCGGAAGTTGCAGTTTGCAAGATAGTGCCACTGGACTCGACTGGGCAACAAGAGTGAAACCCTGGGAAAAAAAAAGAGAAAAAAAGAAAGGAAAGAAATCTCTCTCTCTCTCTCTGGAGAATCCTAATACAAGTCCAGAATGACAAGCTAAAACTTGGAACTTTCCTTGTATATGATGGGGTATTTTGCGAGGATTTTTTATAATGCATGAGAAAAGTCAAAGTAAGGCTTTATAAATATTAATATCATAGCAGTAGGCAGGAGAGACTGCAGCGAACCTAAAGGTAGAAAGACCAGTTACTATTGCAGTAGCCCAGGCATGGTGGGGTGTTAAGGGTTGGCAGTAAAACCTGACCATAAGGGGCTTAAGAGTTTAATACCCTGAAATCCTCTATAAAGAGTCTATCTCCGGCATTCATTCTGAGCTCTCTATCATGTTTACAATAAAGAAATCTCTTCTCTGAATCACATTTTAACATTTCAATCTTCAGCAGGTTTATAAGAAGAAAGTGGAAAAGGCAGAAACAGCTCTCTTTATTATCCCCAACAAAACAAAAGTCTTATAGCAGCCTTTGTGGCCTTGGATTGTATCCCTTTAAGCAAAAATAAATCAGAAGTCCTCTTATGCTCTGGGATTAACCTCCTTCCAATGACTACATGCTGTCAGTTACAATCTACCTATTGCAGATAGGAAGCTTCATTGTAATAGCAAATTTCTGGTTGAAGAGCTTGCTAAGGTCCAATCCCAAACAGCTTTGTGGCTCTAATGCCGTAGTTTCAGAAAGCAATACTTTCCAGATGCATGCTGCTGACTGCTGCAATGCAGGAGGACCTGGCACTTTATTCTGGGCTACACAAACAGCACATCTGATTGTTTACTGGGTCCCACTGTGTACTACATACTGATGACACAAAGATGATTAAAATAGCCCACCTTCAAAAAAGCCACAGTCTATTGGGAAATATACACAAAAAAGTAACTGCAGGCCGGGCGCGGTGGCTCATGCCTGTAACCCCAGCACTTTGGGAGGCCGAGGTGGGTGGATCACAAGGTCAGGAGTTCAAGACCAGCCTGGCCAACACGGTAAAACCCTGTCTCTACTAAAAATACAAAAATTAGCTGGGCATAGTGGCATACACCTATAATCCCAGCTACTCAGGAGGCTGAAGCAGGAGAATTGCTTGAACCCAGGAGGCGGAGGTCACAGTGAGCCTAGATCATGCCACTACACTCCAGCCTGGGCAACAGAGCAAGACTCTGTCTTGGAAAAAAAAAAAAAAAGTAAAGTGGCAAATGCTATTATAGGTAAGTATGTAAGAAATGCTTTGAGAATAATAATAATAGCTATATTTATGAAGTACTTAGTAATATGCAAGCCCTTTCAATGCATTTTCCCTACATTAATTCACTTAACCCTCACAGCAAGACTAATATTACTCATTTGTTATAAATGAGAAAACTGAGACACAAAAAAGTTAAACAGTTTCATCCCAGTTATATACAACTACCTTAATAACAAAGGCAGTCTGGCTCCAAACTCAGGGATTTTAACTTACCACTATATTGCCTCTTTCCCCCCTCCCACCCTACCCCCTCCACTGAGACAAGGTCTTACTCTGTCACCCAGGCTGGAGCACAATCATGGCTCACTGCAGCCTCAAACTCCTGGGCTCAAGTGATCCTTCTCCCTCAGCATCCAGAGTAGCTGAAACCACAGGCATGTGCCACCATGCCCAGCTAATTTTTTTAGTTTTTGTAGAGATGGGGTCTTGCTGTATTGCCCAGGCTGGTCTCGAACTCCTGAGCTCAAGCAATCCTCCCTACTTGGCCTTCCAAAGTGCTGGGATTACAGATGTGAGCCACCACACCCAGCATTTTCTTTCTATTTTTTTCAAAGAGACAAGGTCTTGCTATGCTGCCCAGGCTGGCCTCAAGCAATCCTCCTGCTTCAGACTCCCAAGTAGCTAGGACTGTGGGTATATACCTCTCACCAGCTTATATTGCCTCTTATAATGAGGGACTAACTAATGTTGCCTTGGATGGCAGTTAAGACTAAAGAGAAAAGAGCGTAGAAGATATATTTGAGACAGACCACTGAAGAATCACCAGGAATTCACCAGACAGACTAGATGTTTGGGGTGGAAGGCTGAGTGCTTATTAGCAGGGAGTGCTTGAGGGGACAACCCTCTAAGCAAAAAGAAGGCAGGTACAGCAACAGCAGGTCAGGGACAAAGGTATGAGATTTAGAGTACAGGGTGCAGTCACAGAACAGTCAGTAGTCTGCATATACTGTAGGACCCATGGGTCCCAGAACAAGAGGGGAGGCTCTAAAGATGACTGTGGTGTAGTGGGCCTTGGAGGCTTTATATTTCAGGTAAGAGAGACCCATCAGAGGCCTTTCTGCTGAGTGATATGAGCAGATCTACCTACTATAAAGATAACTCAGGATGAAAGGTACAAGATGGCCAAGAGGCCAGGAGAGCAATTAGGAGATTACCACAATAATTGTGTCAAGAAATGATAAGGAGTGGTTGGATGCAAGCACATGTTTCGGAAGCACAATCAACAGTACTTGATAGGCCAGGTGTGGTGGTTCACACCTGTAATCCCAGCACTTTGGCAGAGGTGGGAGGATCACTGGAGCCCAAGAATTCAAGACCAGCTTAGACAACATAGTGAGACCCCATCTCTATAAATAATTTTAAAATAAATAAAAATTAAGATGTTTAAAATGAAAATACAAAATAACAGTACTTGCTGACTGGTTGCATATGAAGGATAAGGAAGACAGGCAGACAGGCAAAGCTATCCTGAGGCTCTTTTTCTGGGCAGAACAGGACAAAAAGGGGATCAGCATTTAAAAGGAATAATAATAATAGCAACTAATATTTATTAAGATATTAGTATATACCAGCACTATGCTAAATACTTTTACAAGAATTATCTCATTTAATATTGATAAAATAAGTTCATTATCACCCTTTCATAAATGGAGAAATGGAGGCTTAAAGAAAATAAGTAGTTTATTCACGGACACAGTCACTAAGCACTGAAGCCACAGAAAGACTCTGACTTTAGATAAACTGAGTTTAAGATATCTGGGGAGGCATCCAAATGTAGATTTCTAACAGGCAGCTCAATATTTTTGTACGAACTTAAGCTAAGAGTACCACAGATACAGATTTATAATAACAATGTAACTATACTGTTGTTACTATTCCTATTATTAGCATTTATTAAGCACTTAGTGTACATGAGACACTATTTTAAATGTTTTACACACATTATTCATTTACTCCACACAATCCTGAGATAGGTAGCTCTAGTCTCCCCACTCTTACTTACAGAGAAAGAAACAGAAACATAGAGACAAAGTAAATCATTCCGTGTCTCTTAGGGAGAAAATAATGGAGCCAGATTCAAATCCTGGTCTCTCTGGTTTGGATGAGGGAACAGAAGAGAAGGTGGGGCTACAGGTGGGTTGGATAGAGGAGCCAAGGACAAAATCCAGAAGAATATAATCGCTTAACAAGTAGGCAGAGAAACAGGCACTATCTCATAGGATGGTTGTAAAGATAAGTAAAAGCACACAAAGGACTTGGCTAGGGCCACAGTTTGAATGTCTCCGCCTCTAAAAGTCAGATGTTGCCAACGTGATGGTATTAAGAAGTCGGGCCTTTAAGACATCATTAAGTCATGAGGGTTCCTCCGTTCATGAATGCAATTAGGTGCCCTTAAAAATGGGCTTGATGGAGGGAGTTACTCCCTTTTTGCCCTTCTGCCTTCTGCCATGTGAGGACACAGCATTCAAGGCATCGTCTAAGAAGCAGAGACCAAATCCCCATCAATGAACCTGCCAGTGCCCTCCCAGCCTCCAGAACTATGAGAAAATAAAATTCTGTTATTTATAAATTACCCAGTGTCAGGTATTCTCCTATAGCAGCACAAAAGAACTGACAGCAACCAAAGCTCTATCAGTTTGGAGGATGTGCTACAGGATGAGGAGACAGAAGAGAACCAACAGGGAAGTAGATATATTAAATGGAAAAGGATTAGTTAATAAAACAAAGTCCCTGGATTAAGAAAATGTGGCACATATACACCATGGAATACTATTTAGCCATAAAAAAGGATGAGTTCATGTCCTTTGTAGGGACATGGATGAAACTGGAAACCATCATTCTCAGCAAACTATCGCAGGGACAAAAAATCAAACACCGCATGTTCTCACTCATAGGTGGGAACTGAACAATGAGAACACTCGGACACAGGAAGGGGAACATCACACACTGGGGCCTGTTGTGAGGTGGAGGGAGTGGGGAGGGATAGCATTAGGAGATATACCTTATGTAAATGATGAGTTAATGAGTGCAGCACACCAACATGGCACATGTATACATATGTAACAAACCTGCACATTGTGCACATGTGCCCTAGAACTTAAAGTATAATAAAAATATATAGATAGATATAGATATAGATATAGATATAGATATAGATATAGATATAGATATAGATATAGATATAAAGTCCCCAAGAAGAAGTGGCAGAATGGGATCAGGACAGTGCAGGTGAACACACAGAGCTTCTATCTCACCTGCTAACGAAAGTATAAACTTGTCTGGAGGATGGTCTGGCCAACTCTTACCAACATTTCAAATATGCCCATCTTTTGATCTCCTCTTCTAAAACTTGGCTGTGCATATATACCAACCAAGGATATACCTACAAATTCAAGGATGGTCCACCTTTGGCAATATTGGTGAAAATGAAAAATGGAAGGAACTTAAAAGTCCATCAATAGGGGAAACGTGAAATAAAGTAATACACATCTATATAATAACATTTTACATAGCCATTTAAAAGAAACAGGTCAATACGCTGACATGAAAATATTTCTATAGTTTATTTTTTAATTAACCATTTCTTTAGAGATAATTGTAGAGTCACAGGCAGTTGTAAGAAACAACAGAGATCTCCTGTACCCTTTACCTTGTTTCCCTCAATGGAGACATCTTGTGAAACTATCGTTCAATATCAAAATTAAATTTTTAAAAAACTTAGATAATACTACATACATTACCCTTGTGTATTTTAAGTGTCCACAAAATGTGTACATGTACAGAAGAAGATTTAACTACTAGCAGTTGACACCTGGAAGTATAAAACGTTAAAGGAGGAAAAAATGGAAGACGTATACCTTTACTTTATGTACATCTGCACTAATTTTTCTTACGAAGTACATAAATTACTCCTAGAATATACAAGGCAAACAGGTAGAGGGGTTAGATTTTGAAATAAGTACAGGCACCTATTCTTTTAACCAAGGGAGTTTAATATTTGGAAGCAGTGGGGAGGAAAAGTGAAAAGGATCACACTGAAACCCTCTATTTCCTCAATTTAGTAGACTGGCAAGCTGTGATTCATTCAATAGGAACAAGTACTCGGTCACAGACTACTCCATGCCAGGCTCCGTCCTAGGCCATGGAAATTAACCAGACAGGTATGATTTCTGACCTCGAGGAGCTTAGAGCCTACCAACAAAGGTAGGCATTAACAAAAAACATTACACAGTTATACTCACCATTACAGTAGAGCACAGCAGTTTAGAACGTGGGCACTGGGGTCTGCCCGGGTTCAAATTCCAACTCTGCTACCAAATGGCTGTGTGACTTTGGACAAGTGACTTAACATTCCTCACTTCAGTTTCCTCATCTATAAGATGCAGATAATTCTAGGTCCTACTTATTTACCCACCTATACAACTCATAGGGTTGCTATGAAAACCAAAAAACTTCCTATGTGTAAGTGCTAAGAACAGTCTCTGCAACTCATAAACACTCAAAGGTTGCTGCTATTATTGTTGTTACCATCATTACTATTAATAATTTCAGAGGGAATCTAATCTACCTTTAGGCAAATGGAAGGTCAGGGAAAACTTTCTTGAGAAAGGAACACATAAGCTAAGTCCTTAAGATAAATACAAATTAAACATGCCAAGAAAAAAGGTGTCCAGCAGAGAAAAGAGCATATACAAAGCCCTGTGCTAAGAATGAGCTTGGCATGTGAAGGATCTGAAAAAGGGCCAGTGAAGCTAAGGCGCTAAGAGGACAGAGATGAGGCTAGAAAACCAGAAAGATCCTGTTAAACTTAAGAATTTTACCTCTGGCCAGGTGCAGTGGCTCACACCTGTAATCCCAGCACTTTGGCAGGCTGAGGCAGGCAGATCATGAGGTCAGGAGTTCAAGACCAGCCTGACCAACATGGTGAAACCCCATCTCTGCTAAAAATACAGAAAGTAGCGAGGCATGGTGGCATGCACCTGTAATCCCAGCTACTCAGGAGGCTGAGGCAGGAGAATCGCTTGAACCCAGGAGGCGGAAGCTGCAGTGAGCCGAGATCACACCACTGCACTCCAGCCCGGGCAACAGAGCGAGACTCCATCTCAAAAAAAAAAAAAAAAATTACCTCCATCTTTATAATGAACAGTATTGTACAGGAAATAACATAATAGATTTGTTGTTTTCTCTCTTTTTAAAGGTCACTCTGCTGAAGTGTAGAATCAGCTGCAATGGAGGAAGGTGACACGAACCAAAGGAAAATGTGGAAAGATTTAGAAAGAACTGTCATTCTGGTGAAGGAGAAATGAAATCAACTCCAAACAAGTGAGAAAACTACTAAAGAGAATAATAAGCACAGATGAGGCTAAAACCCATGGATTAGCAAAAGAACAAATTAATATGATGAAATCATTTCTTCAGGCCCTAGAGCGGGAACACAGAAAAAGGGCAGTACTGTTAATCCACAGCTGGAGATCTGCATGGCATGTGGGAAAGAAGAACAAAGATGCAGGAGAACTGCGGATACTGATGACTCATTGAAAGTGACCAATTATGGCATCCATATGGGATAAAGTGATGCCAGGAAGAATGTCACAAATTGGGAGACAATGGAGATTTAAGGGGCTGGCGGCCTCAGTGAAATGAGAAAATAAACTCAGCAAATGGAAGAACTGAAAAGACAGGAAATTGTGTTCAAAGAGAAAAATTTACAGATTTGTAATTCCAGAAGTGGACGTTTGGCCACAGAAATAAATTGCTACAGAGAAGTGGAAGAACAGATAGCTGGGAGAAGAAAGACCAAGTCAGATGAGATTAAGATGCTGGACAAGTAATCAACATGGACATTAAAGGCATACAAAATCACAGAGTAAGAGAAAATGATTTAGAAGGAATAGGAATTAAAGTCTCAGTTACAGTCTTAATATCACACTATAAAGAATGTGTTTTTAATTATATGGAATAAAACAGGATGTCTTGCTAAAAACAAAGCTTAATCTATTTGTTTAGCCAAATAATTTTCAAGGACTTCCCTGAATAGCCATTCCTGACAAAAGCTCTTAGAGAGACAAAGAAAGAAGCTTTCTTAACTTGATGATTATTTGTCACAACCAGACAGCAAGCAACATATTTAATGGTAAAAAACTAAAGGCATAAACAAGCCACAGGCTAGAAGAAAATCTTTGCAAAATACCTATCTGGTGAAGCACTGGTATCCAAAATATACAAAGAACTCTTAAAACTCAACAATAAGAAAACAAACATCCCAATTTTAAAATGGGCAAAAGATATGATCAGATACCTCACCGATATATACAGATGGCAAATAGTGTATGAAAAGATGCTAAACATCATATGTTACTAGGCTACTGCAAATTAAAACAACAACGAGACACCACATACCTATTAGAATGGCTAAAATTCAAAGCAGTGACAACATCAAATGCTGGTAAGGATATAGAACAACAGGAACTCTCATTTACTGCTGGTGGGAAAGCAAAATAGTACAGCCACTTTGTAAGACAGTTTGGCAGTTTCTAGAAAACTAAACATTCTCTTACTATATGATCACGCAGTTCTGTCTTTGGTATTTAGCCAAATGAGCTGAAAACATATATCCACACAAAACCTGCAGACAGATGTTTATAGCAGCTTTATTCATAGTTGAAAAAAGTTGAAAGCAACCAACAAGTTCCTTAATAGGTGAATGGGTAAATAAACAGTGGAAATCCAGACAATGGAATATTAGTGCTAAAAACAATGAGCTATCAAACCATGAAAAAACTTGGAGGAAACCTAAATGCACTTTACTAAGTGAAAAAAAGTCAATCTGAAAAGGCTACATGCAATAATGCCATTCTGGTAACATCAAAACTATGGAGACAGTAAAAAGATCAGTGATTGGCCAGGCGAGGTGGCTCATGCCTGTAATCCCAGCACTTTGAGAGGCCGAGGCAGGCGGATCACCTGAGATCAGGAGTTCGAGACCAACCTGGCCAACATGGTGAAACCCCATCTCTACTAAAAATATAAAAATTAGCCAGGCGTGGTGGCGCATGCCTGTAATCCCAGCTACTCGGGAGGCTGAGGGAGGAGAATCGCTTGAACCCGAGAGGCAGAGTTTGCAGTGAGCCGAGAGCATGCCATTGCACTCCAGCCTGGATGACAAGAGCAAAACTCCATCTCAAAAAAAAAAAAAAAAATCAGTGATTGCCAGGGACTGAGGAGAGGAAGGGATGAATAGGTACAGCACAGGGAATTCTTAGGGTAGTGAAATTATTCTGTATGATACTGTAATAATGGATATGCAACATTACAAATTTGTGAAAACTCTTACAAATGTGCAACACAAACTATGGATTCTAATGTAAACTATGAATTTTAGTTAATGTACCAATATTGCTCATCAATTGTAGCAAATGTACCACACTAATGCAAGATGTTAATATCAGGGAAAATCGTGAGGACAGGCAGAGATAATGGGATATGTGGGATTTCTCCGTACTTTCTGCTCAACTTTTCTGTAAACTCTAAACTTCTCAACATAAAGCCTGGCCAGATGCTGTGGCTCACACCTGTAATATCAGAACTTTTGGAGGCTGAGGTGAAGGGATCGCTTGAGGCCAGGAGTTTGAGACCAGGCAGGGCTAACACAGTAAGACCTCGTCTCTATCAAAAATTAAAAATTAGTTGGGCATGGTGGCACACACCGGTAGTCCCAGCTACTCAGGAGGCTGAGGCAGGAAGATGGCTTGAGCCCAGAAGTTCAGGGCTGTGGTAAGCTGCGATCATACCACTGCACTCCTGGGCAACAGAGCAAGACCCCATCTCAAAAAATAGATAAAATAAAGCCTATTCATTAAAAAAAAAATTTTAAGGTATTACCATTTGAGTCACACAAGAGAAGATAATGTCTGTTGTGTGTGTGTGTGAGCGAACACGCATGTGGTAAAGCAATATATTCGAGAGGTTCAGAGTGCAAACTCTGCTTGGGCTCAGTCTGGCTCTTCCACTTAATGGTTGCGTCACTTTGGGTAAGTTATAAACTTCTCTAAGTGTCAGTTTCTTCACTGGCAAATTGGGGATAATAATCATCATGGAGTTTTAAAGATTAAACGAGTTCACAGATGTAAAAGCACTGACCAGAACAAATTAAGTACTCAATAAATCTTAGTTCCCTGTAACTCAACATAAGGTCTATGAACCCATAAGTCAACATTACCTGGGAGCTTGTCAAAATGCAGACTCTCAGGCCACTCCAGCCCTACTGAGTCTTCATTTTAATAAGATCCTCAGGTAATTGCTGTGCATATTTAAGTTGAAAAGCACTGTATTCGCTGGTATGATTATTATCAATCATAAGCTATTCTTTGAAAATGTCAATAAATAAGCAGAAATATTAGAAGAGTCCAAATTATTATTTGCTGATGATACGTTACAAAAAAAGAGAATCAATTATAATAGTTAATGAAATTTTGAAACATATTCTAAAGATACAGTAATTAAAACAAAGTATAGGCACATAAATAAATAAAGAGTGTATGTTAATATGACCGTTTCAAATAAGTGAGTAAATGATAAACTGATAGGGCAATTGGGTATAGATTTTTTTTTTTTAAATAAAAAAGTCAAGCCAGGCACAGTGGTTCACGCCTGTAATCCCAGCACTTTGGGAGGCGTAGGTAGGCAGATCATTTGAGGTCAGGAGTTCAAGACCAGCCTGGCCAACATGGTGAAACCCCATCTCTACTAAAAATACAAAAATTAGCCAGGCGTGAACTCCACTGTGCCCGGCCTGCTAATGTTATATTTTCAGTAGGAAATAGGCTAATATTTCAGCAGGCTAATATTTTCAGTAGGAATTACAAGCTTTCTGATTTTCCCTCGAAAATTACTTAACCCTTTGGAAATATATTCTCACGTTATCCAAATTTTCCTAAGAATTCTTAAAGTAAAAATATGTCAAATTTTGTCCTCCCCAAATGGGCCACAACGTGCATTTCCATTGGCCCTCTGATCAAACCTAGTTCCAGTTTAGTTTCAACAATGAACCATCTAAGCCAGGCAAGAAATTTAACAACATAACACCAAATATCGGCCCAAAATGGAACCCATAGGTCCAAAATATGCCTAATAGTAACAGACAGCAATTGTTTAAAAGTAATTGCAAAGAAATACAGTAAGTCCAAATTCACTTTAGTTTCAATTCTGAATCATTTCTCAATCTCTAAACTGGAAAAAAAAAATTTAGCCATTTGTCACCTCTGACTAAATACAGGCTAAATGCAGGCTTCAGTCCCCAAATCACTAAGTGTGGAAAAAGTGCATGCCTTCAAGAAAAGTGCCAACGGGAGGATTTTCCCAGAAAGAGTGGTTCACATACACAGTAGGAAAATCTTGTATAGGTAACTTGGCTACCAATTTAATTCCCTCAACCAATTTGGAAACTAATGGAAGTAAATGACTAAGAACTAAAATACATCAGACAGCATGGAAAAAAACATACGTATTAAAAGCACACAATGTGATTTAAGTTTGTTTTTAATTGCCTTTTGCTGAAGTTGGAATATTAAATTCTTTTGCTGCAGATAAATCAGAAATCAGCTTTACTGGTTTCCTATAATGTTGCACTTAGAAATGTTCAGCTGCTATAATGAATTACATGACTACTTAAAGGGGTTTCTTACTCCTTGTACAATATTTAAAAGAATGTATTACATGTATATCTGCCTTATACTAACTAATCTTCATATCATTGGGTCTAAATTATTAAAGTGATATAAACTACCAGTTATTGGAATTAAACACCCTCCCCTTTCTCTAAAACTGTTAGCTTCAATGAGTACCCACGTCTCAGAAGCTATGACCATAACTACACTGAAACCATAAATTAGTGAGATTGGAATTCCCCCACAAAGGAGGGGGAAGATTCAATACCTTTTCTCATAGCTGTAGCAGGCAATACTCTCTTGGTTTCTCAGAACCACTAAGTACGGCAGTCTCCTCTGCCCAATGTAAAGTCAGCTGCCAGGCTATCTGTAACCAAACCGTAGAACCTAGTTTCCCTTTCTGAAAAGGTAAATAATCCTTCTGGCCTGATTTACCAATAAAGATGTGAGTAAAAAGAAATTATCAAGGAGAGCATACCCAGGCTTTAACTTCTTAATGAAGTTTCTTTTTTTTTTTTTTTTTTAGATGGAATCTCACCCTGTTGCCCAGGCTGGAGTGTAATGGCATGATCTCGGCTCACTGCAACCTCTGTCTCCCGGGCCTCAGCCTCCCAAGTAGCTGGAATTACAGGCATCCACCACTACGCCTGGCTAATTTTTTGTATTTTTAGTAGAGACGGGGTTTCACCTTGGCCAGGCTGTTCTCGAACTCCTGATCTCAAGTGATTCGCCCCACTTCAGCTTCCCAAAGCTAGGATTACAGGCATGAGCCACCACGCCTGGCCTGAAGTTTCTTAAGATTCCCCATCTTATAAGAAAAAGACAAACCTTGTTGGTAATGTTAATACCAATAAGTACAAATTGCACGCTCCATATCTCATATTCAGTCAGAAAAAAAAAATTAGCCTTCAGGGACACTGATAACTTTATTATATGTTAATGAATACAGTATCAAAAACATCTGGAAAAAGTACCCCTGTTAAAGAGCACAGCATTAAGAATTCACAGAGGCTGCTCAGGATAAAGCCAGGTCAAAACTAAGGTCAACATCCTTCAGGGTTTTCAATGTCAGGGTCATTCATGTACTGAGACTTAAACTTGATCCTGAGTATAATTTGTCAGTAACTGCCAAGAATTTAAAAAAGGAAAAACAATAATTTAGAGTGCCTGTATTATCTAATTTATAGTAGACTTCATTAACACCAGAGAAACATCACAATTCCTATACCCCTACAACTTTTTAATTATCTCTTCAAGACATCTTAAATGAAAACAGCATATTACTTATTGCCTCTCACTCTTAACTCCTTTTTCTTTATTCTTTGAGATTGCTGACTCAAAGCCATCTTGGGCAATAAAGACTGGTTCAGCATTCTTCCAACTCATCTAAAAAACATTTTACATTTAGTGGCAGTTCAGTCTTTAACCACAGATCACATTTCTTTTCTACTGATAAGCACTGTCACAAATCAGAATTAACAATACAATTTTAGCATATTATCTTATCAGACTTCATAATTCTCCACTGCTGCCTAGATCTTGATTTTTCAACTCTTATACCTACAACGGCTGCTTTTTAAAAAGGCATCTTAAAACAGGTCTTTCATTTAAGTTCTTTCTACAGCAAAGGCAGGGTAATTAGTAGCTAAATGGCTTACAAATTGAGCTCTCTTCAAACACTAAAAATATTACCTAAACTAATATATCTGAACTGCACTTGACTTTTAATTGCTAAAATTCTCGTGTTAGATAAAACTCAGGAATTGATCCCATAGAAAGTAACTTTGTCGGCCAGGCGGTGGCTCACGCCTGTAATCCCAGCACTTTGGGAAGCCGAGGTGGGCAGATCACGAGGTCAGGAGTTCAAAACCAGCCCGGTCAGCATGGTGAAACCCCATCTCCACTAAAAATACAAAAAATTAGCTGGGCAAGGTGGCACACGCCTGTAGTCCCAGCTACTCGGGAGGCTGAGGCAGAAGAACTGCTTGAACCCAGCAGGCAGAGGTTGCAGCGAGCTGAGATTGCACCACTGCACTCCAGCCTGGGTGACACAGGGAGACTCCATCTCAAAAATAATAATAATAATAATAATAACAATAATAATAATAATAATTTCGTCTCTAGTGATTCTTACCCAACATAAAATGAGACGTAGCTTGGTTTCTTCCCTTGTTCTGATAAACCCCAAACTACTTTATTATTTTAAAAAATGAAAGAACAAGTGAAGACTGGATATTAAATTTTAATTATAAACTATTTTAAACAGTAAAATTAAAAGTCCATTAGTCTATTAGAATAATCACAGTAAATACATCATGTTAATAAAAGAAATGAATTTTTCATTTTTTTTACAGCAAATCAGACAACTCAATAACTTTTGAAAACAATCCATGAAAACGAATGTTAAACCTGGCACTGTATTTCATTTGAGGGCATGGAAACTTTACAGTGACTTAAGACAAAATATTCTATACAGCGGAGTTGATCAAAATAAATGCTTTTTAAACACAAATTTAGTATCTTCAATATCTTCAAATTTAAAAATAACTTTCATAAATTGATTTTTTTTTTTTTTTGACACAGAGTCTCACACTGTTGGAGTGTAGTGGCACGATCTCAGCTCACTGCAACCACTACCTCCAGGATTCAAGCAATTCATCTGCCTCAGCCACCCTAGTAGCTGGTATTACAGGCATGCACCACCACACCTGGCTAATTTTTGTATTTTCAGTAGAGACAGGGCTTCACTCTGTTGGCCAGGCTGGTCTCGAACTCCTGGCCCCAAGTGATCTGCCCACCTCAGTCTCCCAAAGTGCTGCACAATTACAGGTGTGAGCCGCCAAACCTGGCCCATAAATTGATTTTAATGAAGTTTATTCCCTGAGCCAATATTTCTTTATTTATTTTTACTCCTATCAATCTAAAATTCCTGGTGTCTTATGCCAAGGAATCCGGTCTTCACTAGAATACTTTATTTTTCTTTTCTTTTCTTCTTTTTTTTTTTTTTGAGATGGAGTTTTGCTCTGTCACCCAGGCTGGAGTGCAGTGGTGTGACCTCAGCTCACTGCAACCTCCGCCTCCGGATTCAAGTGATTCTCCTGCCTCAGCCTCCTGAGTAGCTGGGATTACAGGCACACGCCACCATGTCTGGCTAATTTTTGTATTTTCATAGAGATGAGGTTTCACCATGTTGGTCAGGCTGGTCTCAAACTCCTGACCTTAAGTGATCCACCCAACTCGGCCTCCCAAAGTACTGGGATTACAGGCGTGAGCCACCGCACCTGGCCTCTAAAAACTCTTGCTCTTCAAAAGACACTGCTGAAAGAATGAAAAAATAAGCCATGGAATCGGAAAAAAAAAAAATCTTTGCAAAGCGTAAAGCATTTATATAACACAGGACTTGTATCCAGGATATATAAAGAATTCTCAATATTCAACTATAAAGAAACAATCCTTTTTTTTTTTTTTTTGGAAAGACAGGGTCTTGCTCTGTCACTCAAGTTGGAGTGCAATGGCACCATCACAGCTCACTGCAGCCTTAAACAGCTAGGCTCAAGTGATCCCCCCACCTTAAACTCCTGAATAGCTGGGACTAAAGGCACATGCCAAGCACCCAGCTAATTCTTAAGTTTTTTGTAGAGACAGAGTGTCGCTTGTTGCCCAGGGTGGTCTCGAACTCCTGGCTTCAAGTGGTCCTCCCACTTTGGCCTCCCAAAGTGCTGGGATTACAGGCATGCATGAGCCACTGTGCCCGGTCAGCCCATTTCTTTTAATGAGCAAAAGATCTGAACAAATGCTTCACCAAAGAAGATACACAGCATGAAAATAAGTACATAAAAAGATACTCAATATCATTAGTCATTAGGGAAATGTAAATTAAAACCACAAGATACCATGACACAACTATTGGAACAACTAAAATTTAAGATATATCATTTTAGCAATGGTAAGGATTTAAAGCAACTAGAACTCTCCTATCTCATATATTGCTAAAGAGAATATAAAATGGTACGGCAACTTTGGAAGACAATTTGGCAGTTTCTTTAAAAGTTAAACATAAACCTACCAACCATATGACCCAGCCATTCCACTGTAAGGTATTTACCTAAGAGAAATGAAAACATACATCTACGCAAAGCTGTACATGAAGTTCATAACAGCCTTATTCATAAAAGCAAGAAAACCAGACACAATCCAAATGTTCATCAATAGGTGAATGAATAAACAAATCTTGTTACATCCATACAATGTAACACTACTCAGATTACCACTCAGCAATAAAAAACAACAAACTCTGATACAAACAACAATAAATGAATCTTAAAGAATGCTGATGAAAGAAGAGTACATCCTAGATGAGGCCATTTATATGAAATTCCAGAAAAAGCAAAACTAACCTATGGTGACAGCAAATCAGTGGTTTTCTGGAAGTGGAGGAGGATGAGAATGAATGCAAACAGTGCTACTGTAACTTTCTGCGAGACTGAATTGTTCTGTATCTTGATTGTATGGTTATTAAATGGGTGTGTATATTTGTCAAAATTCAAATTGTAAACTTAAAATGGTTCAATCTTATTGAATGTAAATTATGCCTCAATAAAGTTGATTAAAAATATCAAAATGTGGCCAGGCACGGTGGCTCATGCCTGTAATCCCAGCACTTTGAGAGGCCAAGGCGGGAGGATCACTTGAGGTCAGGAGTTCGAAACCAGCCAGGCCAACATGGTGAAACCCCATCTCTACTAAAAATACAAAAATTAGCTGGGCATGGTGACAGGCACCTGTAGTCCAAGCTACTGGGGAGGTTGAGGCAGAATCGCTTCAACCCGGGAGGCGGAGGCTGCAGTGAGCCGAGATCGCGCCACTGCACTCCAGCCTGGGCAACAGAACAAGACCCTGTCTCAAAAATAAATAAATAAATAATTTGTAAAAAATAAATATTAATTCTGGTCCCTGAATAACTTTTGGAACACTGTGGAAATAACAAATTTATGTTAAAAAGAATGTAAAGGCTACAAAGTCAAGTTATACTCTCTATGCAAAAGCCTGCAACTAAGAATACACAATATTATCATCAAACCAAATTAATAAATACTTAGGTAGCTTAAGGGTCAAAAATGGTTCCCCACACCCCAAAAATGGCTCCTTAAGGTCTATAAGATCAAGCCCAAATGTCTCAACTAAAAATTCATGTCCTTTATGAAATGACCCCATCCTACCCATCAAAAATATCTTCTGTTCCCCAATCCAAATTCATCTATTCTCCACCAAACATAGTATTTTCTCTCCCTGGAATGCTATCCCCATATTACTGTCAGCAATTCAACTTTCAATGTTGTTTAAAGATGATCCGAACATCCACTGGCCTAATAAAAAATGTCTTTGTGGTCTGGCATGATGGCTCATGCCTGTAAACCTAGCACTTTGCGAGGCCAAAGTAGGAGGGTCACTTGAGCCCAGGAGTTTGAAACCAGCCTGGGCAATATAGCGAGACCCTATCTCTAAAGTAATACAAAAATTAGCTGGACAGGTGGCGCATGCCTGTAGTCCCAGCTACTCAGGCAGCTGAGCCCAGGAGGCTGAGGCTGCAGCGAGCCCAAGCGGTTGAGGCCACAGTGAGCCATAAATGCACCACTGCACTCCAAACTGGGTGACAGAGTGAGACCCTGTTTCAAAAGAAAAGCCTTTGGTTATTCCTAACCCAAAATGTTCTTTCCTTTCTCTAGAATTTCTTATGTTTGGCCAGAACTATAAAATATGACATATAATTTTAAACCACATTTTCCTATTCTCTAATTATGTTTTGCTTTTTAAATCTTATTTCTTCACCTATAAGGAGGAAGAGCCTTAAAGATGGGTAGTATGACTCCTACCCTGTTGTAACTTACCACACTGCTGGGAAAATAGCAGGGCTTGTTCTCTCAGTGATGCTGCACTACAGATAGATTGAAACTTAAGGGGATGGAAATCTAAACTGCATTCCCATTTGGAAACATCAGCATGAATCTATGGCTTTACTTGCCCATCTAAAATTAGAGAGAAAGAAGATAAAGGGGTAGGCTTGACAATTCTGCCAGTTCTGGTAGTTGTTAAGATTTTTTTTTGGGGGGGGGGGGGTTTGTTGTTGTTATTTTATGGAAATTTTCAAACATATATATAAGTAGAAAGAAATAATACAATGTGCCTCTTGTACCCATCAGCCAGCTTAGACAGTTATAAATAAATACATGGCCATTTTATCTATACTGCTGACCACTTCTTCCTTTCCCCCAGCAAATCTCAGACACATTCCGTCATCCATATGTATTTCAGTATATATTTCTAAAAGGTAAGTACTTTTTGTCTGCAATATGACCACCATACTACTGCCCCATCTGAAGAGAATAATTCCTTAACATCAGATACCCAGTCAATGTTCAAACTGCCCCAATTATCATATAAGTTTTTTAGCAACTGGTTTGTTCAAATCACCATCTAGAATTATTTCAGAGGGAAATAACGGTTTCCTTGTCTCCTGCTCTGTGGTCTTTTACCCCTTCAATTTCATATACTTACCTTCTTAATTTTTAAGTGTAGGCAAAAGAGCATTTCCTTCCCCCAGTACCCTCTATTCTCCTTCTTAATAAAGAATATATCCCTTCTATTTCCAATATTGAAGTTTGCCATTACCTCAGAGCTTTTAGCACATTCAGAAAAACATTTAAGTCAATCACACAGCCTCCCTCCTTCACATTTAAGTCGCCACATTCATTTACTACTCAGGAAGAGTTTTGATCTCTAACATCATAAAATGTAAATAATGTTGGCCCATTAAAAGATTATTTTCTATTTCTAAAAATCTTTATGAGAAATTCGATTTTGATCTTTAAGTTATTACATTCTCCGCTTCCCATTTTAGGTGAGTTACTTTTAACACTTCATGAACTAAGGCATAGTGATAGGGCATTTAAGCCCAAAAGATTACAACATGCTACTAAGAGATCAACATTAGCTTAGCTCTATTCCTTAGTCATGAAATGCATCCCTCATTATAATGTCACAAGGAGAACTAGATGAGAAGCTATGCAATGGTAACCTCAAATACAACCCCTTCACTAGAAAACAATATAAATGCAAATAGTGAATCAGTAAGGTCATTTCCACTCATTTTTAGCACAGATTAACAGAAGCAGATAACAAATATTAGGCAAACAACTAGAAGGAATTTTTTTAAAGGGATAATCTACCAGGCATGGTCGCTACTGCCTGTAATCCCAGCTACTCAGGAAGCTAAGATAAGAAGATCACTTGAGCCCAGTAATTCAAGGCTGCAGTGAGCCATGATTGTGCCACTTTACTCCAGCCTGGATGACTGAACAATACCTTTTTTTTTTTTTCTTTTTTGAGACAGAGTTTCACTCTTGTCGCCCAGGCTGGAGTGCAATGGCACGATCTCGGCTCACTGCAACCTCCATCTCCTGGGTTCAAGAGATTCTCCTGCCTCAGCCTCCTCAGTAGTTGGGATGACAGGCGCCCGCCATCACACGAGCTAATTTTTGTATTTTTAGTAGAGACAGGGTTTCGCCATGTTGGCCAGGCTGGTCTCGAACTCCTGACCTCAGGTGATCCACCCGCCTCTGCCTTCCAAAGTGCTGGGGTTACAGGTGTGAGCCACTGCGCCCGGCCCTTTTTCTTTTTTTTTTTTTTTTTGTGACGAAGTTTCACTCGTGTTGCCCACACTGGAGTACAATGGTGCGATCTCAGCTCACCACAACCTCCGCCTCCCGGGTTCGAGCAATTCTCCTGTCTCAGCCTCCCTAGTAGCTGGGATTACAGGCCCCCGCCACCACACCTGGCTAACTTTTTGTCTTTTTAGTAGAGACGGGGTTTCACCATGTTGGCCAGGTGATCCACCCACGTCGGCCTCCCAAAGTGCTGAGATTACAAGCGTGAGCCACTGCGGCCAGCCCAATACCATTTCAAAAAAGAAACATAAAATAAAACAAAATAGAAAATAAACTAAAAAGCAAGGCATTATCTCATCACTACTTCTAAGTCCCAAGAGCTACTAGTAACTTCAACATTCAGCAGGGCAGACTGAAATCAAAACCTTTGGGCTCAGTATTGCAAAAAAAAAAAAAATAACATGACAGTCTCTGTCCTTAAGGAACTATACTCTAGCCAGTAAAACAAGATATTTAAACAATTAGCCCACAGTATAAGAAATTATATCAATAAATGCTAAATTGTATGAATCAGATTTAAAGTAGCATAGGTCAAAGGGATAGGTTTGCAAGGGCCAAAGAAGTCAAAGGACTACATGAAGATCGGGCTTCCACTGAACCTTGAAGGCAGGGCAGACTAGATAAGTAACACTAGGATAAACTGCAAGCTCATAAGGACAGAGGCCATGCCTCTCTCTCTTGCTTACCAACGAATCCCAATGTCTGGCACAGTGCCTAGAACACAGTGACACTCAAATATTTGTAGATGAAACAGAAGGATAAATAGAAGGAAGAAGGGGAAGAAGAAGGGAGGGGAAAAGAGAAATTCCAAGAGTTGTTGTTTTGTTTTGTAAGACAGGGTCTCGCTCTGTCCTCCAGGCTGGAATGCAGTGGTTTGATCATGTTCACTGCAGCCTCAACCTCCCAGGCTCAAGCAATCCTCTCACTTTGCCTATTGAGTAGCTGGGACTACAGATGTGTGCCACCATGCTTGGTTAATTTTTTTTTTTTTTTTTTTTTTTCAGGAGAGAGAGAATCTCCCTATGTTGACCAGGCTGGTCTAGAACTCAAGGAATCCTCCCACCTCAGCCTTCCAAAGTACCGGGATTACAGGTGTGAGCCACCACACCCAGCCAAGAGTTGTGTTTGTTTGTTTGTTTTAATGAAAGATTAAATGTGGCAATATAATGAGGCAGTGAGGAAACACACACTGGTGAAAAATAAGGTAAAACAGGTAGAATTAACTCAAATCACTGATGGTTTTAAAGTTCGCCAAATGAGGTTTAATATTTAATCTCAAATACTAAAATGACTATATCCACAGCCAGGCGTGGTGGCTCACACCTGTAATCCCAGCACTTTGGGAGGCCAAGGTGGGCAGATCACCAGAGGTCAGGAGTTCGAGACCAGCCTGGCCAACATGGCAAAACCCCATCTCCACAAAAAATACAAAAATTAGCCAGGCCTGGTGGCATGTGCCTGTAATCCCAGCTACCAGCGAGGCTGAGGTAGGAGAATCGCTTGAACCAGGGAGGCAGAAATTGCAGTGAGCCCAGATCATGCCACGGCACTCCAGCCTGCACAAGAGCAAAACTCCGTCTCAAAAAAAATAAAAATAAAAATAAAAATAAAATAACATGACTGTGTCCAAAAAGCATATTGTTACATTTCCACTTTTAAAAACTACTAACTAAAAGTGTAAACAGCTATTTTCACTAAGATAGCTATTCATCTTTTAATATCATCGGGCAAACCTGGAAAATGTGCTAACATTTCTCCAGAGGCGAACCCATACCACTCGCTAATACATATGAAAGATTTTGTCCCTAATATTTTTACTATCTGAAAATGTGAATGGGTTATCACTAAGGTCATCCTCTTTGGTAGTTGTGTAATCAAATGGCTGAGGCTTACCACAATTAAGGCAAGAGACAAGAGAATGTAACCCAGCAGAAAGCCAGTGACTAATGCTGAGTCACAGTTTCCAAGTGATTATTTAACCAAAATGTCAACCTCTCATACTAACAATTCCCTACAATGGTGGCTGAAAGTAGATCAAAGGTATTATCCAAAAAGTATACATCAGTATTTTGCAGGATAATGCTAAGGGATTGAGGCCAGTAAAGTCTAGTTGGACCTAGCATTTATAAGCCCAAATTTGCTAAGTCAAGGAGATTCTTACCTCCTCAAACTTTACAGTGGGAGAAGAATTCATGATTATGTTGATCTCAGTATACTTGGATCCTCCAGATAACACCCTCTTGCCAAAAAGTTCCAGGTCCTGGCTACTACCAGCTACAGTCTTTAGTGGCAGCTATATAATCTCAATATAGAAGGACTTTAGAAAGAAAAACCTAATGAGGGAAGGGAGCATTGGAAATTTTATCTTAAGGCTCTACATATGCACAGCAAGTGCATTACTTAAATTATATACACATTCATCATGAGTTTGCGAGCTCTCAACATCTCCAATGCTCATTTTCCTTAGCATTCCTTCTACTCTTTCAGCCCAAATCATCCATAACAGACAAGTTGTCTGGTTACATGCTAACACTCATCCATACTCATACTTTCTGGTTATGTACAGCTGTGATTAGAATTCTACTGTCCAATTTTGATGCCTAATACCTGGTATCGTGGAAAGAACAAGAGCCCTGGAGTCATATAGACCTACTTATAAATCTCAGCTCTACCACTTACAAGGTAAAGAACTTTGGACAAGTTACCTAAGTGAAGCTCATTTTTCTCAATAGAAATTAGGTAAAACAATAGTTACTTTGTAAAAAGCTGTTGAAGGCTAGCAAGAATTATATGAAGTATACAGAACATAGGAGGCACTTAGCATACAGCAATTAAGATGGAAGTCTATTGACCAGACCTACACACAGGTTTCCAAATAGTATTAACTATATAATGAAAGCATGAATCAGCTTCACACGTCCTTGTCTCTCTACTCCCAGTTGTAAGATGACTTAACTGCTCCTCCGGAGGAAGAAGGCTGTTTCTCAGTCCTCAGTCTTAAGCCAAAATTGACTAACATTACAGTTATCTCCTTACCATTAACATGTTTGCTACCACAGCTGCTAAGAAAATTTTATGTTTTCACTATGGCCTATGTTCTTGTTTTATGGTCTTGACCAATATTTTTAAGAGACAGGGTCTTGCTCTGTTGCCAAGGCTAGAATGCAGTGGCACAATCATAATTCACTGCAGCCCTGAACTCCTGGGCTCCTACCTTATCCTTCCTAGTAGCCCAGCCTCCTTAGCAAATCGTGAATGCTGTTTCACTCTCAGTCTATTCTAGGGAGCTCTGACAGTCCCCAGCTTCTCCAGAACTACCACTCTTTGGCTTACCATACTACTGTACTCCAAGATGGCAATCAAACCATAGTGCTCTGCCAGTGCCTAAGTGCCTTTATGTCCCTGTAACAGGCTGATGTCCAGTTCCACTTACTCCTAGCAAACAGGATCCCAATTTCTAGAATGACAGATACATCCCTATCTCAAGCTTGCCCCACCTAGGTCTACTTCCTCTTATTTTCCCACCCCCACTTCCCTACAGCCCCACAACAGTATATGTATTTTGGGTAAAGTAGACAGATACTCAAATAGGAGTCAGAAGACCTTGGTTCTACCTCTACTTCTGCCACTTTACTAGTTATGAAGTGATAAAATGTTGTACTTACCTTACAGGAAGGCTCAAATAGACATTTATGAACATGTTCTATAGATGTATTATTATTATAAGTATAGCAAGTTTCTATTATGACAATATTTACTTGTCAATATAAAACCCTAACATATTTTTTTAAATCCTCTAGCATTGTTTTATTAGCAACAGCTTAGAAACAACTCAAGGCCAGGCGTGGTGGCTCACGCCTGTAATCCCAGCACTTTGGGAGGCCCAGGCAGGAGGATTCCCTGAGGTCAGGAGTTTGGGACCAGTCTAGCCAACATGGTGAAACCCTGTCTCTACTAAAAATACAAAAAAAAATTAGCCAGGTGTGGTGGCATGAGCCTGTAATCCCAGCTACTGAGGGGACTGAGGCAGGGAAATTGCTTGAACCAGGGAGGTGGAGGTTGCAGTGAGTCAAGATCGCGCCATTGCACTCCAGCCTGGGTGACAGAGAGAGACTCCGTCTCAAAACAAAAAAAAAAAACAACTCAAATGAAATATCTAAAAAATATATATAATACATCCTTTCATTGGAATACCACGTAGCTTTTTTAACATTAGATACGAGAGTGAAAAAAGTAAGATGCAGACTATTGTATATTATTTACTATAATTTGTGTTAAAAGAGGAAATAAGTAGTAGATATTTACATTTACTTCTATACACATAAACTATCTCAAGACATATAAGACACAGATAATATCAACTGCCCCTGGGAAGGGAAATCTGGATGATCATGGGGTATGTGTGAACAGGATACTTTTCACTGTATTTCACTCTTCTTTAGCTTTTATGATTTTGAACCTAATAGTTCCCTAAATGGGGTAGGCATAGCATCTCCTCATACAACTATAAACCTGAGAAATAAGCTGAACCATTAATGAGGATGACAGCATATCTGACAACTCATTTCCTGGGCCAGCCTCAAACTCACAATTACCACCACCTAAAACAAATTACATTCCCTTCCATGATCTCACCAAGTAACAAGAGTTAATTTATTCCTTCTAGGCAAACTTCCTGACTTGCTATACGTATCTATGTGCTATGTATATCCACATTCTATGTTATTGATTATTTTTTTTTCTTTTTTTTTTTTTTTGAGGAATCTCAGCTCTGCTGCCCAGGCTGGAGTGCAGTGGCACGATCTCGGCTCACTGCAAGCTCCGCCTCCCAGGTTCACGCCATTCTCCTGCTTCAGCCTCCCAAGGAGCTGGGACTACAGGTGCCCGCCACCACACCTGGCTAATTTTTTTTTTATTTTTAGTAGAGATGGGGTTTCACAGTGTTAGCCAAGATGGTCTCGATCTCCTGACCTTATGATCTGCCCACATTGGCTCCCAAAGTGCTGGGATTATAGGCGTGAGCCACCAAGCCTGGCTTTTTTTTTTTTTTTTTTTTTTTTTTGAGACAGTTTTTTGCTCTTGTTGCCCAGGCTGGAGTGCAATGCACGATCTCGGCTCACTGCAACCTCCACCTCCTGGGTTCAAGCAATTCTCCTGCCTCAGCCTCTCTAGTAGCTGGGATTACAGGCGCCTGCCACCATGGCTGGCTAATTTTTGCATATTTAGTAGAGACGGGGTTTCACCATGTTGGCCAGGCTGGTCTCCAACTCCTGATCTTAGGTGATCCACCCACCACAGCCTCCCAAAGTGCTGGGATTACAGGTGTGAGCCACTGCACCCGGCCAGTTACTGATACTCGTAAAACTTACCGTTGCAGGGTTCCATCACAAGCCTTGGAAGAGCTCTCTAAATCAGAACACTTCCTACCTTCAGGGCCTGTTGAGGATCCATTCCAATGCTAACTTTTCTGAACCAAGGACTGAGTTCTCCCTCTTAATCACTCAAGATTCACCACAGGACCCCAGCAAATCATTAATTTGAACTCCAATGATTAAATGAGCACAATGCAGACCATCCCCCTATTTACAGAAGAGTAAATTATGTTAATTTCTTCAATTTAGCAGAAAGGCATTCTTCCGAAACCTTTCAGAACAACTGTTATTTACCAATTTACCAAGGCAACATTCTCCCAAAATAAAATTTTAAATGATATTGCCTTAAACACAATTTTTTTTTTTTCGAGATGGAGTCTCACTCTGTCACCCAGGCTGCAGTGCAGTGGCGCGATCTTGGCTCACTGCAACCTCCACCTCCCGGGTTCAAGCAATTCTCTGCCTCAGACTCCCAAGTAGCTGGGATTACAGGCACCCGCTAATTACCATACCCGGCTAATTTTTGTATTTTTATTTTGTATTTTTAGTAGAGACGGGGTTTCACCATATTGGCCAGGCTGGTCTTGAACTCCTGACCTCATGATCCACCCGCCTCGGCCTCCCAAAGTACTGAGATTACAGGCATGAGCCACTGCACCCGGCTGCCTTAAACATAATTTTAATTATTCTGGAATGAGACCAGGTGTGGCTGCTCATGCCTATAATTCCAGTGCTTTGGAAGGCCAAGGTAGGATAACTGCTTCAGGCCAGGAGTTTGAGACCAGCCTAGGCAACAAACCGAGACACTGTCTATACTAAAAATAAAACCACTAGCCAAGTGCAATGGTGTGTGTCTGTAGTCCTAGCTATTCAGGAAACTGAGATGGGAGGATCACTTGAGCCCAGGAGTTTGAGGTGACTGTGAGCTACAATCACACCACACTGCACTCTGGCCTGGTCAACAGAGCAAGACCCTGTCTCTAAACAAAACCAAAAAACCATTCTGGAATGACATGACAGGACATGAAACACTGCTCAAAACAGCAGCTAATGCTACCTCCATTCTTGCTCCCTATGGCAAGCAGGTTATTTTTGGACCTAGCCTATGAAGCAGCACTTTGTTGACTATGAGCTTCATCCTCTGAATATTCCTTTCACATTCAACCTTGGTCCTCGCTTTCTGGTGCCGAGCTCCAAAACCTCAATGGAATACATAATGAAATGTTGGGTTACTTTAGGGCAAAAGGTTAAGCCTACAAAAGCTTTCTAATTGGGAAATCTCTTCCATGAAAGCATACAGAAATTTGCTGACTCTTTCTTTTCCTAATAGCTATTTGCTTTCTTTGGAAAAAATCTTCAGTCAAACACAAAAGCCAACTACCTAGCAAAGCTCAAATACAGACAGGTGTTTTGCAAGCACAGTAAATCTCAAGGGTAACAAATCAACAAGAGATAATATCTACTAATAAGCTGCTTATTGCTGTGCTGGGAGAGTTAACTGCCTAAAAATCTCTCAGTTAAGACTAGCATTGAGGAAAAAAAAAATTGTAATACAACTAAAAGAAAAACAAGCTCATTTTCTACCCAGAGAAAATGTGCAAAGGGAAGAACCCCTGTAAGTCAACTATTCTGCTACATAAAAACCTTTTATTCCAGAGTTATTTTCAGTGTCACTTAATTCCAGGGTGGAGACTAAGGGTCCCAAACAAACCTGTGTGTGTATGTGTGTATTTTTCTAGCTTAATAATTCTAAAATCCACGGTTAGGCTTTTTCAGGAAAGTCTGAAAGTCACAAAACCCCTATTATGCTCTTTGAGAACAGAATGGGTAATCATGTGAAAATACATTTGTAAATTAGCAGTTATTTAGAATAAACAATTTCAATTGCAAAGAAAGCAAGGATTTTATCACATTAGGCATGCCTTGTTCCATTAGCTCAGTTCCCTAGACCTTAAACTTCTCTGATGCTCACAAGACCCTGAAGTTGGTTCCTACATGAGAAAGACATTACAGAAAATCCCAAGAGAATGCTGTATTTCAGAGTTTAAGAATTTCTGATGTTCTACAGAGAAAGGAGGCTACACTAAAGAATAAGAAAGTGATTATTCAGCAATGTTATCTGAACTTAATGCAAGTCACATCCAATGAATCAGTCAAATACTGCATGCCACAGGAAGGTAACGTGTCATGCACAAGGTGGGAGGATCAAGGTGGCTAAACTGAAATCTGCATAACACCTTTTTTTTTTTTTTTTTTTTGAGACGGAGTCTTGCTTTGTCACCCAGCTGTAGTGCAGTGGCATGATCTTGGCTCACTGCAACCTCCACCTCCCTGGTTAAGCAAGTCTCCTGCCTCAGCCTCCCAAGTAGCTGGGATTACAGGCCCAGCTAATTTTTTTGTATTTTTAGTAGAGATGGGGTTTCACCATGTTGGCCAGACTGGTCTCAAACTCCTGACCTCAGGCAATCCGCCCGCCTTGGCCTCCCAAAGTGCTGGGATTATAGGCGTGAGCCACCACACCCGGCCTGAGAATTGTCATATTTTTAATTAAATTAAATTAAAATTGTCATATTTTTAATTTAACCCGAAATCTGCAAAACACTTTTAAGTAATGTCTTTTCCACTATCTGCTTCGACATCAGTGGGGTGCCAACACAATCATCTCGATACCTTTTCTGCCACCTACCCCTCTGTGTATTTTGCATTAGAAAACTGTGAGAAAAATGTTGCTTTTCTAGAAATGCCCAAAGTTATAAAATGAGAGTTTTTTAAAAGACACTAAAGAGGTCATGCCAGAATTAAGTATGATATCCTAAAAAAAAAAAAACTCTTTACACCAAATAACACCCCAAAAATCATTTCTGCTTTGCAGGCTGACTTTCAGAATGGATTAAGTGTTTAATTGTTAAGTTAAATGAATGTTTCCAAAGGTATAGCAAAAAGTTTAATAAAGGAGATTATAGAGCTTCCCAAACTGTGGTATAATATATTTAAGAGTGCTTAAAGCTGGCCTCCCAAATATACTTTAAGTTGTATAAAGCTATCATAATTAAAGCTGTACAGTATCAAAGCAAGAAAAGACAGCACACTCAATGGATTAGAATTCAGAAATGTACCTAAGTATCTATTGGAGTTTTGTAAATGATAGTGTTGCTTTTTAAATCAAGAAGGAAAAGAGCAATTATGCAATTAATTGTGTCAGGAGAAGCTAGAGACCTGGAGAAAAACCTAGACTCATTTATTCAATAAATGGAGGGTGTATTACAAGGCAAGCATTGTGCTAGACACTGAAAATAAGAGCAAGGGAAAAACAAAACAACACAATACATTGCCCTCATGAGACTTACAGTCAAGTAGGAATAAGCCATTAATAATCACAAAAATAAATGTAAATTTACAACTCTAATAAATTCTACAACTCATCCCCTATCTCATTTGGTTTATATCAAAATGCATTTCACATGAAGCAAAGATTTACATTTAAAAACAAAACCATAAAAGTAGTTGAAAAAAATGGGTAAATATTTTTATATAATTAGAATTTTAAAAAGCAAGCCATAAAGAGAAAAAAAAACAGAAAAATCTGACTATAAAAATAAAAGCATTTTCATTTTATATTAGACACACACACAAAGTCAAAAGACAAAGAAAAATATCAGTAATATATTTTATAAGGTAACTAATTTCCCTAATATTAAAAAGCTATTACAGGCCAGGCACAGCAGCTCATGCCTGTAATCCCAGCATTTTGGGAGGCTGAGACATGAGAACCATTTGAATTTGGGAGGCAGAGGTTTCAGAGAGCCAAGATTGCACCACTGTACTCCAGCCTGGGTGACAGAGTGAGACTCCAACTCAATTTTTTTAAAACATTAATAATAATAATAAAGCTATGACAACTGATGAATAAGAAAAAGCCAAAAGCCCAACAGAAAAGTAGACAAAGCAGAAAGACAACCAACAGACAAATTAAATGATGCTCGAATGTACTAATAAGTAACTACAAATAATAAAATGACATTTTTTCACCTGTCAGATTAATTCCCTAAAAAGGCTATTTGCCAGGGTTAAAAAGAACAGAAAAATCACTGTCATACACTCTCAAGCTGAGTGAATTGGCATGGCCTTACTTGGAGGGTGATGTGGCAACATCTTACATGATTTTAAGCACTCATACTTTGATCCAAGCATTCCACTTCTAGTAAATTATTCTATACAATTACCAAGAAAATGAAGACTCTGGCTTTAAAAGAAGATCAGAACATTGTATATATCATGATGGAAAAGAATACATAACTTTTGAGACGTTGACTCTAGGTCACACTAAATAAAATTCTTTTATTTTTTAAAATAAGTCTACGTGTTTTGAATAGTAAATACTGCAATAGCAAATAAATGGAATAGAAAAAAAAACCACTAGCACAAGTGTGCAAATATAAATGTGCAGAAACAACTTACGTAAAATTTGTAATTAAAACAATAAAATCTGGGCTGGGCACGCTGACTCACACCTGTAATCCCAGCACTTTGGGAGGCTGAGGCAGGGGGATCACTCAAGGCCAGGAGTTCGTGACCAGCCAAGCCAACATGGTGAAACCCCGTCTCTACTAAAAATACAAAAATTAGCTGGGTGTGGTGGCGCGCACCTGTAATCCCAGCTACTTGGGAGGCTGAGGTGGGAGAATCACTCGAATCTGGGAGGCAGAAGTTGCAGTGAGCCAAGATCATGCCATTGCACTCCAGCATGGGTGACAGAGAAACTCTGTCTCAAAAAAATAAAACAATATCTAGAAACAACCCTAAAATCTATCAATAGGCTACTATGTAAAGTATAGTATATCCATAAAATAGAATACTCTGCAGCCATTAAAATGATTGAGACAAGGACAAAGTGTACTGACATGGAATAATGTTGGAGATATACTATTAAATGAAAAAACAAGTGGCAAACTAGATTGTGGTATGTTCCCTTTTTTAATTAAAAAAAATTTTTACCATGTGAATGGGGAAAAAATCTGGTTATAAATAGTTAATGTTTTCTCTGGAGAGATGAGGAACTTTCACTTTCTTTGTTATACATTTTGTAAGGTTTGATTATTTTGTAAGACACATGTATTAGAGAGGCAAATACATAGACAGATGTTTTTAAAGTCTTTGAGGCTAGAGGCCGGGCGCAGTGGCTCACACCTGTAATCACAGCACTTTGGAAGGCCGAGGCAGGCGGATCACAAGGTCAGGAGATCAAGACCATCCTGGCTAACACGGTGAAACCCCGTCTCTACTAAAAATTACAAAAGATTAGCCGGGCGTGATGGCAGGTACCTGTAGTCCCAGCTACTCAGGAGGCTGAGGCAGGAGAATGGCATGAACCTGGGAGGCGGAGCTTGCAGTGAGCCGAGATGGCGCCACTGCACTCCAGCGTGGGCGACAGAGCGAGACTCCGTCTCAAAATAAATAAATTAATCAAAAAAATAAAGTCTTTGAGGCTAGAAAACGTCCCGGGAAAGAGAGAGCTATATGAACATGGGAGAAAGTACAGAATGAGCACAGAGGAAAATAATCTCAATAAAACATATAGTTTCAGAGTTTAAACAACTATATAAATTAAGAAACTAGAGAATCAAAATTAAAGACACTTGTGCTGCAAACAACACTACCAAGAAACTGAAAAGACAACCCACAGAATGGCAGAAAATATTTGTAAATCATGTATCCGATAAGGGACTTGTATCCCAAACATAAAGAACTCTTACAACTCAGCAATAAAAAGACAAATAATCCAATTCAAAAATGGGCAAAGGATGTTAATAGACATTTCTCCAAAGGAAATATACAAATGATCAACTGGCACATGAAATGATGCTCACTACCATTGTTCATTAGGGAAATGTAGATCAAAACCACAATGCAATACTTCTTCACATCCACTAGGATGGCTAAAATCAAAAAAAAGAAAATAAGTTTTGGATGTAGACAGAACAGAAACCCTCATACATTGCAGGTAAGAATATAAAATGGGGCAGCTACTGTGGAAAACAGTTTGGAAGTTGCTCAAAACCTTAAACAAGGAGTCACCACATGACCAAGCGATTCCACTCCTAGGTATATGCCCAAGAAAAAAATGAAAACATGATCACACAGAAATTTGTACACAAATGTTCAAGACCATATTATTCATAATCGCCAATAAGTAGAAACAATGCCCACCAATTCATGAATTGATTTTAAAAATGTGGCGTATCCATACAACATAATATTATTCAGCCATAAAAAAATAATGAGATTCCAACATATGTAAGAACATGCATGAACCTTGAAGGCATTACACCAAGTGAAAGAAGTAAAATACAACAGGACACCCACTGCATAATTCTATTTATATGAAGTGTCCAGATGACGTAAATCGATAAAAATTAATTTGTGGTTGCTTAGGGCTGAGAAGAGAGGTTGAAGAAATAAGCAGTGACTGCTAATGGGTACCATGCTTCTTTTAAGGATAATGAAAATGTTCTAAAATGTATTATAGTGATGGTCGCACAGCTCCATGAATACACTTAAAAAAAATTGGGTGAACTGTATGGTCTGTGAAATGTACCTCAATAAAGCAGTTGAAAAAATTATAAATTAAAGAGAAACTGGAAGCCCCCTGAGGTTAAGTAATTTGCCCAAAGTCAAACTGCTGGCTAGTAAAAACTGGAACCAGAAACATCCCGATTCCCGCACCAGTCTCAGTTCTTTAACTACAGATTGTCGCAAGCAACTCTGATGGGCCAAAAAGGTTCCACAAAGAGCTGGAAAAACAGAAAACCTATTCTTATCCTGGTATCAGGATAAGAAAAGGAAGAGAAATTTAGGTAATGCAACTAAATTTTGGTTTTCAAAATTTAATGTGACTCCAAAATGGATGCGTGGCCTAAAAATCTAACAACCATTGATGTAACCTCACTGCTATACGAGGTTGTGACTTGGTATAACAATACCCCTTTTACTAAGAGCTCAATTAGAGCAGGGCACTGGATGCAGCTGCTGCCTCAAAAGAAAGGAGGAAAATGAGATCGGAAGAGGCAGTAGGCTAAAATCACTGGCTACCCTTTTGCATGGTCAAAGGCCAATGAGTAACATGCTTCAAACAAGTTATTTTATTCCTGAGAACTGTGAAATCCTTTAAAGAGATCCTAAAGTACCATCCCAACATTTAATTACCTCCCAGAATTACCATACACATGTAAGATATTTAGGTATAATATATGAAAGTGTTGTTTCTGCAGCTGACTTGGACCCAAAGATCATTGCCAGAATACAACTACCCCATTTGACTAGAATAACAATATCCCTGTTGATGTAGAAATGGAAAGTAAGCCAAGAACATACAATCACTAAAAACATTATTTTGAGAGTTTAAAAAAATGAAGTACCAAAAAAATTCAACTATTGTCGGAATGCTGCTTATGCAATATTAGAACATTCTAACAGAAGGAAAAGACAACAGGAGGCAAGAAGCAGAAAGAGAGAAGAAATCCTGCAGGTGTCCAACTCATCCTAATAAGAAACACACAGCTCTGCTCCTGTCTTCCACAATAAAAACAGTTCTGTTTCTTGCAGCATATGAACCAAGATTGCTTCCGCCAGAAACAGAAAACAACTTACTACAAGAAAATGTCAACTTGTTCCACAGAACACTACACTAGCAGTGAACAGATATAAACCTCTTAAACTAAAGAGTTTGGCCAGTTTCTTCACCAAGTTTTTAATACCACTGACTCATTACCAAATTCAGCTCAGTTCACACAAATTCTAACATAAGTGGACAAAAATACCACCTCGAAGTACACACTATAAATAATAAAAGATTCTATAAAATAACTTGTCCTCAAATTTCTAACAGCTTTGACTTCTTTATCATTTTAAATTAACGCAGAAGCTCTCTTAGCCCACCTTCACTCAACCAACCTGCCAAAATAATCAATGCTTCTCCTTGTCTCAGTAAAGCAACCAATGCCCCCAACATGCAAACTGGCCCCAACTAATAACAGCTGTCTCTTACTCTTATAAGCTTCTGCTGCTCCCATTATTAAGTTTTTTGGTTTTTTTGTGGTTGGTTTGTTTGAGATGGAGTCTCGCTCTGTGGCCCAGGCTGCAGTACAGTGGCAGGATCTTGGCTCACTGCAACCTCTGCCTCCCAGGTTCAAGCAATTCTCCTGCCTCAGACCTCTCGAGTAGCTAGGATTACAGGCATGCACCAACACACCCAGCTAATTTTTGTATTTTTAGTAGAGACAGGGTTTCACCAGGTTGGCCAGGCTGGTCTGGAACTCCTGACCTCAGGTGATCCGCCTGCCTGGGCCTCCCAAAGTGCTGCAATTACAGGCATGAGCCACCGCGCCGGGCCCAGCCTCCCGTTATTAAGTTATATTCTTACCAATAATTAACTGTTTTTTTCCCAAACCTATTTATACCAGTTGCTCATTATTACAGTTATGTAATTTAATTAAATAGAATGTAAACTGATGAAAAATTAAGGAGATACGTTTCTATGAAAACTTCATCAAATGCTTAAAAAGACATAGTAAATTAGACGTGAATGAGATGAGTATAAAAGACTGGGAAGGAGTCATAAAAATCAAGAGGGATGCTGTACTAATATTGCTTCACAAATGCCATTAAATTCATGTTCTGCTTTAAAAAGCAAACAAAACTGGAAATTATAGATAATGAATTATGGGTGTATTTAATGGAAACAAAATTAAGGAACTCCAACTAGGGCACACAAAGAAAAAGCCTTGGCCCTGCATCAACAGGTTAACAAAATATTAACCTATGTTAACAAACATTAATATTTAATATTAACAAAAAACATTAATGTTTGTTAACATAGGTTAAGATATTTTGATATTAACCTATGTGCTAATCAATCTTTCTTTCTTTCTTTTCTCTCTCTTTTCTTTCTTTCCTTTTTAGAGACAGGGTCTCTGTCACACAGGCTGGAATGCAGTGGCGCAACCATAGTTTACTGCACTGTAATCTGGAACTCCTGGGCTCAAGCAATCCTCCCAGCTCAACCTCCCAAGTAGCTAGAACTACAGCCACTTACCACCATCCACCGCTCACTTATTTTTATTTTTTGGTAGAGATGGGGCCTCACTACTACCGTGCTGCTCAGGCTGGTTTTGAACTAGCTAGCCTCAAGCGATCCACCTACCTAGACCTCCCAAAGTGCTGGGATGGCAGGCATGAACCACCATACCCAGCCCTGGGGTTTGGTTTTGTTTGTTTGTTTAAAGAATCTTCATCTATTTAGAGATACATGCCAAAATATCTACCGATGAAATGAAAGGATTCTGGGATATGCTTCAAAATCCAGGAAAAAAGCGGGGAAGTGGGAAAGGTATAAATGCAAGATTGGTCACAAGATGACAACTGTTTAAACTAGGCGACAGGCACATAGGGGTTCATTATATTATTCCCTCTACTTTCATTTATGTTTGAAATTTTCCACAATACATACTTTTTAAAAGAGTAATGCATGAGCCAGGCATGGTGGCTCATGCCTGTAAGCCTAGCACTTTAGGAGACCGAAGCAGGCGAACTGCCTGAGCTCAGGAATTCGAGACCATCCTGGCCAACATGGCGAAACCCCATCTCTACAAAAAATACAAAAATTGGCCGGGCATGGTGGCATGTGCCTATAGTCCCAGCTACTCAGGAGGCAGAGGTTGCAGTGAGCCGAGATCATGCCACTGCACTTCCAGCCTGGGCGACAGAGCAAGACTCCGTCTACATAAAAAAGAAAAACCAAAAAAAGATTAATGCATGAATATATATTTCTGATTTTCCTGCTTTATCAGTTTTTCCCCTCAATTAACTAAGCACATCATAACCAAAACTTACTGTATAGGAGGGCTTCTATTGGAGATAAAAGAAAAGCAGTTACCACCAAATGTCCAAAACACAGATAATTCCACAGTCATAACCCCACAACATACTAAGCACAATATCCTATATGGCCCAATTACCCTTGAAAATCTCTTAACCCATAAAGTACAATGCACACAGCAAATTTAAACATGATAGGACTGCTGCATTACCATATTTATTCATATAACTTTCTCCTTCACAATCTCCTTGACTATCTTTTCACCATTAAAACGAGGGAGGAGCAATTTACAACTTTTATTAATCTCTGAAATTCTCACGCTGGTTTACCAAAAAATAGTTATTTAAAAATCAATGGTAGGCTGGGTGCAGTGGCTCACGCCTATAATCCCAGCACTCTGGGAGGCCGAGGCGAGTGGATCACGAGGTAGGAGTTCAAGACCACCCTGGCCAGCATGGTGAAACCCCGTCTCTACTAAAAATACAAAAAAATTAGCCGGGTGTGGTGGTGGGCGCCCGTAGTCCCAGCTACCTGGGAGGCTGAGGCAGGAGAATCTCTTGAACCCAGGAGGCAGAGGTTGCAGTGAGCAGAGACTGCGCCACTGCACTCCAGCCTGGGTGACAGAGTGAGACTCCGTCTCAAAAAAAAAAAAAGTCAGTGGAGAGGCAAGGTGCAATGGCTCACTCCTGTAATCCCAGCACTTTGGGAGGTCGAGGCAGGTGGATCACAAAGTCAGGAGTTGGAGAGCAGCCTGACTAACACGGTGAAACCCCGTCTCTACTAAAAATACAAAAATTAGCCAGGTGTGGTGGCACGTGCCTGTAATCCTAGCTACTGAGGAGGCTGAGGCAGGGGAATCACTTGAACCGGAGAGGCAGAGGTTGCAGTGAGCCAAGATCACGCCATTGTACTCCAGCCTGGACAACAGAGCGAGACTCCATCTCAAAAAAAAAAAAAAAAAAAATCAATGGTTTGGGTGATCAAGAGTCTGTTTCTCATTAACCTTTCTTCTTCCCTTCAGCAATTTCTCCAGTTTGGGTTTTTGTCCCTTTATCAAAGATCAGGAGAGAATGATGATTTATAAAAAGCAAGTAAAAGGTGAGACTTGGCCGGGTGCGGTGGCTCATGCCTGTAATACCACCACTCTGAGAGGCTGGGGGCGGGGGGTGGATTACTTGAGGTCAGGAGTTCAAGACCAGCCTGGCCAACATGGTGAAACCCATCTCTACTAAAAATACAAAAATTAGCCAGGCGTGGCTATGGGCACCTGTAATCCCAGCTACTAGGGAAGCTGAGGCAAGAGAATCGCTTGAACCCAGGAGGCGGAGGTTGCAGTGAGCCGAGATCGCACCATTGCACTCCAGCCTGGGTGACAGAGCAAGACTCTGCCTCAAAAAAAGGTTAGATTTACACTTGAATTCTTGTCATTCCTCTTCCAGGTTTGGTACAGGGAAAGATGGATTACACAGCTGCTATAACCTTCTCCTGACTTGTACTATATCTATGGGACTAGGTTTAGAGGTGTAGTAGAGACTTAAAAGCCCTACACCCCCAAGCCAACAAAGGCAGATGGGGAGACAGATAAGATAAAGAGAGCCAGTGTGGCTTGCAGTGAGCCAAGCCTGCTCATACACTGCTCAGGAGGTTAATTCTAGTGCAGCCTTTCTGGAAAGCAATGTGGCAATATACATATTAGGTGCCGTACAAGCATGTGTTCCCTTTGGCACGGTAATTTCCCTTTCAACAATATATCCGGAGCAAAAAATCAGAAGTACATCAAAGACTTGTGCACAACAATGGTTATCACAGAAAATTTGTAAAGTGAAAAACTAGAAATAAAATTATAAAAAAGATTCAAAAAATAACAGCAATGTTATGGTAAAGTAAAACTGATGTTGGCCAGGCGTGATGGCTCACACCCGTAATCCCAACACTTCGGGAAGCCAAAGAGGGAGGATCATTTGAGCCCAGGAGTTCAAGACCAGCCTAGCAACATAGCAAGACCCCCATCTCTACTAAAAATAAAATTTTTTAAAATTAGCTGGGCATGGTGGCATGCACCTGTAGTCCCAGGTACTCAGGAGGCTGAAGTAGAAGGATGACTTGAACCTAGGAGGTGGAGGCTGCAGAGAGCCATGATCACATCACTGCACTCCAGCCTTAGGTGACAAAGCGAAACCCTATCTCAAAAATATAAAAACAAAAAACAAAAAACTAAGGGATTTGAATTCAAATTGCAAGACTTACTTTAGATACACTGATCTTCCTAATAGTAAAAGTTTGAGATATGCCAAAAATCAATTACTAGCCCAGAAAAGCTGTGAAATCTCCTTACTCGGAGATTTGTGAGAAAAAGGTAGAAAATTACTTTTCTTTAACATCTTAACTATAGATAGGAAATTCCAATAGTAAAAGTCAAAAGATGTATTAAGGGTATAAAAACAAACTCAGCTCTTATTTTTAATCCTTATATTCATGTACTCAATGAATATCTGCAGACATTGCACGAAACATAAGGAATACAGCAGTGAATAACAGATTAAAATTCCGGCCCCCACAGGGCTTACATTAGATTATCACACTGTGCCATCCTAATGAGCAGTATAAGTTAGGTTAGGTATTTTTCTTTGGTCCTTTTTTATTTGAGAAGTGCTCTGGCTCTGTTGCCCAGGCTGGAGTTCAGTGGTGCGATCATAGCTCACAGAAACCTTGACCTCCTGGGCTCAAGCGATCCTCCCACCTCAGCCTCCTGAGTAGCTGGGACCACAGGCATGCACCACCACACCCCTGGTTATTTTTATTATTATTATTTGCAGAGATAAGGTCTCACTATGTTGCCCAGGCTGGTCTCCAACTCTGGGGCTCAAGTGATCCTCCTGCCTCAGCCTCCCAAAGTGCTGGGATTACAGGCGTGAACCACTGCATCTGGCCAGGTATTTTCTTTTTTTACTTTTAAGTAAAATTATGCTTGGAAATTTCAAGTATGTCAAAGCACTGTCAGAAAATAAACGGCATCTAGCACTTGGACTAATCCAGAGATGCCCTTAATAAATGTTTATAAGAGTAAGAAGCTGGCCGGGCGCGGTGGCTCACGCCTGTAATCCCAGCACTTTGGGAGGCTGAGGCGGGCAGATCACGAGGTCAGGAAATCGAGACCAGCCTGGCTAACACATGGTGAAACGCCGTCTCTACTAAAAATACAAAAAATTAGCTGGGCGTGGCGGCAGGCGCCTGTAGTCCCAACTACTCTGGAGGCTGAGACAGGAGAACGGCGTGAACCCGAGAGGTGGAGCTTGCAGTGAGCCAAGATCGCGCCACTGCACTCCAGCCTGGGCAACAGAGTGAGACTCCGTCTCAAAAAAAAAAAAAAAAGACTAAGAAACTGTGTGACTCAGGTATTGGGGTGGCAAGAAGACTTCATTTCACTGAATGCTCCTTTGTACCTTTTGAATTTTGGGCCATATATCATCCATTTCTATTTCTGATAATTTTGCACGTTTATTGGATGGATGGATGGAATAAAAAATTTCTTCTCCAAAAAATTCCGTCTCAAGAAATGTGGGCAACTAACCTACATTTTCACATTCAATTCTGGGGGGAGCTATGAAAAGTAAAGTATACTGCTGGTAAACATGCGCTGGAGCTGAAACTAGACAGAAATTTGATAATTTTTCAGAACTTCATCAAAACCTAAATTTAGTTTAAAATAACTGGCCGAAAGTATCCAACTGAGTGAGCTCAGCCCACACAGACAAGCTTCAACAGGCAATGAGTCTGCTTCTCTTTCCGTTTCAACTTCTGGGAAATGTGGCTAAGTATTCACAATCTGATTCCTACCTCTTTGAAAAGCCTAAGTCTGAGATAAAATACCATCAGTGTCCAGAGGCTCCTTGTCTACCACGGATCACACACCTGCTAAACACAAATATGTTCCTAACATAACTTACTGATGGCTCATCCAACAGTTCCGTACTCGCTTCCGCAATTCTATTCTGAACAGATCCAAAAGAAGTCTTTCAAGCTAATTCATTCAAGACTGTTGAGACTTCTCAAGGACATTGCCTACGCCATTTATTTAGCAATATTTTATTAGATTAGGATAAAAGCCCATTTGAATGTATATAATTTTCACCCTCTTGATGTTATCAGTCATCCACGGGACTGTATGACTACATTATTATCCCAGAAAGGGACCAAGCTACTCGCTATTAGGAGGAACCAGGGACTCACCTACCTGATAGGTGAGATCATTCATCTGGAGAACAGCCATAGCCCACAGACCAGAAACTAGAACTATATTAAGAAGAATTCCTTCTTGTGTTTACTTAGGATAATGAAAAAAAAAAAAAAGAGGAACCCTTGATATAAATGGTTCTCTTGACCCTCACCTGTGTCATCAAGGTATATATCTAGATGACCAGTTCTCTTAATGAGTTATAAGATGTCACCATCCCTGGAAAGTGTTAGTCATTTAGTAAGTGAGGAGCCCATCTAAGAAACATACCCTCAAAGGTAGATCAGACCAGCCCAGCAGAACAAATGTATAATTACCAATATTCCCTAGGAGTTAGCTAGATATAATGACATGAGAAAACTACGTAAGGCAGACTACTTTTACGGTCATTGCATGCTGTGTTTACTTCTTTCCCTTTTCATTTTCTTCATATCTCAGTCATGCCAAGGGGCATCTGACTAGCAGATTTAAAGGCAAAGCAGTGGACCCATAGGGTACTAAAAGTTAGTGGCAAAGGTGACAGAGTGGTATAATGCCAAAGGACAGGTGAAATACAGGGTTGGAATATTTACTCTTCCTCTCTACTCGGAAATGTTTCCTCTCATCATGACATCTCGCTTTTGGTTTGTCTTATAGAAAGGATAAATATCTTAGACTTTAATTGGTATAGGTGTATCTCGCTTCCCCAGTAAAAAAGCAAGTGCTCAGAAGGCAAGGGCACTGTTTTCTGTGATTAGAGAAGTCAGGGTAGAATTAAGTAGGAGTAGTGATAACTGGATTCTAACTCCAGCTCCCCCACTAACTACCTATAAGACTCCGGGAAAATGGGAGTGAGGAGAGAGATGAGCCATGAATCTAATGGATAATTGGTCTAAATGACTTTAAAAGTCCGTAAAATCCTGAGGTTTTTTTTTTCTTTTTTTTTTTTTTTTTTTTTGAGACGGAGTTTCACTCTTGTTGCCCAGGCTGGAGTGCGACGGCACGATCTCGGCTCACTGCAACCTCTGCCTCCTGGGTTCAAGCAATTCTCCTGCCTCAGCCTCCCAAGTAGCTGGGATTACAGGCATGTACCACCACGCCTGGCTAATTTTTTGTATTTTTAGTAAAAACAGGGTTTCGCCATGTTAGCCAGGCTGGTCTCGAACTCCTGACCTCAGGTGATCCACCTGCCTCAGCCTCCCAAAGTGCTGGAATTACAGGCGTGAGCCACCATGCCAGGCAAAACCTGAGATTATAAATTCTGTTAAGTCTGTCTTTCCAGACTGTGGAGAAGACAGAACTAGAATAGAACCTCTCTAAGGTCTTTTTCATGCCCAATAAATCAACAAATACTTGTTAGTTGATCATGCTTAATTTATGTGCAATTTATGTCAATATTCCTCTACAGTGAGAAAGAATATAAGTTGTTAAAACTGAACTCCTCCCTTGTGCCAAGAAATGCATCAGAAAAGGATTCTTGCTCTTAACCATAAAATAACCAGCATGAGTTGCTGTTTTTCTTTTGGTTTGTTTTCCTGAGACAGGGTTTCACTCTGTCACCCAGGCTGGGATACAATGGTGTGTCCATAGTTCACCACAGCCTCAGACTCCCAGGATCAAGTGATCCTCCCGCCTCCACCTCCCAAGTAGCTGAGGCTACAGGTGCGCACCACCACACCCAGCTAATTTTTAAATTGTTTGTAGAGATGGGATCTCACTATGTTGCCCAGGCTGGTCTTGAACTCCTGGCCTCAAGTGATCCTCCTGCCTCATGCCCCCCCAAAGCACTGGAATTACAGGCATGAGCCACCACATCCAGCCACGTTTTAAAAACATAAATTAGGTGATATTAGTGTTCTGCTTGATACTCTCTGATGTCACCCCCGTGTCACACCCAATTCCATAAAATGGCCATAAGACCCAGATGATCTGGCCCCTCCTACATGTCTGGCCTCATCTTTTCCCATCCTTCCACTTGTTTGCTAAGGTACCATGGCATCATGACCTTGTGTCTAATCTTTGACCAAACCAAACTCACTTCTGCCCCATGGCCTTTGCACATGCCATTCCTTCTGTAAGGAATCTTCTGTCTTCCAAATCTTCCCAGGTTGGCTTTTTCTCATCACTCAGGTCTCAGCTCAAATATCATCATCTTGGAAAGAAAGGTCTTCCCTGACCACTCTATCTGAGGCAGCAGCCCCCCCCAGGGATTCTCTAGTCCGTTTATTTTCTTCCTGGTATTCATTCCTATATGAAATTTTTAATTTTTTTACATGTCCCTTGTCTGTCTCCTTCTACTAGAAAGCTCCAGAAAGGCAGATGCTTTTTGTCTCCCTTGTTCATTGGTGCACTCCAGACCCTAGAATGGAACCTGACAAAAAATTTTCATTCAATAAATGTGTTGAATGAATAAATGATTAAGGGAAAGGTTCCATCTCTATGCAGATGTCTTAGGTGTTGTTTTACAGTTACAGTGGCTCTGGTGAGTAGAAAGCATTTCTTTTTCTTTTCAAAGCATCCATTTTGTTCTCTTTTACGCGATGAACTAGAAAACATTAGCCAGACTGAAGCCTGAAAAATGAAAACAGCACTTCTGGCACAGAAATAACTAGTCTGGGCACCTCTGGCTTGAGCGAGATCTATGACTTTCTAGGGAGCTGGCACCAAAGTCAAAATGTTAAAATAAACATCTTTGATGTAGAAAATGGAATACTGGTATTTTGACTCTGGAGAGACTAGTCTCAATCAGTCTTAGCTCTTTACAAAATTTCAAAAACGTTTAGCAACCCCATCACCACTGTATCAAACTGAACATAATCATCTTTCAATAGTCACTTCTAGATTGTCTAGGGATGGGGCTATCTTCCTCAAATGTATCTAATGTAAATTCTGCTTTCAATTTCTTTTTGACATAATTCTCTCCTACTTACCAAATGAATCTTGTTTTCAGTTTTCTAATGGGTGAAAGCATCATCTCATGTGCTTCGTTAAACTCTTCTTTAGAGGTGAAAATAATGCTTTTAGCCCACTTTGACTTGTTCTCCTCATGGAAATGAGTTTGCACTAAACCACACCGATGTGTCTGGCTAGTCAATATTTGGAAAGGGGTCATAGGGCAAAATGTCTTCTCTGTGTAATATTTAAAGTTAAGAATTCTGACCTTGGCCGTCTAAGGCCTTTGCTTGTGCACGCAAGGGCAAATGTGTCCTTAAGCTTGCAGAAACATTTCTTAAATATTTCACTTAAACCTAATTTAAGTGGACCTCTGGAGAAAAGACTGCACTCAACTCTGTTCCATCATCAACATAACAAAAATTAGTTACACAAAACACACTGAAAATTCAAGGCAGCCCAAAGCAAAAGCCAGTGTTGGTCACAGTTTTCATTAGATAAGTCACATTGCTATTTAAAAAAAAAAAAAAAAGTTTAACTAATGAAAATTTATGTTTTAAAATGCTGATTTCATGAGATTAGCCAGCCTGTACCCTATACAAATTAAATCCAACTATCTCAAAGTGGCACCTGCAATAGTAGCAAACTTTTTTTTTACCAGGAAAGTCTATCGTCAGGATGGCATCTACCTACACAAAACTAATGGCATATACATTCATGAATCGTGCCCAAGGGGTGAGAAGCAAAAAAAGGAGGACTATTATTATGTCCATAATATTATTATGTTACTAAAACATCTGATAACGATGATGATGATGGTAATATTTACGTCATGCTATTAGGGCACCATGCTGCTCTAAGAGCTTTACATACACTATCTTCTTTAATCTTCATAACACCTAAACTTGTGAGGTAAGTACTACTGTCATCCCACTTTACAGATGAGGAAACCCAAGCACACAGAAGTTAAATAACTTCTCACAGCCTAAAAATATCCAACTATTAAGCAGCAAAAGATTCAAACTCAGGTTGCTTTATCCAAAGCTGGAACTCTTACCACAAACCAATAACAGGCAAGTGATATATATTTGTTGAAATATAGTTTAAACGTATTTGGCCAAAGGCTTTTATAGTCATGCATACTTTAAAAAATGCATATGGGCCAAGCATTTGGGTTACAGACTCATGCCTGTAATCCCAGCACTTTGGGAGGCTGAAGCAGGAGGATCACTTGAGTCCAGAAGTTCAAGACCAGCCTGGGCAACATAATGAGACCCCCATCTCTACAAAAAAAATTTAAAAATTAACCTGGTGTGGTGGTATAAGCCTGTAGTCCCAGCTACTTAGGAAGCTGAGGCAGGAGGATCTCTTGAGCCTGGGAGTTGGAGGTTACAGTGAACTCTGGCAGTGTCACTGCACTCTAGCCTGGGTGACAGAGTAAGACCCTGCCCCAATATTTTAAAAAAGGAAAAAAAATGCATACAAAATCTATCTACTCTTTGTTCCCAATCATCCAACTAGTGAAGGTATAATTAGGCACAGGCAACAGACTACCTGCAATTTGAGAGCAGAAAACATTCTTTTTTAAAAATATCTGTAATACTTTATAGTTTCCTACCAAAAAAAAAAACAGAGCCAGAGAACCTCAGGCTAAGTAAGGCTCTTCCAAAGAAAAGGAAATCAAAGCAGGTAGGACAAAGACAGCCAGGGTGAGCTACTAACCAAAGTATGTCACAGCTGAACATTCTCTCCTGGTAACTGTTCTGCAGTGCCGCTCTAAGCACTGCAGTGCTGCCAATATGAAGTCTGAGCTCATGAATGCCGTGCTGCAAAAGTAACCAACAACCAAATAGGAAAAGCTTCACTTTTCTCTACTGATTTTATTCATCCCAGGATCCCACTCTAGACGGTTTGAGAGTTAACAGAATTTGGGAAAGGGCCAGCTTAACCACGCAGTATTGGATGGAGTGCAGTATCCTACTCAATAAATGAGGTTTACTTTAGTCTCTTAGTTCTTGGAATGGGTCATGTGTGTTTAAAAAAAAAAAAAAAAAAAAAAAGGAGGGGGATCATAATTATTTCTAATGTTCAGAAAATACCTATTACCTAACCTCCTTCAGCCAACACAAGTATCATCTGAATTACCTCTGTCTGACTGTTATATATGGTTATAAGAAAACCCAGACCATTTCCTACAAGGGGAAAAAAAAATCACACACCTCTAAAAGACAAAACAACAAATGACACATTCTGGAGACAGATGGGGGAAAAAAATAACTCTCTGTTTCCAAATGACCCCTCTGCAGAAGTAAGATAAAGGCTGCAGTGCATGGGGAGAAAAAAAATCAACCTGAGTTAACTGAAGCAGCAGCTTCGGCAACTTCTAGTACCTATGCACCTTCACCATTGTTATATAACCAAACCATAACCTTAATAGGCCATCGTACTGTATGTCGACAGCTGTTAGGCACATCTAAGCTGTCCGCATTTGAGAACCCCTTCCAAAGTGGATTCAGAGAAGCATGGAGCAGGCCAAAATATGCTCCTAGTTCACCCAGAGCACGTGACAACTCCTTGTGAATTAAGCTTCACTCATGTAGTCAGAGTAATTTAAGCAGCAAAAGATATAGCACTTGTAACTGTAACTAGGAAATTGCACACTGCTACAGAAACACAAATGAATGCTGGTGTGGCTCCTTCACACATGCAACTCATTGTCCAAGCCATTTCAGTCTCATTCAAGACTTTGAATATTTCCATACATAGGAATTGCACAACTGCATACCACAAATGATCAAAGATAAAAACCAACATAAACAGTGACACCCGTTTGTAAACAAGCCAGTGTTTAAAATGCTGCAGTCCTAAAGGATACCAAGGTCTCAGAGAAAAACTATGAAAAACACACGCACGCACATATACACACACATGAAAATTAGAAAGCGGGCAGACCAGCCATAATTAGGCACTGGCTTTGCTGACTACTGAAGATAGAAATGTCTCTTTTATATTAAAGCCAAGAATCAACTGTTTGCAATTACATTTACGAAAACATTCAACCCTGTCTGTAACAGATTTTATCAATATTTTGGTGTATCCAAGGGCTGGAAGATTCAAAATTCTTTAAATCATGAAACCATAAACCAGGCAACCAATTAAGTTCATGGAGACTATCCCCCAGAGGTCAGAGCAAAATAACCACAGGAGCACAAAGTGATTACACAGAAAATAGGCAGAAAAAAAGGAAAGAAATAGCAAAACAAGGAACAAGGCATATTGTTTGTAAATGTAAGTTTGCCTTGGCTAATAGTCAACTAGACTGGAAACACGGTGAGGGGCTGGGGTGGCAAGTGAGGAGCACACCAAAGTCTTGGCTCAATCGACTTCCCCTGACTTCCCCTCAGGGTCTGAGGGAGCCCTGGACTTTGGTATCTCATTCAGCTCTGACCTGCAGACTGGAGGCCCTGTGATAAAAACGGACAAAAAGGCTGAAGAGGGCCCTCCAGAGGAAGTGAAACTGACCAATCAATTCGCCACAGCCACCCACCCTGACACCCTGGTAAGAAGGGCCCCTTGTAGCCTCAGGCAGAAAGATGGTGGGGAAGGAACTTCAGGTTGCAAGTGATCAGGAGAGAAGGCCTAGATAAGTCACTGGCTTCAGAAAACAAGCCACTGCCAAAAAAGCAAAAACAAGGTAGGTCATGACAACCAGAGGCTAGGCTGAGGAGGTGAGGGGAATTGATGTGGCTTTGGTAGGAGGCGGCAGCAGCTGTAAGGGTTCTTCATTCCTCAGGCTGAGGGAAAACACAAGCTGCAGTTCTAAACATAATGAATGACTACATTAAAAGTATTCATTCAAGTAAGATATTGAGCAAAGAAAATTTTAGAGTAAAAATGGGCTTTGCGGGTTCCACCAAAACCAAAAGATTCCTCCTGATGTCTTAGATTCCAGTCCTCCCAACGAAGGCTACATGAAAGTGCTACCATATTTCCTCAAAGAATTTTACATGCATACATATATAGCTTCCTAATTGACCTTGGCCAATTTCACTCCTATAGCGCCTCAAATCCCTTTGAGAACTAAGGGCTCGATGAGTGTAATCTCCCGGTGTCTGGGTTCTTCAATCACAAGCTTCCCCCCAACCAGTAAAAGCCCACCCTGGGTTCTACAAAGCCCACAATTCCCGACCCTCCAACAACTAAAAATAACCAGCAATCAGCTCTCCCAAATTGTTTAACCCCTGACTACCTAGTGCCATCATAAACCTGGGACAGCCCCCACCCCCACCTCACTCCCCCATTCCCTGGGCCCCTTCCTGTGGACAAGCAAAGCAATTTCCCCCTTATTTCCCCATTTTCCTCATTGCCTCCTCCACTAATCGTGTCTCCTCGGGATCCCCTTCGCACCATCTATCAGTCTTAGATGATCAAATGCGGATTCCTGTCTCTGTCTTAAGGCACCAGGATCCTGGGACCTCCCAGCGCCCTGCAGACGTGCACATTCCCAGTCCGTGCCCCAGCCGTCCTGGGTCCCCTTACAAGCCCGGGTCTGCCACTTCACCCTTGTTTTTCCCCATCCTCCGGGTCCACATTTCATATGCCCCTGCCCTCATTCCCTTATGATTCCCTAGCTGCTGGTTCCAGAGTCTTCTGGGCTTACAGTCTCCCGGCCCTCGGGGAGTTCCGACCCCTTCTTTCCAATCATCCCCTTTACCCGCCTGCCCTCAGCCCCGAGGACCCCTCCCCGCGCCCGGCTCCTGGGCGCCGGTGCTCTGTGCCCTCGGCCCCCTGCTTGGAGTTCCGCCGTCTCGAGTCCCAGGTGTCCCTAGCTCCGCGCCCGCCCCGCCGCGGCTGGCTCCCTCCCGCCTCCCGGCCCCCAACGCTCCCACCACGCGCCGCGCTCGCCGCCCCGACCCCCCGGCTGGGGGGCGCGGACCTCTCCCGGCCCCGCCACGCTCCGACTGCCGCCTGGCCCCTGCGCCGGTACCTTGGCCTTGGTGACGAGGTGCGTGGCCCGCTTGACCACCGCGAAGTTGCCCTTGCCGATGGTGCGGTCGATCTCGTAGTAGCCGATACGGGCGGGCATGGGTCCGCGGGAGGCCGGGGCTGGGGGACGCGGCTGGCCGGCCGCAGGGGACACGGCAGCGGGGGCGGCTGGGGACCCCGGCGCGGGCGGAGGCAGCAGGCGGCCCGCGGGCCCGGCTCCCCCAGTCCCGGCCCCGGCAGCCCCGCCAGCTCCGCTCGCCGCCGCCGCCGCCATCTTGTTGTGCAGTGAAACCTCCGGGGCCGCGGGGAGCCGGCTCGGGGGAGGGGGCAAGGGGGGGCGGGAAAGGGGGGGCCGCGGACGTCACTCGGGGAGGCGGGGCGCTTTCGCCGACCGGCGCCCGGCTCCATGGCAACCGCGGGTCACGTGCCGACGCGCGTCACTGCCCGGAGCCATGGCAACCGTGACCTCACCGGCGGGCTCGACCTTCCCGCGTGGGCCCCGGTTCCTGAGGCGCTGGCTCCCGGGTGCCCCCCTCCGGGAGCTGGCGGTGGGAACCTTCGATGGGCCCCCAACCTCGAAGTCTCCGCCACCTTTCCCGAGTGGGGGGCGCAGGATGCCCGACCCAAAGCCAACCCCCCACCGCCGCTCGAATCGCCAATGTGACCTCTGCTGTGACCTCTGTCCCAGTTCAACGATCACCCAACCTCCCTTAACAAAAAAAAAGTGTTTCCTCATCACCAAAAATACCAGCGTTGTCCCACTTTAGCCCTTGAGGCCACAAATGCAGGAATAGCTACACTCTTGAAGCAACTGTAACCAAGTTGGTAACAACGCAGGGGAATTCTTCGGTAAAATTCCTTCCTCTTACAAAATCCAGCTCACCCTGCACAGTCAACCTAATTGTCACCGAATATAGGAGAATGGGGAAACTAGGATTTGCGTGTTCAAGGGCGGACAAGCCAGTCCAAACAGGCATTCCAGTCATTGGGTGGGTGACAGCCAAAGAAGGTACGTCATTTTCCTTCCTACCACCCCCATCTCTGAACAATTCTACAGGGATGTCTGTCAGAGTGCCTACATACTATTTCTGTTGCTTGTATAACCCTGATGAAGCAGTGGTGCGCATTGTCCAATGAACCACGTCGTGTTTAAACAACAGTCGGTTAAGCAAAATAAATAAGTAAATAATAAAAATTCCATCCTTCCTAGTGACTCTCCGAGGACATTGAGGGTCATCAAGTTAATAACTCCAGCAATTTCATATCTCTTTTTCTTCCCTTGCCTATTACCTGCATCCTTCATAGCTCCCAGGCTTCCTCCTCCTCTCTCCCCTTCCCTTTATTAAATAGATTAACTTAGCTGCTTTAGGTGAGGGTTGCAGGTAGGAAATCAGACTGTCAACAAAATAGTCTTTGGCAGGCTGGGTGGAAAGGAGGGAAGATTGTGAATATTCCAATGTTAAAATGTATTCCTTTGGACTAGTCCTGATCCATCCATATCTATGTCTCTCTCAATGGTAGAACTGTATTGTGAGGTCACTGCATGCACAGTATTAAAAACTGACACCCAGGGCACTGTAAATGTGTGGAAGGATAACTCGTGTTTACTCGCTGACCAAAGAACACCTCCTGGTGCTCCAATTCCCTATCCAACCATGAGTAATGGCTGGGACTTAAGATGGGACAGAGGGGTCATCCCACAATGGTCTTGGATCTATTCCCTGGTAGCTGTTCCAAACTGCCAACACAATTAACACTAATTGGCTCCCTTATTAGCAACTAAAGATAAGAATGAAGTGGGCCTTGGCTTCTTGCATTGGTTAAGCCCTTTCATCAGCTGAGCTCATTCCATCCCAGATAAATGATGGGGTGTGACCTGCCTCTCCTATCACTTCATGGCTCTCAGCTGCCTCTAGCAGGGACTATAACTTTGGTGCTGGGCTTCACAGCTGCAGTTTTTGGGTTTTTGTTTTTTTTTTTAGACAGAGTCTCACTCTGTCACCCAGGCTGGAGTGCAGTGGTGCAATCTCAGCTCACCACAACCTCCACCTCCCAGGTTCAAGCCATTCTCCTGCCTCAGCCTCCCGAGTAGCTGAGACTACAGGCGCACACCACCATGCCCGGCTAATTTTGTATTTTTAGTAGAGACGGGGTTTCGATATGTTGGCCAGACTGGTCTCGAACTCCTGACCTCGTGATCCCCCCGCCTCAGCCTCCCAAAGTGCTGGGATTACAGGCGTGAGCCACCGTGCCCAGCTACAGCTGCAGTTTTACCATCTCCCTGGGTGTCTCAACAGAAACCTTAGCTGGCTAGTAAAGCAAATAAAAAAATCTTTCACTGTGGAAGCTGCAGGAGCAGCACTGAAACCATTCTTACTGATGACTGTATGATCACAGAGTGTCCTCCACTAATGGAGGTAATTCGAACATCAAATATCAGAACTTTTGCTACTCTCTCAAGAGTGTCAAAAACAAAAACAACTCTGGGAAGGACCTAGAAAATGCAGCATTGTTCTAATTTCCACAGAGAAGAAGCAGATGACTCTTGTCCCTCAATAATGACCAGAACATATGCTGTGTGCTGTGTGTTATGTCACTTACGCTCCTTTCCTGTATAGATTGAGGTCACTAGATGGTGTTTCTGATTGAGACTTTGGTAGAGACTTGCTGGAGATCTCCTTGAAGAATAGTCCTCTTTGGCACAAAGAATATAGAAAATTAGAGAAGGGAGTAATCAAAGGAGATCATCAGGCAAAAAGGAAAATAGTTTAGATGTTTACGTTTAATAAGGATTTATTGAGTACCAAGAACTGAGTTAGGTTCTGAGAGAAACTCAGAGGAAATAGCAATCTGCCACGCGTTATGCTAAACAGTGTACCTAAGGGAACTCACTTAATCTTCACAACAACCTAATTAGATGGTTTGTATTATATCTCTATTTTGCAGATAAGGAAAATGAGGCACATAGGGATTAGGGGAATTGGCCAAAATCACAGAGCTAGAAAGTGATAGAACTGGGATTAAAACCCAGGCAACCTACCTCTGGAACCTAGGATCTTCCCCATTGTATTATAATCCCTGTCAAGGTAGGAGCCAGTAGGAAAAGTGGTCTCTCCATTAAGTTCAGGGTGACTGGGCTCAGTTTCGACCCAGGGAAGAAGAGTATTTTGAGAGGTCTTGAAAGCAGGACAGAGCAGGTAGCAGAAGCGCAGGAATAAAGACAACAAGACAGTAAGACTGAATGAAGTGCCTGCGATGGCTTCACTTGTAAATAGCACCAAGAAGAGTATCATGGCTTATTGTGTAGAAGTATTTCTGGCCCTTGAGGCCACACCTGTAATCCCAGCACCTTGAGAGGCCGAGGCGGGCGGATCACAAGGTCAAGAGATCACGACCATCCTGGCCAACATGGTGAAACCCCGTCTCTACTAAAAATACAAAAAAAATTAGCCGGGCATGGTGGCACATGCCTGTAATCCCAGCTACTCGGGAGGCTGAGGCAGGAGAATCGCTTGAACCCAGGAGGCAGAGGTTGCAGTGAGCCGAGATCGTGCCACTGCACTCCAGCCTGGCAACAGAGCAAGACTCCATCTCAAAAAAAAAAAGAATAAAAAAGAATATAGGCCTGGCCAGGCACAAGTGGCTCACACCTGTAATCCCAGCACTTTGGGAGGATGAGGTGAGTGGATCACTTGAGGCCAGGAGTTCGAGACCAGCCTGGCCAACATGGCAAAACCCTGTATCTACCAAAAATCTTTAAAAAATAGCCAGACTTGGTGGTGCATGCCTGTAATCCCAGCTACTTGGGAGGCTAACGCACAAGAATTGCTTGAACCCAGGAGGCAAAGGTTGCAGTGAGTCGAGATCGTGCCATTGCACTCCAGCCTGGGCAACACAGTGAAAACTCCTCTCACAAAAAAAACAAAATACAGGCCTATAAGTGTTGTGTTCCTGTCCTGAAGAAGACTCAGAGGAGTGGCTTGGGGGTGGAATTCTCAGAGCCCCTGTAATGCAAGACAAAGGCAGAGAGATAGACCCTTCACCCAGCTCCTAATCAGCCATCATTACCAACTCACCCTTTTCTGAAAAAGCAAAAGATAGATTCAAAGAGGAAAACGAGACATTTTCCTATGTAATGTCATTGTGTCCTGTTTCCAGAATTTGAAAAGAGCAGACCAAGTTATTCTCAATGACAGTGATAGGAACTTGGAAACTTTTAGAAGTGATACAGAATGTCTGAGGACCTAAGGTCTGACCTGAGAGTGATACAAACAGTGAGATGTCACATATTTTCAGTGATTTTCAAAGAACACTTAGGCTGCCTGCAGAGCAGTTTACCTGCAACCTGAAAGAAAATTGCAGCCTTACAATGTTGCTCCTTAGACTCTCGGAGCATGAGGACTTGAAGAAAGCCAGGCTTTGCACTTTTTATTGGTCCAACTCATTACTACTCTGAAAAAAAAAAGAAAAAAAGCTAAATTTATACATGCAATGTTGATACAGGAGCATTATTCAGAAATTCTGTATGCCAAAAGACAACATCGTAGTATATTTACATGCTACTAATTCCCCAAATAAGGAAATTACTCGCTGATTATAAATTCTGCCATCACATAGGAATCAAGGCACTGTTGGACACACATTGAACACTCCAAATGCCCTGGTTCTGTGGGTGAGCTGAATGCACACATTCTCTCTCTTAAGACTGTGTTCTAGATGGACATGGTGGCTCATACCTGTAATCCTAGCACTTTGGGAGGCCGAAGTGGGTGGATCATTTGAGGTCAGGAGTTCAAGACCAGCCTGCCCAACTCAGTGAAACGCCGCCTCTACTAAAAATACAAAAATTAGCCAGGCATGGTGGTGGGCACCTGTAGTCCCAGCTACTCAGGAGGCTGAGGCAGAAGAATGGCTTAAACCTGGGAGGCAGAGGTTGCAGTGAGCTGAGATCATACCACTGCACTCCAGCCTGGGTGACCGAGCAAGACTCTGTCACAAATAATAATAATAATAATAAAAAGACTGTGTTCTGCATCACCACCTCAGCTGTGTGGCTTTTGCCTTTTTCCTCGTCTTTCTCAGATCCACCTGGTCACATCCCAATTTCCCCAGGGCATCCGAAGCAGGTCTGAGCAGCCAAGGATAACTACTTAGTCTCCTGCTAGAAAATATCTCAGGTAGGTTGTATAAGGGAAGCTAAGTAAGCTTTCAGTCAACGACTTTCTGTTCAGTCTGCCCACATTGTTCTTTTTAATGTAGCCATTCAAGCTGTGATGCAAAACATAAAAATTGCCCTTATTACTTTGCATATGTTCTAGGATATGGTTGAAACATTTTTAGATTATTATTAATTATCCTTTGAATAATCCAAAACATCTTCAGGCTGGAGTGCAGTGGCGCTATCATAGGTCACTGCAGCCTCAACTTCTTGGGCTCAAGTGATCCTCCTGCCTCAGCCTCCCGAGTAGCTGGGACTACATGTATACACCACCATGCCTGGCTAATCTTTTTTTTTTTTTTTTTTTGAGACGGAGTCTCACTGTGTCTCCCAGGTTGGAGTGCGGTGGCGCGATCTCGGCTCACTGCAAGCTCCGCCTCCCGGGTTCACGCCATTCTCCTGCCTCAGCCTCCCAAGTAGCTGGGACTACAGGCGCCCGCCACTACGCCCGGCTAATTTTTTGTATTTTTAGTAGAAACGGGGTTTCACCGTGTTAGCCAAGATGGTCTCGATCTCCTGACCTCGTGATCCGCCCGTCTCGGCCTCCCAAAGTGCTGGGATTACAGGCGTGAGCCACCGCGCCCGGCCCTGGCTAATCTTTTAATGTTTTTATACAGACAGGGTCTTGCCATGTTGCCCAGGCCAGTCTCAAATTATTGGTCTCAAACAATCCTTCTGCCTCAGCTTCCCAAAGTGTTGCGATTACAGGTGTGAGCCACTGAACTGGCCAAGTATAATTTTCAAAAGGTCTTCTTCAACCTTAGATGTGACTGTATTATCATTTGGGATCAATGTCTTCCTTGGGCAAATATACCTTTGGTTTTATAAGAAAAATCAATGGCAAAATACATTTAGTAAAGAAAAAAAATCATCTAGGACAACTTTTTTTTTTTTTTTTTGAGATGGAGTCACGCTCTGTCACCCAGACTGGAGTATAGCGGTGCAGTCTCGGCTCACTGCAACCTGCACATCCTTGGTTCAAGCAATTCTCCTGCCTCAGCCTCCCAAGTCCCAAGTAGCTGGGATTATAGGCACCCGTCACCACGCCCAGTTAATTTTTGTATTTTTAGTGGAGACAGAGTTTCACCATATTGGCCAGGCTGGTCTGGAACTCCCGACCTCAGGTGATCCACCCACCTCGGCCTCCTAAAGTGCTGGGATTACAGGCGTGAGCCACCACACCTGGCCAGGACAACATTTTTAATAAAAGTGTGTTCCTTAAGGTGGAGGATCCCTTGTTACCCTGTAATCAACTCTCTAATATTTATACTACTAATTTTTGTCTTATAATTTACTTATTTCTCCTAAGTAAAAAATATGATATTCAACAAATATTGATTAAGATATTGACATATTTGGATCCTTTTCTTTCCCTTGAATATCAAAGTGTACCTAGATTCTAGAAAGTCACCATGTTTCACCGAAAATGAAGGCATACTTCAAAGGTCTACCTAGGGTGAAAGTTTTCCTTATTTCCCTAGCTCTGCACTTACAAAACTGCATTTTTCTTCTTTCCCTTCATCTTCACATCTATTCTCACGGAAGAGCCGTCTCTTCTGCAGCACCTGCCTTGGGAACTGCCTCTCAGTTTTCAAAGCTCACCTTCACACAGCCTGGTGTGTTTCAGGTGACAGGACAGATGCTCTGCTTTTAAAGCAGCTTCCTTGCATTAAGGGTCGGTTTTGAGCCAGGCACAGTGGCTCACTCCTGTAATCCCAACACTCTGTGAGACTGAGGTGAGACGACGGCATGAGCCCAGGAGTTCAAGACCAGCCTGGGCAACATAGCAAAACCCCCATCTCTACAAAAAAAATTAAAAATTAGCCAGGAGGGGCTGGGCACGGTGGTTCACGCCTGTAATCTCAGCACTTGGGAGGCTGAGGCGGGCGGATCACGAGGTCAGGAGATCAAGATCATCCTGGCTAACACGGTGAAACCCCATCTCTACTAAAACTACAAAAAAATTAGCCGGGCGTGGCAGCCAGCGCCTGTATCCCAGCTACGCGGGAGGCTGAGGCAGGAGAATGGCCTGAAGCCGGGAGGTGGAGCTTGCAGTGAGCCAAGATCGTGCCACTGCACTCCAGCCTGGGGGACAGAGCGAGACTCCGTCTCAAAAAAAAAAAAAAAATTAGCCAGGAGGCTGGGCGCGGTGGCTCACACCTGTAATCCCAGCACTTTGGGAGGCCACGGCGGGCGGATCACGAGGTCAGGAGATGAGACCATCCTGGCTAACACGGTGAAACCCCGTCTCTACTAAAAATACAAAAAATTAGCCAGGAGTGGTGGTGGGCGCCTGTAATCCCAGCTACTCGGGAGGCTGAGGCAGGAGAATTGCTTGAACCCGGGAGGTGGAGTTTGCAGTGAGCCGAGATCACGCCACCCCACTGCACTCCAGCCTGGGCAACAGAGCAAGACTCCATCTCAAAAATAAGTAAAAAAAAAAAAATAGCCAGGCATGGTGGTGCATGCCTGTGGCCCAGCTACTTGGGAGGCTAAGGTGGGAGAATCACTTGAGTCCAGGAGGTCAAAGCTGCTGTGAGCCGTGATCACACCACTGCACTCCAGCCTGGGCAGCAAAGTGAAACCCTGTCTCAAAAAAAAAAAAAAAAAAAGTGGGTTTTGCTTAAGTTTTCTACCAGCCTTTTCAGCTGTTGGCTAAGAACAATTTATACTATTGGGATTGGTTTCTGTAGGTAGCTGACTTACCTTTGTTTGCTTCATTTCTGCCACAATTTTTCTCAAACTAGAAAATCCAGTCTTCTACTTCTTGAGGCCAGATTCCTATCCCTTGGCTGCAGAGACACCTTCTGGTTGAAGTCCTAAACTACATGATGCGTAACGAATACTCCCTTTTCTTTTCTGCTAAGGAAGGCTTTCTAGTCCTTTCTATTTAAACTGTAGGCCATTGAAAACCACAAACCCGTATAGGAGCCAGAAAGCTGGAATCCGAATGGAAGCTGGCTTCAGGAAGCTAGATTTCTTTATGGCCAAATACAAAGTACAGTGGGGGCCAGGCGCGGTGGCTCACGCCTGTAAACCCAGCACTTTGGGAGGCCGAGGAGAGCTGATCACAAGGTCCGGAGTTTGAGATCAGCCTGACCAACATGGTGAAACCCGTCTGTACTAAAAATATAAAAATTAGCCAGGCGGGGTGGCACACGCCTGTAATCCCAGCTACTCAGGAGGCTGAGGCAGGAGAATAGCTTGAACCCGGGAGGCAGAGGCTGCAGTGAGCCGAGATGGCACCACTGCACTCCAGCCTGGGCGAAAGAGTGAGACTCCGCCTCAAAAAAAAAAAAAAAAGAAAGTACAGTGGGGTAGGCTTACAATTGTGTTTTAGGCTTAAGTAGCAGTCCATGCTGTGTGTGTTTGTGTGTGTATGTTTTGAGACGGAATCTGGCTCTATCACCCAGGCTGGAGTGCAGTGACATGATCTCAGTTCACTGCACCCTCCACCTCCGGAGTTCAAGTGATTCTCCTGCCTCAGCCTCCCAAGTAGCTGGGATCACAGGTGTGCACCACCACACCCAGCTAATTTTTGTATTTTTAGTAGAGACAGGTGTGGTTTTCACCATGTTAGTCAGGCTGGTCTCAAACTCCTGACCTCAAATGATCCACCCGCCTTGGCCTCCCAAAGTGCTAGGATTACAGGCTAGAGCCACCACGCCTGCCTTTTTTTTTTTTTTTTTTTGAGACGGAGTCTTGCTCTGTTGCCCAGGCTGGAGTGCAGTGGTGCAATCATAACTCCCTGAAGCCTCCAACTCCTAGGCTCAAGCTATCTTCCCACCTCAGCCTCCTGAGTAGCTGGGACTGTAGGCATATACCACCACACTTGTCTTAAAAAAAAATTTGTCTTTTGGTTGGGTGTGGTGGCTCACATTTGTAATCCCAGCACTTCGGGAGGCTGAGGCAGGTGGATCACCTGAGGTCAGGAATTCAAGACCAGCCTGGCCAACATGGTGAAACCCCATCTCTAGTAAAAATACAAAAAATTAGCCAGGCGTGGTGATGCGTGCCTGTAATTCCAGCTACTGGAGAGGCTGAGGCAGGAGAATTGCTTGAACCGGGGAGGTGGAGGTTGCAGTGAGCCGAGATTGCACCATTGCACTCCAGCCTGGGCAACAAGAGGGAAACTCTGCTTAAGAAAAAAAACTAAGGATGAAGTTATTTCCATTTATTTTTATTTAAAAAATAATTTCATTCACTTGGCACATTTAAGAGCCAGGTCTGTTATCTTCTCTGGAAAATCACTCCTACCTAATGAGGTCGTTAGGAGAATTAACTTATAAATATGTAAAGGGACCTAGATTAGAGCCTCGTACATCCTCCCTCTAAATTCCAAAAGTAGGTAAACAATAACATACTGGTTTCCAAATCACTTTCAAAAGATTAGGAATGATTGAGAATAGAATTAGGGCTGTGAAAATGGATTAACTTCAGAGTTAAAAGAAAGTTGTGGTTTAAATGTTTCGATTTGGTTTACTAAACATGCATAGTTCAATCTGTGGAATGTGGATATATTTGTGTTTGTGATGCAACTCTGCATGTCCAATGAAAACATTCTTACTCTCAAATTTCATAACGTAGTTGTTATCCCCACTTTATAGATGGTCAACTTACTTTATCTATCTGATGATTGGCTCCTACAGCCAGTAAGTGGTGAAGCTGAGATGTAATTCCAAGGCTGCTGATCTCCAAAGCCAGTTGTCTTTCCAAATATTAGAATATACTAGTGTCTGTGGTCTGTTAAAAAAAATGATGACAGTGCCTTTTTAAATAAAATTTAAAGCATGTACATGAAAAATACTAAAACACTTATATAATTGCTATGTAACAATCTGCTTAACAAATTGTGTGCACTCCCAAACTTTCTGCATAATGCAAGTGCTTTGTGAGAAGTCTATATGAGCTCTGTGGGAAAGATCCAATCCTGGTGGCATTTTTTCCCCTAAAATTTATTTAATATAATATATGTAAAAAACAACAAATTATATGTATACCATTTGTAGGTATTGTGCAATAATCTGCTTTTACACAGTGAAACACTCAGCCGGGTTTGGTGGCTCACACCTGAAATTCCAGCACTTTGGGAGGTCAAGACAGATGGATCACCTGAGGTCAGGAGTTCAAGACCAGCTTGGTCAACGTGGTGAAATCCCACCTCTACTAAAAGTACAAAAATTATCCAGGGATGATGGCAGGCACCTATAATCCCAACTACTCGGGAGGCTGAGGCAGGAGAATCGCTTGAACCTGGGAGACAGAAGTTGCAGTAAGCAAAGATCGCGCCATTGCACTCCAGCCTGGGCGATAAGAGCGAAACTCTGCTTCAAAAAAAAAGAAATGAAACACTCATATATGACTTTTAATTGTTTTCCAAAATAAAACTAAAATGTTCTAAATTTATTATTTTATTTATGTTTTGAGACAGTGTCACTCTGTCATCCAGGTTGGAGTGCAGTGGCACAATCTCAGCTCACTGCAACCTCTGCCTCTGAGTTCAAGTGATTCTAGCGTCTCAGCCTCCTGAGTAGCTGGGATTACAGGCATGTGCCACCATGCCTGCCTAATTGTTTTGTAGTATTTTTAGCAGATAGAGTTTTGCCATGTTGGTGGGGCTGGCCTTAAACTCCAGAACTAAAGTGATCCGCCCACCTTGGCCTTCCAAAGTGCTGGGATTACAGGCATGAGCCACCACGCCTGGCCCCATTTAGTTTTTAAGTTAAAAATAAGGGCAGGAGCCGGGAGAGTAGTGCCAACTATAGTCCCAGCTACTTGGCAGGCTGACACAGGAGGATTGCTTGAGCTCAGGAGATCAGCGCTGCAGTACGCTATGATCACACCTCTTAATAGCCACTGTGCTGTGCTTTAGCCTGGATAACAGAGCTAGACACCATCTTTTTTTTTTTTTTTTTGAGATGGAGTCTTGCTCTGCCAGGCAGGCTCGCGTGCAAGGGCACAATCTTGGCTCACTGCAACCTTCACCTCTTGAGTTCAAGTGATTCTCCCACCTCAGCCTCCTGCATAGCTGAGGCTACAAGGTGTGCACCACCACGCCTGGGTAATTTTTCGTGTTTTAGTAGACATGGGGTTTCACCATATTGCCCAGGCTGATCTGGAATTACTGAGCTCAGGCAAACCTCCAACCTCGGCCTCCCAAAATGCTAAGATTACAGGAGTAAGCCACTTTGCCTACTCAGAGACACCATCTCTTAAAAAAAAAAATGAGTGGGCAGGACATGATGACGAAGGGTAATAATGTGTTCGGAATTGGTGGATTCTTGGTCTCACTGACTTCAAGAATGAAGCCGCAGACCCTCGCGGTGAGTGTCACAGTTCTTAAAGGCGGCGTGTCCAGAGTTTCTTCCTTCTGGTGGGTTGACGGTCTCGCTGGCTTCAGGAGTGAAGCTGCAGGCCTTTGCCATGAGTGTTACAGCTCTTAAGGCAGCACGCCTGGACTTATTCGTTCCTCCCGGTGGATTCCTGGTCTCGCTGGCTTCAGGAGTGAAGCTGCAGACCTTCGCAGTGAGCGTTACAGCTCATAAAGCCAGCATGCACCCAAAAAGTGATCAGCAACAAGATTTACTACAGAGAGTGAAAAAACAAAACCTCCACAGCAAGGAAGACTACCCAAACGGATTGCCACTGCCTATTCCGGCAGCCTGCTTTTATTCTCTTATCTGCCCCACCGCACCCCCCCTACCCTGATTGGTCCATTTTACAGAGAGCCGATTGGTCTGTTTTACAGAGAGCTGATTGGTCCGTTTTGACAGGTGCCGATTTGTGTATTCACAATCCCTTAGCTAGACATAAAGGTTCTCCAAGTCCCCACCAGATCAGCTAGACACAGAGTGCAGATTGGTGCATTTACAAACCTTGAGCTAGACACAGGGTGCTGATTGGTGCACTTACAAACCTTGAGCTAAATACAGAGTCCCGATTGGTGTATTTACAATCCCTTGGCTAGACATAAAGGTTCTCCAAGTCCCCAATAGACGCAGGAACCCAGCTGGCTTCACCTAGTGGATACTCCACTGCATCCGCAGGGGGAGCTGCCCACCAGTCCTGCGCCCTGTGCCCCCACTCCTCAGCCCTTGGGCGGTCCATGGGACCAGGCGCTGCGGAGCAGGGGGCGGCACTCGTCGGGGGAGGCTGGGGCTGCCCAGGAGCACACGGCGGCGACGGGGAGGCTCAGGCATCGCAGACTGCAGCTGCAGCTGCAGACCGAGCCTTGCCCCACAGGGAGGCAGCTGAGGCCCGGGGAGAATTGAAGTGCAGCGCCGGCGGGCCGGCACTGCTGGGGGACCTGGCGCACCCTCCTCCGCTGCTGGCCCGAGTGCTAAGCCCCTCACTGCCCGGGGCGGGAGGCGCCGGCCGGCTGCTCTGAGTGCGGGCCCACCAAGCCCACGCCCACCAGAACTCAAGCTGGCCCACAAGTACGGCAGGCAGCCCCGGTTCCCGCTAGTACCTCTCCATCCACACCTCCCTGCAAGCTGAGGGAGCCAGCTCCGGCCTCGGCCTGCCCAGAAAGGGGCTCCCACAGTGCGGTGGCGGGCTGAAGGGCTCCTCAAGTGTGGCCAGAGTGGGCGCTGAGGCCAAGGAGGCTCGGAGAGCGAGCGAGGGCTGTCAGAACACTGTCACCTCTCAATAGCATTTGAGCCATGTGGTGTGGGCCTCCCACCCAATTCTAAATCCCCTACACAGTAGAGCCAATTTCTACCAAAGCTGGATGTGGAAACCAGAGTAGTTATAGATATTCTTCCCTTACAGTTCATACCAACTTTAGAAACAGTTTTGAGTTCCCTAAGATTTTTTTTCTGATAACTTCCAAGCACGGGCTGGGCATGGTGGTTCACGCCTGTATTCCCAGCACTTTGGGAGGTCTAGGCGGACAGATCACTTGAGTTCAGGAGTTCAAGACCAGCCTAACCAACATGGAGAAACCCCGTCTACTAAAAACACAAAATTAGCCAGGTGTGGTGGCGCATCCTTGTAATCCCAGCTACTCAGGAGGCTGAGGCAGGAGAATTGCTTGAACCGGGAGGTGGAGGTTGCGGTGAGCTGAGATCGCGCCATTACAATCCAGCCTGGGCAACAAGAGTGAAATTCCATCTCAAAAAATAAACTGACATGAAGTGCTTGCCCATGCCTGTGTCCTGAATGGTATTGCCCAGGTTTTCTTCTAGGGTTTTTATGGTTTTAGGTCTAACATTTAAGTCTTTAATCCATCTTGAATTAATTTTTGCATAAGGTGTAAGGAAGGGATCCAGTTTCAGCTTTCTATGTATGGCTAGCCAGTCTTCCCAGCACTATTTATTAAATAGGGAATCTTTCCCCATTTCTTGTTTTTGTCAGGTTCGTCAAAAATCAGATGGTTGTAGATGTGTGGTATTATTTTTGAGGGCTCTGTTCTGTTCCATTGGTCTATATCTCTGTTTTGGTACCAGTACCATGCTGTTTTGGTTACTGTAGCCTTGTAGTATAGTTTAAAGTCAGGTAGTGTGATGCCCCCAGCTTTGTTCTTTTAGCTTAGGATTGTCTTGGCAATGCGGGCTCTTTTTTGGTTCCATATGAACTTTAAAGTAGTTTCTTCCAATTCTGTGAAGAAAGTCATTCGTAGCTTGATGGGAATGGCATTGAATCTATAAATTACCTTGGGCATTGTGGCCATTTTCACGACATTGATTCTTCCTATCCATGAGCATGGAATGTTCTTCCATTTGTTTGTGTCCTCTTTTATTTTGTCGAGCAGTGGTTTGTAGTTCTCCTTAAAGAAGTCAAAGCCAAAATTGACAAATGGGATCTAATTAAACTAAAGAGCTTCTGCACAGGAAAAGAAACTACCATCAGAGGCTGGGCGCAGTGGCTCACACCCGTAATCCCAGCACTTTGGGAGGCCGAGGCGGGTGGATCACGAGGTAGGGAGATTGAGACCATCCTGGCTAACACGGTGAAACCCCGTCTCTACTAAAAATACAAAACATTAGCCGGGCGTGGTCGCGGGCGCCTGTAGTCCCAGCTATTCAGGAGGCTGAGGCAGGAGAATGGCGTGAACCAAGGAGGTGGAGCTTGCAGTGAGCAGAGATCATGCCACTGCACTCCAGCCTGGGTGACAGAGCGAAACACTCTCAAAACAAAACAAAACAAAACAAAAAACTACCATCAGAGTGAACAGGCAACCTACAAAATGGGAGAAAATTTTTGCAATCTGCTCATCTGACAAAAGGGCTAATATCCAGAATCTACAAAGAACTCAAACAAACTTACAAGAAAAAAACAACCCCATCAAAAAGTGGGCAAAGGATATGAACAGACACTTCTCAAAAGAAGACATTTATGCAGCCAACAGACACGTGAAAAACTGCTCATCGTCACTGGCCATCAGAGAAATGCAAATCAAAACCACAATGAGATACCATCTCACACCAGTTAGAATGGCGATCATTACAAAGTCAGGAAACAACAGGTGCTGGAAAGGATGTGGAGAAAGAGGAACACTTTTACACTGTTGGTGGGACTGTAAACTAGTGCAACCATGTGGAAGACAGTGTGGTGATTCCTCAAGGATCTAGAACTAGAAATACCATTTGACCCAGCCATCCCATTACTGGGTATATACCCAAAGGATTATAAATCATGCTGCTATAAAGATACATGCACACGTATATTTAGTGTGGCACTATTCACAATAGCAAAGACTTGGAACCAACCCAAATGTCCATCAATGATAGACTGGATTAAGAAAATGTGGCACATATACACCATGGAATACTATACAGCCATAAAAAAGGATGAATTCATGTCTTTTGTAGGGACATGGATGAAGCTGGAACCATCATTCTCAGCAAACTATTGCAAGGACAAAAAACCAAACACCACATGTTCTCACTCACAGGTGGGAATTGAACAATGAGAACACTTGGACACAGGAAGGGGAACATCACACACTGGGGCCTGTCATGGGGTAGGGGGAGTGGGGAGGGATAGCATTAGGAGATATACCTAATGTAAATGACGAGTTAATGGGTGCAGCACACCAACATGGCACATGTGTACATATGTAACAAACCTGCACGTTGTGCACATGTACCCTGGAACTTAAAGTATAATAAATAACTTCCAAACACCAGGTATTTATGGATTCATTGTTTGGTAGAATTTAAACTCTCAGAGCAGGGTATTCAAACTCCTTTGCAACCTGGCCTCAACCTACTTTTTCAGCCTGTCACGTTTCATTTACTTTCCCACCCACCTTTCCCCACCCAGGACGACTGCAGGTTGTGTGCTTACTCCTTAACTTCTACTCAGCTTTTCCTTGTATTTGGAATACCTTGGAAGCTTTTCCATCTGTTATTTAAAATTCTACTACTCCTTGGCCAGGCACGGTGGCTCATGCGTGTAATCCCAGTACTTTGGGAGGCTGAGGCAGGTGGATCACGAGATCAGGAGTTCGAGACCAGCCTGACCAACATGGTGAAACCCCGTCTCTACTAAAAATACATATTAGCCGGGCGTGCTGGCACCTGCCTGTAATCCCAGCTACTCAGGAGCTAAGGCAGGAGACTCGCTTGAACCCGGGAGGCAGAGGTTGCAGTGAGCCAAGATCGCACCACTGCACTCCAGCCTGGGCGACAGAGTGAGACTTTGTCTCAAAAAAAAAAAAAAAAAAAATCCACTACTCCTTTAAGGTACAGCTAAACTCAGGATTTTTACAATCCGTAAAAATGTTTCTGGGTCTCCAAACATTTTGCCCATTCAGAACATAGAGGATTGCCTGAGCTCAGGAGTTCGAGACTAGCCTGGACAATATGGTGATACCTCGTCTCTACTAAAGTACAAAAAAAATAGCCAGGCGTGGCAGTGCATGCCTGTAATCCCAGCTACTCGGGAGGCTGAGGCAGGAGAATCACTTGAAACCGGGAGGCAGAGGTTGCAGTGAACTGAGATCACACCACTGCACTCCAGCCTGGGTGACAGAGTGAGACTCTGTCTCAAAAAAAAAACACAGGCTTTGGAGATGAAGTCCCTGGGTTCAAATCCTGGCTCCATAACTTATTAGCTGTGTGATCTTGAGAAAATAACCACTCCAGGCCTCTGTTCTTCAACTGCAAAATAGATAAAATAATAAAACCTGTCCAGGCGCCGTGGCTCATGCCTGTATCCCAGCACTTGTGGGAGGCAGAGGTGGGTGGATCACTTGAGGTCAGGAGTTCGAAGTCAGCCTAGCCAACATGGTGAAACCCCGTCTCTACTAAAAATACAAAAATTAGCTGGGGGTGGTGGCTGGAGTCTGTAATCCCAGCTACTTGGGAGGCTGAGGCAGGAGAATCATTTGAACCTGGGAGGCGGAGGCATAGTGAACCAAGATTGTGCCATTGCATTCTAGCCTGGGCAACAGAGCGAGACTCCATCTCAAAAATAATAATAATAAAACCTATATCATAGGAATGTTGGAAGGATTAAATAAATTACTATATATGAAGTACTTAAAATAGTGCTTGGTACAAAATTGGTGCTCTGTAAAATGACTACAATTATTATAATTATTAATCTACTGTAGCTTTTTTTTTTTGAGATGAAGTTTCACTCTTGTTGCCCAGGCTGGAGTGCAATGGTGCAATCTTGGCTAACCGCAACCTCCACCTCCCAGATTCAAGTGATTCTCCTGCCTCAGCCTCCCGAGTAGCTGGGATTACAGGTGTGTGCCACCATGCCCGGCTAATTTTGTATTTTTAGTAGAGACGGGGTTTCTCCGTGTTGGTCAGGCTGGCCTCAAACTCCCGACCTCAGGTGATGCGCCCACCTCTGCCTCACAAAGTGCTGGGATTACAGGCGTCAGCCCACCACGCCCGGCCTATTGTAGCATTTTTAAGTGGAACTTGCATTTCGTGTATGGCTGTCAGTCTAACTAGACTGCAATCCCCAGAGTCAGGAACCATATCTGTTTAGTTCACAACTCTATATCCAGCACATAACATTGTGCCTGAAAAAAAAATTATATAAATGTAAAAGTTTTATGGAGAATACAAAACATCACTGAAAAACCTAAAAGAAGACATATGCCATGTGTGTCAATGAACCTAATATTGAAAAAAACCTGTCTCAAAAAAAAAAAAAGGGTTGGGCGCGGTGGCTCACGTCTGTAATCCCAGCACTTTGGGAGGCTGAGACAGGCGGATCACGAGGTCAGGAGATCGAGACCACTCTGGCTAACACGGTGAAGCCCTGTCTCTACTAAAAATACAAAAAATTACCCGGGCGTGGTGGCAGGTGCCTGTAGTCCCAGGTACTTGGGAGGCTGAGGCAGGAGAATGGCATGAACCCGGGAGGCGGAGCTTGCAATGAGCCGAGATCGTGCCACTGCACTCCAGCCTGGGCCATAGTGTGAGACTCCGTCTCAAAAAAAAAAAAAAAAAAGAAGACACTTAAGCTGCATAAAAGCTAAAAATAATTTCCCTGGCTGGGCGAGGTGGCTCACGCCTGTAATCCCAGCACATTGGGAGCCTGAGGCAGGTGGATCACCTGAGGTCAGGAGTTAGAGACCAGCCTCACCCATATGGTGAAACCACGTCTCTACTAAAAATTAAAAAATTAGCTGGGCATGGTGGCGCGTGCCTGTAATCCCAGCTACTCGGGAGGCTGAGATGGGAGAATAACTAACTCAGGAGACAGAGGTTGTGGTGAGCCAAGATTATGCCATTGCACTCCAGCCTGAGTGACAGAGGGAGACTCTGTCTCAAAATAATAATAATTTCCCCAAAAAGGTAGTTGAATCTCTTTCTGTCCCCAAGACAGGTAGGAAGCTTTATTTTTTTCTCTGCCATTGTTTATTAGATCCTTTCTAACAGGTCTAGGTAAAATAAAGCCTTTTTTTTTTTTTTTTTTTTTTTTTGAGACGGAGTCTCGCTCTGTCACCCAGGCTGGAGTGCAGGCCTCTTAAAAAGTGTCTGGGCCGGGCATGGTGGCTCACGCCTGTAATCCCAGCACTTTGGGAGGCCGAGGCAGATGGATCACAAGGTCAGGAGTTCAAAACCAGCCTGGCCAATATGGTGAAACCCCATCTTTATTAAAAATACAAAAATTAGCCAGGCATGGGGGCAGGTGCCTATAATTCCAGCTACTTGGGAGGCTGAGGCAGATAATCACTTGAACCCAGGAGGCGGAGGTTGCAGTGAGTTGAGATTGCACCACTGCACTCCAGCCTGGGTGACAGAGTGAGACTCCATCTCAAGAAACAACAGCAACAACAACAACAACAAAACTTGTGTGCCCGCTCTTGCCAGTTGTATTCAACATGGTCCTGGAGGTTTTAGAAAGGGCAATTAGGCAAGAAAAATAGATGAAGTTGGCCGGGCGCAGTGGCTCTTGCCTGTAATCCCAGTACTTCAGGAGGCCAAGGCGGGTGGATAGCTTGAGCCCAGGAGTTTAAGACCAGCCTGGGCAACATGGAGAAACCCCGTCTCCACCAAAAATGCAAAAAATTAGCCAGGCATGGTGGCATGTGCCTGTTGTCCCAGCTACTTGGGAAACTGAGGTGGGAGGATCCCTTGAGCCCAGGAAGCAGAGGTGGCAGTGAGCCACCTCTCAAAAAAAAAAAAAAAGCATTCAAAATGGGAGCTAAAAAAATAAAACTATCTCTATTTGTATATGACATGATCTTTCTATTATTATTGAAGTCCATTTTCTTGAATGTTGTACAAAAAAAGTATAAGTAGAACCAAAAGTACATAAGCATTATCATATTTCTTTACCCCACTATCTAGTTCTTTATATTAATTTTACTATTTAAACAATAGAGAATAGGTGGCAGGCCGGGTGTGGTGGCAGATGCCTGTAGTCCCAGCTACTCGGGAGGCTGAGACACGAGAATCGCTTGAACCCGGGAGGCGGGGGTTGCAGTGAGCTGAGATCGTGCCACTGCACTCCAGCCTAGGTGACAGAGCAAGACCCCGTCTAAAAAAAAAAGAAGGAAAGAAAGAAAGAGAGAGAGGGAGGAAGGGAGGGAGGGAAATAGGTGTCAATTTAGGGATCAGGAAAGAAATAAAACAAAAAACCTTATTTTGAGACACCATCTCTCTCTGTCACCCAGGCTAGAGTGCAGTGGCACGAACATGGCTCACTGTAACCTCAACTACCTGGGTTCAATCAATTCTCCTGCCTCAGCCTCCTGAATAGCTGGGACCACAGGTGCATACCACCACACTTGGCTAATGTGTGTGTGTGTGGTGTGTGTAGAGACAGAGTCTCACTTTGTTGCCCAGGCTGGTCTAGAACTCCTGGGCTCAAGCAGTTATCCTGCCCCAGCCTCCCAAAGTGCTGGGACTACAGGTGTGATCCCAGCCCAAAAATCTTTTCTATCACATTTATTCTTCTACACTGTATAGCTATGTTCACAGAAATGGCTTCTTTTACTTCTCCACTGCACAGGAATTCCATTGTATATAAATTTGAAACTGCTCAACAGCTGAGGGAGACTGCAAACAATAGGTCCATACCCTAGTGCATTGTTATACAATTCAAACAATGGTGTAGCTATGAGCTTGTAATTTTTAGAGATTGCAAACAAGGCTTTTTCTTGAAGTTGAGCCAGAAACAACTTCTTATGTTCCTTAGGCTTTGTAATATATGCAGGAATATATGGATATTTGGTCTCCACCAGTTACCAATGCAGTATGACCCAGTCTTGCATCTTTCAGAACTCCATCTTGATGACTCAGTATCCCAGTCATTAAGCATTTTAGTCCTTCAACTTCACCTTTTCCTGGGCTAAGTTCACCATCAGGTTATATATATATATATATTTTTTTTTTTTCTTTTCTTTTTTTTTTGAGACAGAGTCTCGCTCTGTCACCCAGGGAGTGCATTTGTGCAATCTCCGCCACTGCAACCTCTGCCTCCCAGGTTCAAGCGATTCTGCTGCCTCAGCCTCCCGAGTAGCTGGAATTACAGGGACATGCCACCACGCCCGGCTAATTTTGTATTTTTACTAGAGATGGGATTTCACCATGTTGGCCAGGCTGGTCTCGAACTCTTGACCTCAAGCTATCCACCTGCCCCGGCCTCCCAAAGTGCTGGGATTACAGATGTGAGCCACGGTGCCTGGCCTACCACCAGGGCCTTCACCAACCTGGCCTTCACCTACCGCCTGGCCTTCACCAACTTGAAGAAAGTTGCTCCCAGCAGTAGCAGTAATACATAGAGTAGCCACACCAGTGCTTGTAAACAATCAGAATCCCCTGCTATGTTACTCCTCATTCCAATTTTATCCAATTCTTCCCTCATTTGCTGAAATCTGGATGAGACAGAGCTGTCTTTCTCATAGAGGGGCTCTTTTGTACCAAAAGTATAATTGATGGCCAGGCACAGTGGCACACGCCTGTAATCCCAGCACTTTGGGAGGCGGAGGTGGGGAGGCCACTTGAGGTCAGGAGTTTAAGACCAGCCTGGTCAACATGGTGAAACCCCATCTCTACTAAAATACAAAAATTAGCTGAGTGTGGTGGCACACACCTGTAGTTCCAGCTAGGTGGAAGGCTGAGGCAGGACAATCGCTTGAACCCAGGAGGCGGAGGTTGTAGTGAGCCGAAATTGTGCCGCTGCATTCCAGCCTGGGCAACAGAGCAAGACTTTATCTCAAAAAAAAAAAAAAACAAAAAAACAAAACAAAACAAAAAAACTATAATTGATAATAGGATACAATTTGATGGTGTGCTCCAGGATGAGGGGCTTGGTCTGCTGGTTGTACTTGTTGCTGAACTGATCGGGCTCTCCCTCTGCGGTCAGCTAGTCTGCGAGTGATTAGGTGGTAGGTACCACAGACATGCTGGTGAGCTCCAGGGCTGGTGATGAGCTGAAAAGGGAAGGCAGAGGAGACTTTCTTCATGCAGGCAGCAGTTTTCTGCAACCCGCTCAGCCACAGCCAATGCACGTCCTTAACCTGTGTGATCTGATATGTGAAAAACCCTAAGGAATACACTAAAAAAACCCACTTGAACTAATAAGTAAGTTCAGCAGAGTTGTAAGCTATAAGACCAATGTAACAAAAATTAATTATATTTTTATATACAAGCAATGAAAATTTCTATATGCAAGCAATGAAAATTCTGAGAATGAAATTAAGAAAACAAGTCCAGCTGGGTACAATGGCTCATGCCTGTAATCCCAGCACTTTGGGAGGCTGAGGCGGGAGGATCATGAGGTCAAGAGATTGAGACCATCCTGGCCAACATGGTGAAACCCTGTCTCTACCAAAAATACAAAAATTAGCTGGGCATGGTGATGTGTGCCTGTAATCCCAGCTACTCGGGAGGCTGAGGTGGGAGAATCACTTGAACCCGGGAGGTGGAGGTTACAGTGAGATCACACCATTGCACTCCAGCCTGGACAATAAGAGCGAGACTCTCTCAAAAACAAAACAAACAAACAAACAAACAAAAAAAACTTGTACACTGAACAGAACAAACCATTGTTAAATAAAGAAGATCGAGATAAATGGAAAAACACCCTGTGTTCATGGTTGAAAGACATAATATTAATATGGCAGTACTCCTCAAATAGATCTACAAATTCAATGCAATCCCTAGCAAAATTCTAATTGGCTTTTTTTGCAGAAATTGACCAGTTGATCCTAAAAATCATATGAAAACATAAAGGACCCACACTAGCTCAAACAATCTTTAAAAAAGAAACAAACAAAAAATTAGGCCAGGCACGGTGGCTCACACCTGTAATCCCAGCACTTTGGGAGGCCGAGGCAGGTGGATCACCTGAGGTCAAGAGTTCGAGACCAGCCTGGCCAACCTGGTGAAATTCTGTCTCTACTAAACAAAAAATTGGCTTGGTGTGGTGGCACATGCCTGTTATCCCAGCTACTCAGGAGCCTGAGGCAGGAGAATCGCTTGAACCTGGGAGATGGAGGTTGCAGTGAGCCAAGATCACACTATTGCATTCCAGTCTGGGCAACAAGAGTGAAACTCCATCTAAAAAAAATAAATAAATAAAACAAAGATTAAAAAAAAAAGAAGAACAAAGGCCAGGTGTGGTGGCTTACTCCTATAATCCTAGCATTTTGGGAGGCCAAGGCGGAGGATTGCTTGAGGCCAGGAGTTTGAGACCAACCTGGACAACAAAGTAAGACTATCTCTAACAAAAAAATTTAAAAGGCCAGGCGCCGTGGCTCATGCCTGTAATCCCAGCACTTTGGGAGGCCAAGGCGGGTGGATCACCTGAGGTCAAAAGTTCAAAACCAGCCTGGGCAACACGGTGAAACCCTGTCTCTACTAAAACACAAAAAAGTATCTGGGCAAGGCGGCATGTGCCTGTAGTCCCAGCTACTTGGGAGGCTGAGGCACGAGAATTGCTTGAACATGGGAGGCAGAGGTTGCACTGAGCCGAGGTCATGCCATTGCACTCCAGCCTGGGCAACAGAGCAAGACTCTGTTTCCAAAAAAAAATAATAAATAAAAAAAATAAAGAAATGATTACCGATGCTGGGGGCTGGGTGCAGTGGCTCATGCCTGCAATCCCAGCACTTTGAGAGGCCGAGGCAGGTGGATCAGGAGTTGGAGACCAGCCTGGCCAACATGGTGAAACCCTGTCTCTACCAAAAATGCAAAAATTAGCCGGGTGTGGTGGTGCACACCTGTAATCCCAGCTACTCGGGAGGCTGAGGCAGGAGAATCGCCTGAACTCTGGAGGTGGAGGTTGCAGTGAGCTGAGATCGTGCTGCTGCACTCCAGCCTGGGTGACAGAGTGAGACTCTGTCCCAAAAAAAAAAAGAAAAGAAAAAAGAAATGAATACTGATGCTATAATGTGGCTGAACCTTAAAAATGTTACTGCAGTTGACTGAAACCTGATGCAAAAGTCATATTTTGTATGATTTTATTTATATGACATGTTCAGAATAGGCAAATCTATAAAAACAGAAAGTAGATTAGGGTTTGCCTAGGGCTGGAAGGATTGAAGGCTAGGGGAGGATGGGGAATGATTACTAATGGATATAGCATTTCATTTAGGGTGATGAAAATGTTGGAAATTTAGAACATAGTGATGACTACACAGTTTGGGAATATACTAAAACCATTACATTGTACACTTAAGTGGATGAATTTTATGGTATGTGAATTCTATCTCAATAAAGGTATTAACATTTTTTATTTAAAAAATTCATCAGGAAGAAATTCTCTCCTTTAGGCCAGGCACCATGGCTTAATGCCTGTGATCCCAGCACTTTGAAAGGCTGAGGTGGGTGAATTGCTTGAGGCCAGGAGTTCGAGACCAGCCTGGCCAAGATGGTGAAACCCAGTCTCTACTAAAAATACAAAAAAAAAATTAGCCAGGTGTGGTGGCACGCACCTGTAGTCCCAGCTACTCAGGAGACTGAGGTAGGAGAATCGTTTGAACCCGGGAGGCAGAGGTTGCAGTGATCCGAGATCACGCCACTGCACTCCAGCCTGGTGACAGAGCGAGACGCTCTTTAAAAAAAAAAAAAAAAGAAAAGAAATTCTCTGCCTTACCTATGGAAACCCAGCTAAAGGGAGTTCAATAAAGCGGGAGCAAAAAGCCAGGCATGGTGGTGCACCTATAGTCCCAGCTACGCAAAATGCTGAGGCAGGCGGATCACTTGAAGCCACAGTGCACTACAATAGCATCTGTGAACAGTCACCACACTCCAGCCTAGGCAACATATATGTATATATATAATCAAGTGTTTCATCCTAGCACCAAGGGAAGCCAGTGAGGAGAATTAAAATCTGCACTACTGTCTGACATGTAGAATCAGTTTCATTTACAGAGCATAGAATACAGGGATGGAGGAGTGTATTAGAAACCATCCGAGGTTGGTTTTCCAGGAGAAAGAAAGAAAATTCCTCCCCATTTAGCAATTTTACTGAGCAAGAGCACTCAAAGATACATGCCTCACTCCATATTCAATATTTTATTTTATTTTATTTTTATTTTTATTTTTTGAGATGGAGCCTCACTGTGTCACCCAGGCTGGAGTGTAGTGGTGCAATCTTGGCTCACTGCAATGTCCGACTCCCGGGTTCAAGCGATTCTCCCGCCTCAGCCTCCTGAGTCACTGGGACTACAGGAGCGCACCACTACACCCAGCTAATTTTTTTTGTATTTTTAGTAGAGACAGGGTTTTGCCATGTTGGCCAGGCTGGTCTCAAACTCCTGACCTCAGGTGATCCACACTCGCCCCCCACCCTTCATCCCACTGCCCCAACCCCGGCCTCCCAAAGTGCTGGGATTACGGGAGTGAGCCAATGTGCCCAGCCCATATCCAATACTTTAAATAGCCCATACAGCTGATCCCACTTATTCCTGAAAACACTTGCAGTCCTAGCCTGGAGTCCCTGAAGAATCCCTCGTGGTTATAAACAGCCCAGCTGGTTCTGTGGCAGTAGCCATGTATGTTTATTCCTTGTCTATCCCTTGTTGATAGACCTCAAGGCTTGTCAATTGCAGTTGCATTTTGGAGCTGGTCTCATGGGCTGAGTTATTTTCAGCAACTGTGTGTTTACTTCGTACTCTGTTGACTTGGAGAGGGAGAGTTGAATATGTATACAGCTAAAGCCTCTGTTTCACAGCTTCAGAGATGCAGCTACAAGATCACCTGTTCAGAGTATCTGACAGACCTAAGGGGAGGTGATTAATTACATCTCTTCTAGAATGGGGTTTGAAGTATGAGTTGGGGAAGAACCTAGAATGATATGTTTGTCCTTACCTTCCCACCCCTGGTGGAGCCAAGCTAAAATAATAACGGCAAATGGTTAGTAGGGTTTCCATAGAAGACAGTACAGCATGGCTGTGCACAGTGCACCAAAAATAGTGGAATAAAGGAAAGACCTAAAACAAAACAAAACAGACTGCTTGACTTCAAGTTACATAGACCAACAAGCCATAAGTACCTCCTACACTGTGTAAATGAACTAGAGTCACTGAAATAAACTCCCTGTCTTTGAGAAGTTAGTCTTAAAAAACAACCACCACCAAAGAAAAACCTTACCAAGACAATATTGTGCTGTAGCTGATTCTGTAGCAAAAATTTCCTTTCCCAGGGAGGCTTTGTGTATTTTAGGGTGCCTAGCTTTAGTATCTGAGAATATGAAATATACGACCAAAACTTAGGAAGACAGACAGACTGAATACATGAATTGGTGGCTGATAAGGAGGGATGTTAGGTAGCTAAGAGACTGAAAGCAAGAGAGGAGGAACCCAGGATGTCAATTAAAAACAATAAAATCATGGCCGGGCGCGGTAGCTCACACTTGTAACCCCAGCAGTTTGGGGGGCAGAGGCAGGTGGATCACCTGAGGTCAGGAGTTCAAGACCAGCCTGGCCAACATGGTGAAATCCTGTCTCTACTAAAAAATACAAAAAAAATTAGCTGGGTGTGGTGGTGTGTCTGTAATCCCAGCTACTTGAGAGGCTGAGGCAGGAGAATTGCCTGAACCCAAGAGGTGGAGGTTGCAGTGAGCCGAGATGGCAGCACTGCACTGCAGCCTGGTGACACAGTGAGACTCCATCTCAAATAATAATAATAATAATGAGGATGATAATAAATAAAAATAATAAAACCAGAACATTTTATACCTGAAAAGGTTCTGGATCATGTTTTGCAATCCCTTTACGTTGCAGATGAGAAAACAGCCTCAGAGAGATGAAACTACCAGTCTGAAGGCTGCAGATATTAAAGGACTTCTCTGAGCTCACACAAAAAAGAGCAGAGTTGGAATCTGAAGTTATATCAGCTAACTTTCTCTTTATGAATTCAGCACTCTTACCTTTATACTGTTTCCTTCCAGAAGGAAGTGGGAAAAAAATGCCTAGAAACCAGATGATCAAAGCAGCAACAAGGAATCCTCTCCTTTTTTTGACTATGACAGGCTAAAGATCTGGGAGTCAAGGCAAAAAAAAGAAGGGGCAACAAGGCCTTAGTCAGCTGAGGTGGCCAAAACAAAATACAACAGACGGGGGGACTTAAACAACAGGAATTTATTTCTCACAGTTCTGGAAGCTGGGATGTCCAAGGTCATGGTTCTGGCCAATTCAGTTACCTGGTGAGGGCCTTCTTGCTGACTTGCAGATGGCCCTCAACAGGCATCTTGCTGTATCTTCACATGGCAGAGAAAAAGAGCTCTTGTTTCTCCTCTTCTTCTTATAAGGACACTAATCACATCATAAAGGCCCCACTCTCAAGACCTCATCTAAACCTAAGTACCTCTCCAAGAAAAGCCCCATCTCCTTATACCATTACATTGAGGGTTAAGGCTTCAATATATGAATTTTGGGTGGCATGGGATGTCACAAATATTTAGACCATAAGACAATCTCAGGTACAAGCAGGAAAAGGCACCACATACAAGAGGGCAAGTTGAAAAAGGAAAGAATGAGGATGAAATAAAAATGAATTGGCTGGGCGCAGTGGCTTATGCCTGTAATCCCAGCACTTTGGGAGGCCACGGCAGGTGGATCACCTGAGGTCAGGAGTTCGAGAGCAGCCTGGCCAAAATGGCAAAACCCCGTCTCCACTAAAAATATAAAAATTGGCTGGGCATGGTGGTGGGCACCTATAATCCCAGCTACTGGGGAGGCTGAGGCAGGAGAATTGTTGAACCCAGGAGGTAGAGGTTGCAATGAGCAGAGATCATGCCATTGCTCTCCAGCCTGGGCAGCAGAGTGAGACTCCGTCTTAAAAAAAAAAAAAAGAAAAGAAATAAAAATGAATTGTTCTCAGTCGTCTTTCACATTTCCTGCTGAGATCTGGGAGATGAGGAGGGAAGAGAGGGAAGGTAGCAGCTAGCTTTAGAGTATAAGCATTATAGCTGGTTCCTGAAGCTGACAGCAGTGGAGTAATGGAAAGAGACCTGAACATTGAGTGAGTTAATGGTGATTCAAGGCTCAGCTCCGCAACCAAGTGGTTGGTGACCTTGGACAGCTTGAATGATCTCATCTGCAAGGTGAAGATAATAATAACCTAACTAATAAAGTTGTTATAAAAACTAAATGAGACAATACTTACAAAAGTACTTTTTAAATTATAAAGGGTTACTTAGGTTTGTTTTGCTTCACGGTAGGATAGTTCTGGGGCTACACTAATGTTACAGATATAAAAGAAGTGGAAAACATGGCCTCGGATCTCAAGTGTCTTATGATCCTATAGGATAAATAAAGTTTACAAACATGAAAAACCTTTAAGATAGCACATGGCTGCACAGGGTTGGATCAGAGCTCTCATCTTGTCTGTTGAAGATGACTCAGGTATGGCTAGGTGTGTCTGGCTAGCTGGTGGGATGGGTCTAAGGAAGTTTATTGGCAGGAAGGCTGGGCACTTCATTTGAGAGTCTTCCTTCTAGAGAAATAAGGAGCCAAGCATGATAGCCTTTTTCAAGAGCCAGTGCCTTGGTCATCAGAATGAGGTGTGGTCATTGTTACTCAAACGCAACTCTAGTTCGACCCCTTAGCTGAAAATCCAGGGCACGTGGAAAAGACAAGTCTCGTCTAGACATTGAAAGAGCTGTTTCTTGGATCAGGTGCTGTGGCTCACGCCTGTAATCCCAGCACTTTGGGAGGCCAAGGCAGGCGGATCTCTTGATATCAGTAGTTCAAGACCAGCCTGGCCAACACGGTGAAACATCATCTCTACTAAAAATACAAAAATTAGCTGGGCATGGTGGCATGCGCCTGTAGTCCCAGCTACTTGGGACGCTGAGGCACGAGAATCACTTGAACCCGGGAGGTGGAGGTTGCAGTGAGCAGAGATCACGCCACTGCACTCCAGCCTGGGCAACAGATTGAGACGCTGTCTCAAAACAAAAACAGAAAGAGCTGTTTCTCTGTCTCTGTAACACACTAGGGCTCAAATAACATGTTTTGGGACCTCTCTCTGAGTGTATATCCAAAAGAGCAAGGGAAATTATTTTATGCTACAGCCCAGGTACTCCTTTAATACCCAGAAGGCTCTCAATGGAGCAGTTGAAAAGACTCAGAGTGCCCACAAGAGGGAACAGAGTCATGGCAGTGCCAGCCTACAGAGTTGTCAGTATCCAGCAAGGACAACAGCACAATAACCGAATACAGCAGTGTGCATTGTCCCCATCAGAGCTGTGACAATCCCCAGCAGAAACTGCCACGCCAGCTAGTATGGTGGGAGGCGGTGTTAACAGCTCAGAGCATCCACAGCTCTTGATAGAGCACTGTGGATATTTTGGGACTGAAGGATGTTGGATATCCCATGGACTTGATAGGAACATTGAGGAAGGAGGCTCCTATTAGAAGATGGACCCTAAAAAGCCAGCAAATATTCATGTAAGACAGAGTTATTTCAGATAACAAAAATATCAGCAGACTGAAATCACTGACGTCACAGAGGAAGTGGTAACTGGACCATGGAGTTGATTTCTTGTTGCTTTCTGTGATGGTTAATTTTATGTGTCACCTTGATTGGGCTAAGGGATGTCCAGATAGCTGGTAAAATGTGACTTCTGGGTGTGTCTGTGAGGGTGTTTACAGATGAGATTAGCAATGGAATCAGTAGACCGAACAAAGAAAATCCATCTTCACCAATGTGGGCAGGCATCATCCAACCGGTCGAGGGGGCAAATAGAACCAAAAAAGCAGAGGAAGGGCAAATTTGCTCTCTCTGCTTGAGCAAGGACATTCATCTTCTCCTGCCCTCAGACATCAATGCTCCTGGTTCTCAGACCTTCAGGCCTAGAGTGGAGCTACATCATTGTCTTTCCTAGGCCTCCAACTTGCAGATAGCAGATGGTCGATTTCTCAGCCTTCATAATCTTATGAGCCAATGCCTCACAATAAAATTCTTTCTATATATCTACATATATCCTATTGGTTCTGTTTTTCTGGAGAACCCTAATACGTTTGCCATGTGTGTCTGAATGTCGAAAGGTGCTTCTTATTCCACAGATCTCAGAGAACATTCAACTATGAATTCTGTAATACCCAGAAGTGCCAATGGAGCTTGAAAAGAGTCTTTTTAACACCAGCGTGCCAGGCTACGAGCTGGGCAGCAATTCTTCCTGGCAAGTAGTTCTTGCAATTTGCCTATACCCAGAGCAGATGCTGCTTCTGCTTTTCCCAAAGAAAGCTTTCTCTATATTCTGCCTTTCCCCAGAGACACAGTGGAGACAGAATCCTTAACTCTTCCCCTGGTGAACAGGCTGTTCAGAGTCTCCTATGCCACACAGGAAAAGTCAGAAACGGGTGGTAGCTGGGGATGCAAGAGAACTAGTTTATCCATAGCCTTTTCTCACTGAAGATTACCTGCAAAGATGGTTTCCAAAGTTGCTTAGGGAATCTGCAGCAGTAAATCTCAAGTGGTCTGGTGGTTGCCATTGGCAACACTCTAGCTTCCCTGAAAACAAGGGACAGGTGTGCTTTTTGCCTCTTTAATATATTGGGGATGAAGGTAGGGGGTAGGGAGAAAGACTGACTGTTCCTTATTCTGAATTCATTTTAAAGATGACTACTCAATGAACTGTAAACGGAATGTCCCTTAATATTTCCTAAGGTGTAAAGCATTTCACGCTCCTGTTTTGAGAGAGAAACATCATCAGCAATCTAGCTAAGTGATAAATAAATCAAATGAAATTTAACGAAGGCAAAAGTTGCCAGGTCTATAAGCTTGCTCCATGAATGTAAGCAAAGAGAGTTGGTATAAATCAGTTCTTAATTTTTTTTTTTTTTTTTTTTTTTGAGACGGAGTCTCGCTCTGTAGCCAGGCTGGAGTGCAGTGGCATGATCTCGGCTCACTGCAACCTCCGCCTCCTGGGTTTAAGCGATTCTCCTGCCTCAGCCTCTAGAGTAGATGGGATTACAGGCATGCGCTGCCACGCTCAGCTAATTTTTGTATTTTTAACAGAGACAGGGTTTCACCTTCTTGTCCAGGATGGTCTCGATCTCCTGACCTTGTGATCCGCCTACCTTGGCCTCCCAAGGTGCTGAGATTACAGGCATGAGCCACCGTGCCTGGCCCAGTTCTTAATCTTTAGTGGCCATAGTCATCATCTGGAGACATTGCCTGAGGCATTCTAATTCAATACGCCTGAGTTGAGGCATGGGCAACAGCAGCCTTATTTACTCTTCTTTCCACTACTATCAAGAGTCTGCAAGCAACTTATTCAACCTCACCTTTAGAGCCTATGTCACCCTGACTGAAATGATTGAAAGAAAGCTTGGAAATTCATAAAAAGAAGGAGCCTGAAGATGTGACTGTCCCCTGGAATGCCAGTCCTTTCACTGATAAACTCCTTTCCTATTCCCAACGTGTCATTCCCATCCACCACTTCTAAGATTGGGGGAAGATTTGACTATAGCTAGAGCAAGAGTGAAAAAGCAGCATCGGCCAGGTGTGGTGGCTCACACCCCCAGTACTTTGGGAGGCTGAGGTGGGTGGATCACCTGAGTCAGGAGTTCAAGACCAGCCTGGCCAACATGGCGAAACCCCATCTCTACCAAAAATACAAAAATTAGCCAGGCATGGCAGCGGGTGCCTGCAATCCCAGCTGCTTGGGAGGCTGAGGCAGGAGAATCACTTGAACCTGGGAGGCAGAGGTTGCAGTGAGCCAAGATAGTACCAATACACTCCAGCCTGGGTAACAAGAGTGAAACTCCGTCTTAAAAAAAAAAAAAAAGCAGTTATTGGCAGGATGTTAGTGCATTCTATCTGTTGCTATGATTTAGCTACACTCTGGGCTAGAGACTCTAGAAACAGTGAAGAAGGAAAAATCAGAGTCCCACCTGGGCTTCAAGTACCAACCCTCCTCTACACCTATAAAGGTGAATGGCAGGCTTCTGAGTGCTGTAGATACTGCCTTAATGCCCTTCAAATCATAAAGGCTTTGATCTAATTATAAGGCCAATTCTTTTTTTTTTTTTTTTTTTGAGATGGAGTCTCGCTCCGTCACCCAGGCTGGAGTGCAGCGGCACGATATCAACTCACTGCAACCTCCGCCTCATGGGTTGGAGCGATTCTTCTGCCTCAGCCTCCTGAGTAGCTGGGACTACAGGCATGCACCACCATGCCCGGCTAATTTTTGTATTTTTAGTAGAGACAGAGTTTCACCATATTGGCCATGCTGGTCTCGAACTCCTGACCTCGTGATCCGCCTGCCTCGGCCTCCCAGTGTGCTGGGATTACAGGTGTGAGTCATGGTGCCCAGCGGCCAATTCTTGTTTTATTGGCACATAACAATTGCACATATTTATGGGATACATCTGACATTTTGATACATGCATACAATATGTAATAATCAAATCAGGGTAATTCGGGTATCCATCACCACAAATACTTATCATTTCTTTGTGTTGGGAATATTCCAAATCTTCCAGCTATTTTGAAATATGCAATAAGTTATTGTTTACTATAGTCACCCTACTTTGCTATCAAACACTAGAACTTATTCTAACTGTATTTTACTGTATTTTTGTATCCATTAACCAACATCTCTTTTTTTTCTTATTCTTTTTATTATTATTTTTCAGAGACAAGGTCCTGCTCTTTCGCCCAAACTGGAGTGTGGTGGCAAGATTATTTGTAACCTCGAACTCCTGGGCTCAAGCAACTCTCCTGCTTCAGCCTCTCCATTAGTTGCGATGACAAGCCTGCACCACTATGCCTGGATAATTTTTATTTGTTTGTTTTTTTGTAGAGATAGGGTCTTTCTATGTTGCCCAGGATGGTCTCAAACTCTTGGCCTTAAGAGATCCTCCTGGCTGGGCGTGGTGGCTCATGCCTGTAATCCCAGCACTTTGGGGGGCCGAGGCAGGTGGATCACGAGGTCAGGAGATCGAGACCACCCTGGCTAACATGGTGAAACTCTCTCTCTACTAAAAATACAAAAAATTAGCCGGGCGTGGTGGCAGGCACCTGTAGTCCCAGCTACTCGGGAGGCTGAGGCAGGAGAATCACTTGAACCCGGGAGGTGGAGGTTGCAGTGAGCCTAGATCGTGGCACTGCGCTCCAGCCTGGGTGACAAAGCTGAAACTCTGTCTCAAAAAAAAAAGAAAAAGAAAAAGAAAAAAAAGAAATGCCAATGTGAGCAAATCTCTTCTGAAAGAAGACGGCTAGGCAGGGCATAATGGCTCAGGCCTGCAATCCCAGCACTTTAAGAGGCTGAGGTGAGTAGACCACTTGAGGTCAGGAGTTCGAGACCAGCCTGGCCAACACAGTGAAATGCTGTCTCTATTAAAAATACCAAAATCAGCCAGGCGTAGTGGCACACACCTGTAATCCCAGCTACTCGGATGCTGAGGCAGGAGAATCGCTTGAGACTGGGAGGCAGAGGTTGCAGTGAGCTGAGATCACACCACTACACTCCAGCCTGAGTGACAGAGCATGACTCTGTCTCAAAAAAAAAAAAAAAAAAAAAAAGCCGGGCGCAGTGGCTCACACCTGTTATCCTAGCACTTTGGGAGGCCGAGGCGGGTGGATCACCTGAGGTCAGGAGTTGGAGACCAGCCTGGCCAACATAGTGAAACCCCGTCTCTACTAAAAATACAAAAATTAGCTGGGTGTGGTGGCAGGCGCCTGTAACCCCAGCTATTCAGGAGGCTGAAGCAGGAGAATTGCTTGAACCCGGGAGGGAGAGGTTGCGGGGAGCTGAGATGGCGTCATTGTCCTCCAGCCTGGGCGACAAAAGCAAAATTCTGTCTCAAAAAAAAAAAAATTAACCTTGACTTTACTCATCCATTAAACATTTACCAAGAAATATTTGTTGTGCCAGGCATTCCCTGGCACTGAGGCTACGAAGAGGTATAAGACGCTTGCCATAGAATAATTCATATTTAGTCAGGGAAAGAGACTTGTAATTAATTCAAAGAGAGAGATGGACATTATAATAGAAACACCAGTGGACTCTTGGAATTCAGAAATCAGGATTTTTATCTTGAGAAAGACCCTGAAAAGGCTTATTAAATGGATTTGTATGATTTTTTTTTTTTTGAGACGGAGTCTCGCACTGTCACCTGGGCTGGAGTGCAGTGGCGCAATCTTGGCTCCCTGCAATCTCTGCCTCCAGGGTTCAAGCGATTCTCCTGCCTCAGCCTCCTGAGTGGCTGGGATTACAGGCACCCGCCACCATGCCCAGCTAATTTTTTTTTTTTTTTTTAGTAGAGACGGGGGTTTCACTATGTTGGCCAGGCTGGTCTCGAACTCCTGACCTTGTGATCCACCCGCCTCAGCCTCCCAAAGTGCTGGGATTACAGGCATGAGCCACCGCACCCAGACAGGATTTGTTTGTTTAATGAGGCACAAATTTGAATGAAACTATCTTCAAGGTTGTTGTACAACAAAAGCAAAGCACTTAACCAGTAAGAGAGACCCAGATAACTACAACGGTTGTATGTTTTGTTTTTGTTTTTATTTTTGAGACAGAGTCTTGCTCTGTTGCCCAGGCTGGAGTACAGTGGGGTGATCTCGGCTCACTGCAACCTCGCCTCCCAGGTTCTAGAGATTCTGCTGCCTTAGCCTCCTGAGTAGCTGGGATTATAGGTGCGTGCCACCACACCTGGCTAATTTTTCGTATTTTTAGTAGAGATGGGGTCTCACCAAGTTGGCCAGGCTGGTCTCAAACTCTGTCAAAGTGCTGGGATTACAGGAACGAGCCACCATGCCCAGGAAAAGGGTGTATATTTTGGCCTGGCATGGAATTAATTCTTTACTCTTTCTGAAGCACACTTTTACACTTATTACATATCTGAAGTGATGACTTAAAATATTCAGGCACGTTTCATTGGAAAATTACGTGGTATAGTGGGGTTCTCAAAAATGAGAAGTTCTCAAAGATCTCAAGAAAATTTTCTTGGCTGGACGTGGTGGCTCACGCCTGTAATCCCAGCACTTTGGGAGGCCGAGGGGGGTGGATCACATGAGGTCAGGAGTTCGAGACCAGCCTGGCCAACATGGTGAAAACCCATCTCTTCTAAAAATACAAAAATCAGTCAGGCGCGGTGGCACGCGCCTATAATCCCCGCTACTCAGGAGGCTGAGGCAGGAGAATCGCTTGAACCCAGGAGGCGGAGGTTGCGGTGAGCCAAGATCGCACCACTGCACTCCAGCCTGTGTAACAAGAGTAAAATTCTGTCCCAAAAAAAAAAGAAAAAGAAAATGTACAGATGCACACATCCACACAAACACAGAAAGGGTCTGGGTGGATATTTACCAACGTGTTATGGAACAACATAACATCTGGGTGCTTTTTTGTTTTCATTTTCATTCATCTGCTTTTCCAGTTTACCTTCAGTTAATTTGTATTGTTTATCTAATAAGAAAACCCACAAGGAATGTAACTAAACCATTCAAAAGCAAAGCAACCCCCAATAAAGACAAGTCCAGAGTATGGCCAGGATGTGGGTAGCCGGCATAGCGTGGAGAAAGGTCTAGAGTTAAGGAGGTAAAGCACTGTGAAGTTCTGACAATGGTGTGGTGGTGGATAATGGGAGGTGGCACTCTTCAGTGAGTGCAGTGAGAGGGGACTGAGCAGAAGGTCAGTAAGGACAGGGACTAGGGAGGACAGAAAGTGGTGTCATAGAAAGCCTGGAGCCTTTCCTTTCCTCCTCCTCAGTCTCTGTTACCCACACACAAGCCACCTCCCTAGAAGGAGGCGGTGGCATCTTAGCTGGTCTTCTGTCACCTGTCTCTTCCTGTCTCTAGTTCATCCTACCCACAGCTGTTAGAGTAGCCTTCTTTCAGCACTTTTTTTTTTTTTTTTTGAGACGGAGTCTCGTTCTGTCGCCCAGGCTGGAGTGCAGTGGCGCGACCTTGGCTCACTGCAAGCTCCGCCTCCTGGGTTCACACCATTCTCCTGCCTCAGCCTCCCGAGTAGCTGGGACTACAGGCACCCGCCACCACGCCCGGCTAATTTTTTTGTATTTTTAGGAGAGACGGGGTTTCACCGTGTTAACCAGGATGGTCTCGATCGCCTGACCTCGTGATCTGCCCGCCTCAGCCTCCCAAAGTGCTGGGATTACAGGCGTGAGCCACGGCTCCTGGCCCTTTCAGCACTTTTAAAAAAAAACTCTGTCCTGGCTGGTTGCATGGCTCCAGCATGTAATCTCAGCACTTTGGGAGGCCGAGGGGTGGCTGCGGATCACAAGGGTAGAGTTGAAGACCAGCCTGGCCAACACAGTGAAACCCCGTCTCTACTAAAAATGCAAAAATTAGCTGGGTGTGGTGGCAGGCACCTGTAATCCCAGCTACTCAGGAGGCTGAGGCAGGAGAATTGCTTGAACCCAGGAGACAGAGGTCGCAGTGGGCCGAGATCGCACCACTGCACTCCAGCCTGGGTGACAGAGCTAGACTCTGTATCAAAAAAAAAGAAAAAAAAAAAAAGAGCAACCAAAAAAAAAAAAAAAAACAACTCTGTCCTTGCTCAGTCATCTATAATAGGTCTCAGCTGCTTATTTAAAATAAAAATCTTTAAAGCCCTTCCCATCCCATCCTGGGTTACCCAGCTCCTACTTTCAGTACCTCTCTGAGCTGCTGCATCTGTAAAATGAACATATTGTACTCTGCCTTGTATACTGGAATAATTTTTTTTTTTGAGACAGGATTTCACTCTGTTGCCCAGGCTAGAGTGCAGAGGCACAATCATGGTTCACTGCAGCCTCAACTTCCTGGGATCAAACCATCCTCCAACCCTCAACCTCCTGAGTAGCTGGGACCACAGGTACTTACCACTATATCCAGCTAATTTTTAAATTTTTTGTAAAGATGATGTCTCCCAGGCTGAAGTTATCCTCCTGCCTCAGCCTCCCAAAGTGCTGGGATTACAGGAGTGAGCCACCATGCCTGGACTGGAATAAATTAATGGAAGAAAGGGTGCTTTAAAAAGAATTGTTCTCATTGCAACCTAATTTCTTAGTAGTCCCCAGTTGAGTCTTCCACTTCAGTATTTTTTTTTTTAATAATTGTAGATTTACAGGACATTGCAAAGAAATGTACAAGGGAAGTCCCATGCACCCTTCTCCCAATCTTAATGTTTCACACAATTAAAGTATAATATAAAAAACAAGAAATTGACATTGGTCCAATCCATAGAGCTTATTCAGAGTTCACCAGATATACATGCTGTCAATATTTTTGTTTGCGTGTGTGTAGCTGTATGCAATTGTACCACATGTAGCCTTGCATAACGACCACCACAACCAAGATCCAGAACAATTCCATTATCACAAGACTCCTTTGTGTTACCCCTGTCTGGCCACACCCATCCCCTCCCTGTGTCCCTGGCCCTTGGCACCCATTTATCTTTTATGCATCTCTGCAGGTATGTTATTTCAATGAACGTCATGTAAATGGAATTGTGCACTATACATTCTTTTTCTTTTTCTTTCTTTCTTTTTTTTTTTTGAGACAGAGTCTTGTTCTGTCACCCAGGCTGGAGTGTAGAGGCATGAGCATGGCTCACTGCAATCTCCACCTCCCAGGCACAAGCAATCCTCCCACCTCACCCTCCTGGGTACCTGGGACCACAGGTGCACACCATCTCGCCTGGCTATATGCTTCTTTTGAGATTGCTTTTTTCACTCACATAATTTGCTTGAAATTTATCCACCAGCATTAAAAAAAAATTAATTGTGCATCATCTTCAGTGAGATGTGTGCATTTTGTCTTTGTTCATGCCTTTTCCACTGCCTAGAATGCCCTCTACCAACCCTCTCTACCAATCTGTATTCATTTCCTTCAGTGTGTCTCACTGCTGTGTGCCTAAACCCATCTGACTTATTTCTCTTCCCTTATCAATTATGTATATTTCCCATACCATATCATTTTCCACTTGCAGGTAGGAGACAGGGACCACGCCCATCTTATCTTTATATTCCCAGCATCTAGTACAGTGCCTGAAATGGAGGAGGTACCCAGTAAATAATGTTTTGGATGAATGAATGATTGAAGTTGCTCTGCTGGATTCTTATATTGTGTCTTGGGTATGTGTCGTCTTCCCAACTGCACTCGAAGCTACGTTGTAAACTTGAGAGCAGCAGCTCCATTCCATTTACTAGTATAGGCGAGGTCCCAGTTAGGGTTGCCGTAGATGTTTGTATGTGGCTTCAGTGAGCGTGTGTCTTTGTGTACGTGGGGGTGAAGTGAAGGCGTGTTTGTGGGCTGGTTTCCCAGCTGCCCAGCCTGACTTTCTACAGTCAGCAGGATGGACCTGGAGATGTCAGGGCTGAAGACCCTGGAGCATGTGGCAGTGACAGTCTCCATCACTCACCCACGGCGCGGCAGCTTGGAGCTGAAGCTGTTCTGCCCCAGAGGCATGATGTCCCTCATCGGCACCCCCGGCAGCATGGACTCGTATGTACACCTGCCCGAGGCCTGAGCAACCTTTTCAGCAAGGGCCTTTCCAGGGAAAAGAAATGGAAGAAGTGGATCCTGGCACTGTCCTAAACTACTGTGGCACTGGCTATCCCTGGCGGCTGGAAGCCTTTCGTCACATACCTTCTTCAAGCGCTAGGCCCTGCACCTCACATACATGTTCTCTAATCCTTCTAAGAACCCCCTAGATTAGACTTTGTAACCTCCTTTTACAAATGAGGAAACTGGCTGGGTGTGGTGGCTCACACCTGTAATCCCAGCACTTTGGGAGGTCAAGGCAGGAGAATCACTTGAACTCAGGAGTTCAAGACCAGCCTGGGCAACAAAGTGAGACCCTGTCTCTACAAAAAATTTAAAGATTAGCCGAGCATGGTGGTACATGCCTGTAGTCCCAGCTACTCAGGAGACTGAGGTGGGAGGATCACTTGAACCCAGGAAGTCAAGGCTGCAGTGAGCTGTGATCATGCCACTGCACTCCAGCTTGGATAACAGAGTGAGACCCTGTCTCCAAAAAAAAAAAGAAAGAAAAAGAAAACAAGTCATGGAGCTAGTAAGTGCCCAAGAGAACAAGAATAAACCTAGATCCGTGGGACTCCAAGCCTGTGCGCGCTCCATGCTTGCTTTTTCCACCACACCACGTTAACACAATTTCCTCCTTCCATGAGACCCCAGGGGAAAGGGGCACCTGAGAAGCCCTCGTGGCACCCTCCCAGGTTGTTTCCACGGCTACTACAGTAAGAAAGTGTTGCTGGGGGAAGGTCAGCTCTCTGGCCCACGCCTTCCACCTGTTTCTGCTGTGTTCTTTCCTCAGGGATCCCAACGGCTTCAATGACTGGACCTTCTCCACTGTGCGATGCTGGGGGGAGAGAGCCCGAGGGACCTACAGGCTTGTCATCAGGGATGTCGGTGAGTCTCGTGCCCTCACACCAGGCCCTACCTTTCCTGCTTGTTATCTGGTCCCTCTGCATCTCAGAGTCCCCACAGAAAGTGTCCCGTGTGCAATATATAGGGTTGCCATTGGACCAAGAGAGTTGATGCCAAGAGTGTGCCCATCCGTGAAATGGGCATTGCTCTCTGAAACTGTTCATTTATACTACCTCTCATATTCCCTGGAGGAGTGACCCATCCATCTTTCCTCAGGATAGCAACAAAAAGTCCTTGTCGAAACCACATTTCAAGTCCTTTTACGTATAACCATCCTTCGGCAAGCCCCGGTAGGCAGGTAAGGGCAGGACTCATTTCACCATTTTTTTTAAACTGGCCCAGAGGTTTGAGGTGACTTGTGGAAGGTCACCATATCAGTGAAGGCCACAATATCCATGAATTGTGAATATCTTTAGTATCAGCCTATAGACTGGAAATTGAGCTCCACCCTCCCATCCTCCAGTCAGTTAGGTATTCTCTAGGCCAGTGGTTTTCAAAGCTTTCTTTAATTTGGTGGAAAGACATTTTTTTCTAATCCCAGCTGAACCCCCAAAATACGGGAGAGAAAAGCAAGACTCTGCTTTGGAGTACAGCCTTTCAACCCTTTCCATCCCTAAGGGCACCCAGTGAGGCCCTTCTGCAGAACCTGGGGTCAGTGGGACACAGTGAGGCAGCTCCTGGAGCAGACCATGTGGCCTGAGCCCCTTTGGGTGGCAGGGCGGGCAGGGCCTCTGCTGTCTGGCATGGCTGACAGAGGGGCGTGGCTCACGAGCTGCCCCTTGCTGCCCTAGGGGATGAGTCATTCCAGGTCGGCATCCTCCGGCAATGGCAGCTGACCCTATATGGCTCTGTGTGGAGTGCAGTAGACATCAGGGACAGACAAAGGTGGGTAAAGCCGCATGTGTCAGAGGGAAGGCCAGTCACAGGGGAAGGGCTGCCTAGGGAGCCCATCGCCCTCTGAACCCCAGCTGTGCTTCCCAGTTCCAGCGTCAAGCTGGTAGATGGAGCCCCGGGCTGGGAACTCACAGTCTGGGCCTCTCCTTTTTGCTGTGGGGCTTCCCTGTCTTCACCTGTAAGGCAGGAAAATGGGTGAGGGCAGATGGTATAGGAACCATAGTCAGTGGGGCATCCTCACCTCTTTTCTTCTCCACAGGCTGTTAGAGAGTGCCATGAGTGGAAAATACCTGCACGATGACTTCGCCCTGCCCTGCCCACCGGGGCTGAAAATTCCTGAGGAAGATGGTTACACCATCACCCCCAACACCCTCAAGGTACTAGGGCCAAGACTCAAGCTGCGGGTAGATGGGACTGTCCTGTCTGGGGGATGGAGTTCTTAGTGTGTTTCTCAGGGTGACCTGCGGGGTGAAGGACTGGGAAGACCTGGGTCCCAGCAGTGGTTTCATAGCATTGCTCCTACCCTGCTAGCCTAACTCTTACAGGACAGGCCTTGTCGGGGGAGGGGGCAGAGGGAACAGTTTGGGTGAAAAAGGCAGTCCCTAGAAGGAAAAAGACTTTCTGAGCTCATTGTCCTGGACTGAGAAAGGCTGTAGGCTTCGGGAAACAGTGCCTCACGTAGGTGCTTGCCTCGGCCCCAGACCTTGGTGCTGGTAGGCTGTTTCACCGTCTTCTGGACCGTTTACTACATGCTGGAAGTATATGTGAACCAGAGGAATGTGGCTTCCAATCAAGTTTGTATGAGTGGACCCTGCCACTGGCCCTATCGAAGCCAGAAAGCCAAGGAGGAAGGGACAGAGCTAGAATCAGTGCCACTTTGCAGCAGCAAGGATCCAGACGAAGTGGAAACAGAGAGCAGGGGCCCTCCCACCACCTCTGACCTCCTTGCCCCAGACCTGCTGGAGCAAGGGGACTGGAGCCTGTCCCAGAACAAGAGCGCCCTGGACTGCCCTCATCAGCACCTAGACGTACCGCACGGGAAGGAGGAGCAGATCTGCTGACCTCAGGGCCTGACAGTGTGGGACAGGCTCTTCTTTCCCAAAATTAGGGAGCTCTTGACAGAAAGCAGTTCTGATGCTTACATCTGGAATCTGAGGCATCCTCTGACTCCACTCAAAGAGGGTGAGGGCCTTCTTAAGATACAAATGGCGGAGGATTGCTGCCAGAGAAGTCTGGTCAGAGCCACAGGGTCTGCCTCCAGCCAAACGGGAGCTTTTGGTGAGAAGGTGTTGGACAGGGGATTGGCGCCCCCTTTGGGTTGGCCTCCATCCTCTTTTTTTTTCCCCTTAACACTATCCGCCTGGAAATGGGCTGCCTCTCTTTTTTTTTTTTTTTTTTTTTGAGACATAGTCTCGATCTGTCCCCCAGGCTGGAGTGCAGTGGCGTGATCTTGGGCAAGCTTTTGTGTTCTGTGTCATTTTTTTTTTTTTTTTTGAGATGGAGTCTCACTCTGTCGCCCAGGCTGGAGTGCAGTGGCGTGATCTCGGCTTACTGCAAGCTCCGCCTCCCGGGTTCGTGCCATTCTCCTGCCTCAGCCTCCAGAGTAGCTGGGACTACAGGCACCCGCCACAACGCCTGGCTAATTTTTTGTATTTTTTAGTAGAGACGGGGTTTCACCGTGTTAGCCAGGACAGTCTCAATCTCCTCTTGATCTGACCTCTTGATCTGCCCACCTTGGCCTCCCAAAGTGCTGGAATTACTTGCGTGAGCCACTGCGCCCGGGCGCCTCTTTTTTTTTGAGGTGAAGTTTCGCTCTTCTTGCTTAGGCTGGAGAGCAATGGTGGATCTCGGCTCACTGCAACTTTTGCCTTCCAGGTTCAAACGATTCTCCTGCCTCAACCTCCGAAGTAGCTGGGATTACAGGCATGTGCCACCACGCCCAGCTAATGTTGTATTTTTAGAACAGACGTAGTTTCTCCATGTTGGTCAGGCTGGTCTCAAACTCTGGACCTCAGGTGATCCGCCAGCCTTGGCCTCCCAAAGTGCTGGGATTACAGGTGTGAGCCACCGCTCCTGGCTGGGCTGCCTCTTTAATACCATCATTTGAGTTCTCTAAACGTGAATTCTTTCTAAGAAAACCCTCAGAACAACAAATATTTACTGAGCACCTACAGGTATGCCGTATACTGTGTGAGCAGCTCCAAGAGAATTCCAAGGTAAATTCGCAATGTAAACATCATTTTATATGAGGACAAAATTATCTTGGATTATATATGCCTAAAGTAATACACACTTAGTGCCACTTGACAGCACAAGTTACTTGAAAAATTACTTGACATACAATATTAAACAGATCAACAAGACAGAAGGTTAACAAGGATATCCAGGACTTGAACTCAGCTCTGCACCAAGCAGACCTAATAGACATCTACAGAACTCTCCACCCCAAATCAACAGAATATACACTCTTCTCAGCACCACATCACACTTATTCTAAAATGGACCACATAATTGGAAGTAAAGCACTCTTCAGCAAATGTAAAATAACATAAATCACAACAAACTGTCTCTCAGACCACAGTGCAATCAAATTAGAACTCAGGATTAAGAAACTCACTCAAAACCGCACAATTACATGGAAACTGAACAACCTGCTCCTGAATGACTACTGGGTAAATAATAAAATGAAGGCAGAAATAATGATGTTCTTTGAAAGCAATGAGAACAAAGACACAACGTACCAGAATCTCTGGGACATATTTAAAGCAGTGCATAGAGGGAAATTTACAGCACTAAATGCCCACAAGAGAAGGCAGGAAAGATCTAAAATCAACACCCTAACATCACAATTAAAAGAACTAGAGAAGCAAGAGCAAATACATTCAAAAGCTAGCAGAAGGCAAGAAATAACTAAGATCAGAGCAGAACTGAAGGAGATAGAGACACAAAAAACCCTTCAAAAAATCAATGAATCCAGGAGCTGGTGTTTTGAAAAGATCAACAAAATTGATAGACCGCTGGCAAGACTAATAAAGAAGAAAAGAGAGAATAATCAAATAGATGCAATAAAAGATGATAAAGGGGATATCACCACCAATCCCACAAAAATACAAACTACCGCCAGAGAATGATATAAACACCTCTACGCAAATAAACTAGAAAATCTAGAAGAAATGGATAAATTCCTGGACACATACACCTTCCCAAGACTAAACCAGGAAGAAGTTGAATCTCTGAATAGACCAATAACAGGCTCTGAAATTGAGACAATAATTAATAGCCTACCAACCAAAAAAAAATCCAGGACCAGACAGATTCACAGCCGAATTCTATTAGAGCTACAAAGAGGAGCTGGTACCATTCCTTCTGAAACTATTCCAATCAATAGAAAAAAAGAGACTCCCTAACTCATTTTATGAGGCCAGCATCATCCTGATACTAATGCCCGGCAGAGACATAACAAAAAAGAGAATTTTAGGCCAATACGCCTGATGAACATTGATGTGAAAATTCTCAATAAAATACTGGCAAACCGAATCCAGTGGCACATCAAAAAGCTTATCCACCACAATCAAGTTGGGTTCATCCCTGGGATGCAAGGCTGGTTCAACATACACAAATTGATAAACGTAATCCATCACATAAACAAAACCAATGACAAAAACCACATGATTATATCAATGCAGAAAAGGCCTTCGACAAAATTCAGCAGCCCTTCATGCTAAAAGCTCGCAATAAACTAGGTATTGATGGAACGTATCTCAAAATAGTAAGAGCTATTTATGACAAACCCACAGCCAATATCATACTGAATGGGCAAAAACGGGAAGCATTCCCTTTGAAAACCAGCACAAGACAAGGATGCCCTCTCTCACCACTCCTATTCAACATAGTGTTGGAGGTTCTGGCCAGGGCAATCAGGCAAGAGAAAGAAATAAAGGGTATTCAATTAGGAAAAGAGGAAGTCAAATTTTCCCTGTTTGCAGATGACATGATTGTATATTTAGAAAACCCCATTGTCTCAGCCCAAGATCTCCTTAAGCTGATAAGCAACTTCAGCAAAGTCTCAGGATACAAAATCAATGTGCAAAAATCACAAGCACTCCTATACACCAATAACAGACAATAACAGAGAGCCAAATCATGAGTGAACTCCCATTCACAATTGCTACAAAGAGAATAAAATACCTAGGAATCCAACTTACAAGGGATGTGAAGGACCTCGTCAAGGAGAACTACAAACCACTGCTCAGTGAAATAAAAGAGGACACAAACAAATGGAAGAACATTCCATGCTCATGGATAGGAAGAATCAGTATTGTGAAAATGGCCATACTGCCCAAGGTAATTTATAGATTCAATGCCATCCCCATCAAGCTACCAAAGACTTTCTTCACAGAATTGGAAAAAACTACTTTAAACTTCATATGGAACCAAAAAAGAGCCCGCATTGCCAAGACAATCCTAAGCAAAAAGAACAAAGCTGGAGGCACCACGCTACCTGACTTCAAACTATACTACAAGGCTACAGTAACCAAAACGGCATGGTACTAGCACCAAAACAGATATATAGACCAACAGAACAGAACAGAGGCCTCAGAAATAACACCACACATCTACAACCATCTGCTCTTTGACAAATTGACAAAAACAAGAAATGGGGAAAGGATTCCCTATTTAATAAATGGTGCCAGGAAAACTGGCTAGCCATATGTAGAAAGCTGAAACTGGATCCCTTCCTTACACCTTATACAAAAATTAATTCAAGATGGAGTAAAGACTTAAATGTTAGACCTAAAACCATAAAAACCCTAGAAGAAAACATAGGCAATACCATTCAGGACATAGGCATGGGCAAAGACTTCCTGACTAAAACACCACAAGCAATGGCAACAAAAGCCAGAATAGACAAATGGGATATAATTAAACTAAAGAGCTTCTGCATGGCAAAAGAAACTACCATCAGAGCGAACAGGCAACCTACAGAATGGGAGAAAATTTTTGCAATCTACCCATCTGACAAAGGGCTAATATCCAGAATCTACAAAGAACTTAAACAAATTTACAAGAAAAAAAACAAACAACCCCATCAAAAAGTGGGCAAAGGATATGAACAGACACTTCTCAAAAGAAGACATTTATGCAACCAACAGACACATGAAAAAATGCTCATCATCACTGGTCATCAGAGAAATGCAAATCAAAACCACAATGAGATACCATCTCATGCCAGTTAGAATGGCGATCATTAAAAAGTCAGGAAACAACAGATGCTGGAGAGGATGTGGAGAAAGAGGAACACTTTTACACTGTTGGAGGGAGTGTAAATTAATTCAACCATTGTGAAAGACAGTGTGGCGATTCCTCAAGGATCTAGAACTAGAAATACCATTTGACCCAGCCATCCCATTACTGGGTATATACCCAAAGGATTATAAATCATGCTGCTATAAAGATACATGCACACGTATGTTTATTGTGGCACTATTCACAATAGCAAAGACTTGGAACCAACCCAAATGTCCATCAATGATAGACTGGATTAAGAAAATGTGGCACATATACACCACGAAATACTATGCAGCTGTAAAAAGGATGAGTTCATATCCTTTGCAGGGACATGGACGAAACTGGAAACCATCATTCTCAGCAAACTATCACAAGGACAGAAAACCAAACACCGCATGTTCTCATAGGTGGGAATTGAACACTGAGAACACTTGGACAAAGGGCGGGGAACATCACACACGGGGGCCTGTCGGGGACTGCGGGGCTGGGGGAGGGATAGCATTAGGAGAAATACGGAATGTAAATGACGAGTTGATGGGTGCAGCAAACCAACATGGCACACGTATACCTATGTAACAAACCTGCACGTTGTGCACATGTACCCTAGAACTTGAATAAAAAAAAAAAAAAAAAAGAAAAATTACTTGACATATCTTGACATTTTAGGCTCCCAGGATTTTACAGTATTCTTAACAGGTTTTGTCAGCAAAATCAACCCCCACCCCCGCATCAGTTTAAGAGCCCTGGAAGGCTCTGCCTATTCACCAGCATAGAGCTGAGATCCTTAAAGGGCCAGTTCAGGGCACTGCTCCAGCAACCGTTGCGCTGCTATAAGCTTGAGCACATCTCTTGCCCCTCCTCTCTACTTTTATAGATCCTGCATTTATTTAGCATATAATCTTTTCAATATTGACTTTGTATATGTATGTCTTCCCCTAAACTGGATGTATCTTTTAAGGAAAAGCCTGGGGTTCGTCATCCCCCTATGTATCACCTTTACAGGCGGTCACCCAAAATCTCCACATTCATCATAGAAACAGAAATTCCACTAATAAATGTCAGGTACTGCCTCCTTAACCTTGGTCCGCTATTTCCCTCCCACTTTCAGCAGTCTGGTTTATTCCATGGGTGGAAGAGGAAGCCAAGTTGGCTGAGTGTGAAGGGAATGGCGTCAGTGTGACTTCACGCCACATCGTCCCGAATGCCAGCTCCACACTGCGGTGGCACGAACGCAGGATTGAGAGATGCAGCTGGAGTAAAGAGAGAAGCCCATGTCCCTCAGACGCCACACAAAATGGGGGTAACCGCGAGAACAAAGCAGGGTACCCAACGGGGTGTGGCGGGACACCTGGGCGCACGCCGCCAGCGCCCGGGAGAGCGAAGGCGGGGAGAGAGGAACCACGCTGAGGCGTGGCAGGATGGGGGCGGGACTTCCGGAAGCCATTTGGCTGAGTGGCAGGGGAACCGGAAGTGGAGGAGCTGCTGCTGGTGCTGGGGCCGGAGGAGGGACGCGCCGGAGCGGGACCGACGGGACCGAGCGAGCGACCGACGCGCCACCCGCCGACGCCTCAGCCGCTTGGGGCCCGCACGGACCCTCTACTTCAGTGAGTGCATCCAGGGTCGCAGGGAACCGGTGGCTTAGAGGCGGGGGTCGGAAGGGGCTGCGAGGTGTTATTGTGAGAGGCCCGCGACCTCCCCTCCCCCACCCTTGCGGCCCCTCCCCCCACGCCGCCCCATCCACTTGGGGGGGGCCTCGCGAGCGCGCGCCTTCTCTGCGGGCCCAGCGTCGGCTTCCCAGCAGCCGGCGCAGCTAGTTTTCGCTCTGAGAGCCCTTTCCCGATATTCCATACCGAAAGCTGGCGTTTCTCCTCAGCCGCCGGCCGGCGCCTCCACGGCCTTTCCCAGGAGGGTAGCGCGGCGGGCGCCCCGCCCCGCCCTGCCCTGCCCTGCCCTGCCGGGCCCACCCGCGGTAGGCCTTGCGCACCCCAGCTCGCCCCGGCTGGGCGCTGCAGCTCCTGCCCGGGTCTCCGCTGCTGCCTTTTCCCTTTATCACAGGGGTCTAACTTCTCACTCTTCTCTCCCCTCGCGTCTGGTCGGAGGCCAAAACCAGTTACTCCGTTGTGTTTTTACCGAGCACTTTTCCCTCCTCCTTTTGTTGAAAAATTTCAACTCTTTAGAAACTTCTCCGTTGCCTCTTAGGATGTGTTTATTCAAAAGTTGCATAGACCGTCACCACTCGGAAGGGATTATTTCTTGGAAGGCTTTCCAGCCCCCATCTCATCTTAGACATGAATGTGCTCGGAGCGGCTGGTGACCTGCCCAAGGTCAGCCAGCTAGATAAACCTGTCAGCGGAGAGGTTTGGGGGGATGTTTTTTTCCTGGCTCACCGTCCGTTTGCCAGATCCGTGCCTTCTGGTCTACAGGTTTGATTGACCCGTTGCGTGGTGACTCATGCTTCTGCTTTTCATAGCTCGCAGGCCAGCGTTGCTTTTCAGAATTTATACACAAACAAGAACTAACACTCGGAGCTTTCGCCTCTTTGTAGAGCTTACCCGTAGAGAAAGGAAAGACCACCCGGATCCACCCTAGGACCTCATTTTGTACAGCTTGAAATTATGGGAAGGGGTTGGGCCGGGGGTAAAGGTGTGGAGAAAGTGGAAGGAGAAAGTGCTTAATTAAGATTGTCTTTGCCTTGGATGTGCCTTGTGTCTTTGGCTTCTTCTGGGCACATTGTTCTGACATAAAGGTTGCCTCCTTGTGGGGGAGAAGGGGAGGATTAGTTTGTTGGCTTGGGCATTTGATCATAAATTATGGAGGTGCTGGACCGGAGGAACCACCCACCAGCCCACGGAGGCTACCGGGCATTCAGGATAAGGGCCGCCTTCTTCTTCAGAATAACCATACCCACTCCCTCTGAAACAAAGTGGAGAGTCTTAGGTCTGAGTGGAAACTCTAAATCTTTTAATTCTTGGTTCAACTTTCTTCATCTGTTTTCCTGGTTCAGACTAAAACATCTAACTCAGCTGGAGAAGTTATAACGCTTTGTTGTTGGACGTGGTTTCTCATTAAATACATTGCACTATGCTGGTATAAGCACTTGGAAATTCTAGTGCTGTATTGTCATAGTAAGTAGAGAATATAGAAAAGGCAGGAAAATCGTGCAAGTCGGTTACTCCTCGTCTTCCCAGAGAACTCACTTTAATGGACAACAAAGCTTCCCCTGGAGTACAGTCTGTTGTGGCAAATTAACAAAACTTGTTCTTCAGACCTTTTATTTGCATTCTGCTTGGTCTTTCTTTCTTTTTTTTTTTTTTTTTTTGTGTGTGTGACGGAGTCTCAGTCTGTCGCCCAGGCTGGAGTGCAGTGGCGCGATCTCTACTCACTACAACCTCTGCCTCCCGGTTCAAGCTTATAGGCATGTGCCACCACACCCAGCTAATTTTGTATTTTTTTTTTTTAGTAGAGACGGGGTTTCGCCACGTTGGCCAGGCAGGTCTTGAACTCCCGACCTCAAGTGATCCACCCGCCTCGGCCTCCCAAAGTGCTGGGATAACAGGCGCAGGAAACCCAAAGTCACTCAGAAGTTTGCGTCTTACCACTGGGTAGCTCTTAGTTCGTTCTTATTTTATGTGTCCATAAGAGCAGATAATTCTTCGTTTCAATTGGAAAGAATACAACAGCTGGAGCCTGAGCAACATGGCAAGACCTCGTCTCTACGAAATTTAAAAATTAGCCATGTGTGGTGGCGTGGGCCTGCAGTACCAGTTACTCTGGAAGGAAGAAATGGGAGGATCACTTGAGCCCAGGAGATCAAGGCTGCAGTGAGCTGTGTTACGCCACTTCACTCCAGCTAACGACTGACTGAGACCCTGTCGGGGTAAAAAACAAAAAACAAAACACAGCCGGCTGGGTGCTGTGACTCATTCCTGTAATTCCAGCACTTTGGGAGGCCAAGGCAGCAGGATCACTTGAGCCTAGGAGTTCAAGATCAGCCTGAACAATATGGTGAGATCCCCATCTATTGGAAAAAAAAAAAAAAAAGGTCAGGCAGCTATTCGGGAGGATCGCTTGAGTGCAGGAGGCGGAAACTGCAGTGAGCCATGATTTCTCCACTGTGCTTCAGTCTGGGCATCAGAGTGAAGCCCTATCTCAAAAAAAACAAAAAAAAAGCCGGCCGGGCGTGGTGGCTCACGCCTGTAATCCCAGCACTTTGGGAAGCCAAGGTGGGCGGATCACCTGATGTCAGGAGTTCGAGACCACCCTGACCAATATGATGAAACCCCGTCTTCACTAAAAATACAAAAATTAGCTGGGCATGGTGGCAGGCACCTGTAATCCCAGTACTCGGGATGCTGAGACGGGAGAATTGCTTGAACCCGAGAGGCGGAGGTTGCAGTGAGCCAAGGTCGCGCCGTTGTACTCCAGTCTGGGCAACGGGAGCGAAACTCTGTCTCAAAAAAAGAAAAGCCAGTTTAATTTTTATTTTTGAGACAGGGTCTTGCTCTGTCCCTGAGGCTGGAGTGCAGTGGCGCACCACCACCCCCAGCTAATTGTTGTGGTTTTTGTAGAGACACAGTTTCACCATGTTACCCAGGCTGGTCTCAAACTCCTGGGCTCAAGCAGTCCACCTGCCTTAGTGTCCCAAAGTGCTGGGATTACAGGCATGAGACACTGTACCCAGCCACAACAGTTTCTCTGATTTCCAAATTGTTTTAATCCTCTATATGCATAGTCTTCTAGGTTGTGCATTTCCAGCTTTGTTCTTAAAGAGGAGATTGTGTGAGTTTGTGGCTCAGTTTTTCTTTTCCTGGTGTTTAAAAATGTTACCAAGCCATGGGCATCAGTAAAACTGAAAGCTGCTTTGTAATAAGATTTTGATTGACAAAATAATACAAAATCAGAGTCAGAAGACACAAAGAAACACATTTCTGCTCAGATACTTTGCCATTGTAGGGGAAGAAGGATCACCTTGTATTCATAGCTATAGACAAAAAGACTGTGTAATTAGGAATATTTTGTGACCTCCCAGTTCTTCCTGCCTTGTAGCTTCAGATAAGTGACATTTTGTTCCTCGGTTTCTCTATGTGTATGCTTTTTTTATTTTCCCATGAAGAAATTTAGGGTTGAGATGGAAGTGTTTTGCTCAGGGTATCAGAATGCCATTAAATTTGGGTAGTAGAAAGTATAAGTGAAACAACTTAGTAAATTAGAATTAGAATTTATCTTTTTTCTTTTTTTTTTCTTTTTTTTTTTTTTAGATGGAGTCTTGCTCTGTCACCCAGAGTGGGGTGCAGTGGTGTGATCTCTGCTCACTGCAACCTCCACCTCCTGGGTTCAAGAGATTCTCATGCCTCAGCCTCCTGAGTAGCTGGGATTACAAGTATGTGCCACCCAACCTGGCTAATCTTTTGTATTTTTAGTGGAGACAGGATTTCACCATGTTGGCCAGGCTGGTCTCGAACTCCTGACCTCAGGTGATCCTCCTGCCTCGGCCCCCCCAAAATGCTGGGATTACAGGTGTGAGCCACCATGCCCGGCCTCTATGTAGTCTTTTCTAATCAGAACATAATATCATTTGCTCAAGAGTAGGCTTTGGAAGTCTGTCACTCTGGTTTCAAATCCCACCTGTCCTGTGTTGTTTACCAGCTCTGCTGTCATGGAGAAGTTTCCTTAGGTCTCTTTGAGCATCATGTTTATTTAAATAACAAAGCTCCTAGCACAGGGTCTGGTAAATAGTAAGTTCTTAATAAATGTTATTTTAGATCAGTTGTTTGTCTGTTGGATGAACTCTGAAAATCCATGCCTGTTTATTGAATTGTAGCTCTAAGCTGGGAGTGGTAGTGTGTGCCTGTAGTCCCAGCTACTTGGGAAGCTGAGGCAGGAGGATCACTTAAGCCTAGGAGTTTGAATCCAGCCTGGACAACATAGTGAGACCCTTCTCTTATAATAATAAAGAGATCGTATAATTTATATAGATCATTGGTCTTGAAAGAGTGTGTGTATGCACCTCTGGGGATGCATAAGATGATCCATTGGAATATAGGAAAAAAATCTCAGAACATTTATTTACTTAGAGACAAGGTCTCACTGTCACTCAGGCGGGAGTGCAGTAGCATGATCACAGCTCACTGCAGCCTCCACCTCCTGGGCTCGAGCGATTCTCCTCCCTCAGCCTCCCAAGTAGCTGGGATTACAGGCACGCACCACAACACCTGCCAATTTTTTTTTTTTTTTTTTTTTTGTATTTTTAGTAGAGATGGATTTCGCCTTTTTGGTCAGGCTGGTCTTGAACTTCTGACCTCAGGTAATCTACCTGCCTCGGGCTCCCAAAGTGTTAGGATTACAGGCGTGAGCCACTGCGCCCAGCCCAAGCAATCCTCCTGACTCAGCTTGCTGAGTAGCTGAGACTGCAGGCACTACCATGCCAGGCTAATTTCTTCAATTTTTTTGTAGAGACGGGGTCTCATTATGTTGCCCAGGATAGTCTCAAACTCCTGGATTCAAGTCATCTTCCTGCCTCGGCCTCCCAAAGTGCTGAGATTATAAGTGTGAGCCGCCACACCTGGCTAAAATCTAACTTTTTAAAGAATTTAATTTAAAAAAAGTTTTCTAATCGTTTTTTTTTTTTTTGAGATGGAGTCTCGCTCTGTCCCCCAGGCTGGAGTGCAGTGGCACGATCTCGGCTTACTGCAAGCTCGGCCTCCCAGGTTCACGCCATTCTCCTGCCTCAGCCTCCCAAGTAGCTGGGACTACAGGTGCCCGCCACCACGCCCAGCTAATTTTTTTTTTTTGTATTTTTAGTAGATACGGGGTTTCACCATGTTAGCCAGGATGGTCTCGATCTCCTGACCTCGTGATCTGCCTGCCTCGGCCTCCCAAAGTGCTGGGATTACAGGTGTGAGCCACCGTGCCCGGCCAAAAGTTTTCTAATCTATAAAAAGAAAAAATAGGCTTCACTATAATTTAAGATTCACATGAACAGTAATTGGCATGTTTATATACAAATGTGTAGGTAGTGGGGTGCATTTCAAAAATACCCTAGGCTGGGCAGGATTCTAGGCCGAGCTCAGGAGTTCGAGACCAGTCTGGGCAACATGGAGAAACCTTGTCTGTATAAAAGAAAAATAGAAAAGTTAGCTGGGTGTGGCGGTGCATGCCTGTAGTCCTGGCTACAGGCCAGGACTTCACCTCAAAAACAAAAAAAAGACCTTGTCTCAAAAAATTTTTATTAACTAACATGTAAGTTTTAATTTGATTTAAGCCTAGAATTGAACTTAGACCCAAATAAACTTTTATGTAGAAAGTATAGAATGTTTTACTGGTTTAAAAATAAAGCAAAACCTCCCACATTGTTTAAATTAATAATTTTTTGGTTGTTGTTTGTTTGAGATGAAGTCTTGCTCTGTTGCTGCAACTTCCGCCTGCCAGGTTCCAGCGATTCTCCTGCCCCAGTCTCCTGAGTAGCTGCAGCTTACAGGCGTGTTCCACCATGCCCGGCTAATTTTTGTATTTTTTGTAGAGACGGGGGTTTCACCATGTTGGCCAGGCTGGTCTTGAACTCCTGACCTCAAGCGATCCACCTGCTTTGGCTTCCCAAAGTGCTAGGATTACAGGCATGAGCCACTGCACCCAGCCGATGATGTTGTTTTTTTTTTTTGAAATCATGATGATATTCTAGTATCATTTAGAACTGAGCTAATTTGTTTGCATAATTAGTGTTAGTATTATTTGCTTCTGTAATTTATTTTTCTTGAGTGAAGGTATGCTTTCACGTTTGGGGCTTGGTACTTGGTGATTCTAAAAAACTACTGCTTTGGCAATGTAGTGTGTTTTGTGTACTCAGTAAATATGTATATTGAATGAATATAACTCGATCTTCTTTCTGAGAAAGCTTAGCTGTATTTGAGGATGGCAAGGGAAAGAAAAAGATTGCTTATATAGAAGATGACCTCCTTTTCTTCAGGAGATCGAGACCGTCCTGGCTAACACGGTGAAACCCCGTCTCTACTAAAAATACAAAAAAATTAGCTGGGCGTGGTGGCGGGCGCTTGTAGTCCCAGCTACTTGGGAGGCTGAGGCAGGAGAATGGCGTGAACCCGGGAGGCGGAGCTTGCAGTGACCCGAGATTGCGCCACTGCACTCCAGCCTCGGTGACAGAGCAAGACTCCATCTCAGAAAAAAAAAAAAAAAAGATGACCTTCTTTTCTATAAACCGCAAAACCCCAGATTTTTTTCCTTTTCATAGTCCTTTGCATTTGGAGTTTAATGTTTCTATTGTATATTCTGCAGAATTGATTGAAAGTAATCTGGTTTCTTATTTGTCTTTCTATTTATAGAAGATTAGCAGTTCTAATTTTGCGGAATTTTACTTGCTAGATGACATATTTGGACTCATCATTACTAAAATTTTTTCTTTTTCTTTTTTTTTTTTTTGAGATGGAGTCTGGCTCTGTCACCCAGGCTGGAGTGCAGTGGTGTGATTTCGGCTCACTGCAACCTCCGCCTCCCGGGTTCAAGTGATTCTCCTACCTCAGTCTCCTGAGTAGCTGGGACTACAGGTGCATGCCACCATGCCCAGCTAATTTTTTGTATTTTTAGTAGAGACGGGGTTTCACTATGTTGGCCAGGATGGTCTCAATCTCCTGACCTTGTGACCTGCCTGCCTTGGCCTCCCAAAGTGCTGGGATTACAGGCGTGAGCCACCACACCCAGCCATCATTTCTAAAATTTTCTTAGTGGAAACTTACAAAAATAAAAATACCTAGTAAACATTTGTCGAAAACCAGTGCCAAGGCCTATGACTACTTTTGTCATAATCTGTACTACAGTTATTTGTGTGATGTTTATTTAGTAACCAGTGGATTATAATCATTGCAGTAGTAATTCTGTAAGTGTTTTTTTTTTGAGACAGAGTCTTGCTCAGTCGCCCAGGCTGGAGTGCATTGGCACAGTCTCGGCTCACTGCAAGCTCCACCTGCACCTCCTGGGTTCACGCCATTCTTCTGCCTCAGCCTCCCAAGTAGCTGGGACTACAGGCGCCCGCCACCTCACCCGGCTAATTTTTTTGTATTTTTAGTAGAGGCAGGGTTTCACCATGTTAGCCAGGATGGTCTTGATCTCCTGACCTCGTGATCCACCTGCCGCCTAGCCTCCCAAAGTGCTGGGATTACAGGTGTGAGCCACTGTGCAGGGCCAGTAATTCTGTAACTCTTAACAGTAGTAAGTGTGTAACTCTTAACAGCTGAAAAGCCTCTGATGTAGATTTAATTGTACTGTAAGTGTCTAATAACTCCTTGTGTCACTTGGTACTTACAGTAACATATAATCACAAAAAACTAATATAGGTATAAAGTATATACTTGGAGGAGATTTTTTAAATGTACTGCACTGCAACTAAGTCATATTCAAAGCTATCTGGCGGTTTAGTGGTGCTATCTTTATGGGACTTAGTCATGTTCTGCAATTCATCTCTACAGAAAGTAATTGTTTCTGTTTAGTTTCCCAATTGTTTCTAGGCAAACCACATAAAACTTTAATTATTATTTAAAGCCTGATGTGTATAATATTTAAGTGGTAACAAACCTTCCTGTTAACAAATGAAACATGACATAGACGTTTTTTCTCAGGTGTAGAATGAGCCAAGGAGACTCAAACCCAGCAGCTATTCCGCATGCAGCAGAAGATATTCAAGGAGATGACCGATGGATGTCTCAGGTAAAAGGAAGTGCATGTGTATCATTCACATGAGTTGAGTCTCCAGTTTTTTGTCTGTTTTGTTTTAGTTTTTGAGACAAGGTCTCACTGTGTTGCCCAGGCTGATCTCAAACTGCAGGGCTCAAGTGATCCTCCCACTTCAGCCTCCCATATAGCTGGGACTAGTGGCACATATCAGTATGCCTGGCTTCTTCAATTATTTTAAGGTCTTTTGACCAAAACTGCAAAGGGGCAATTAAAAAAAAAACAAAACAAAACTCTAGGCTGGGCATGGTGGCTCACGCCTATAATCCCAACACTTGGGGAGGCCGAGGTGGGCGGATCACAAGGTCAGGAGTTTGAGACCAGACTGGCCAATATGGTGAAACCCGTCTCTACTAAAAATAAGTTAGCCGGTTGTGGTGGCAGGCGCCTATAGTCCCAGTTACTGAGGAGGCTGAGGCAGGAGAATCGCTTGAACCCAGGAGGCGGAGGTTGCAGTGAGCCGAGATTGTGCCACTGCACTCCAGCCTGGCAACAGAGCAAGACTGCATCTCAAAACAAACAAAAAACAAACAAAAAAACTGTAACCTTGTGACCCGTGACAGGTTGTACAAAGGGGGATTTTAATAGTCAACAAGAATTTGTTACTGTAAGTAAAAATGTAATGTTACAAATGTCCTGCCTCTTCACCATTCTGATGTTGGAACTGGGAAATATTTTAAGTTTTTTTATTTTGCAGTAATTTCAAAACTACACAAATGTTACAGAAATTTAGAAAGAAGTATCTTCATCTAGACTCACCAATTGTTAACATTTTACCGTATCTGCCTAATTATTGTGTCTGTATCTATTTTGTTTTAGTTTTTTTTTTGTTGTTGTTGTTGGTTTTTTGAGATGGAGTCTCACTCTTGCCCAGGCTGGAGTGCAGTGGTGCAATCTTGGCTCACTGCAGCCTCCACCCCCCTGCCACCCTGGGTTCAAGATATTCTTGTGTCTTAGCCTCCCAAGTAGCTGGGATTACAGGCGCCCGCCACCACGCTCAGCTAATTTTTGTATTTTTAGTAGAGACAGGGTTCTGCCATGTTGGCCAGGCTGGTTTCAAACTCCTGACCTCAAGTGATCTGCCTGTCTAGGCCTCCCAAAGTGCTGGGATTACAGGCGTGAGCCACCATGCCCTGCTGTGTCTATATCTATTTCTATATGTATATACTAACGTAGTGGGTTTTTCTGAAGCATTTGCACTCATTTCCCTTATCCCTGAATATTTCAGCATGTTTTCTTAAAAACAAGGACTTTTCTTAAATAACTATAGGATAGTTATTAAAATCATGAGATGTAATATTGATATAATACTATTATTACTTAATCCAAAGACCATATTCAGATTTCTCCAGTTGTCCCAATATTTTTTTCTTTTCTTTTTTTTTTTTTAAGACAGGGCAGTATACAGTGGCTCATGCCTGTAATCCCAGCACGTTAGGAGGCCAGGGCAGGTTGGGAAGTCAAGGCGGGAGGATCACTTGAGCCCAGGATATTAAGGCTACAATGAACTATAATTGTGCCACTGCACTCCAGCCTGGGTGACAGATTGAGACCTTATCTCAAAAAGAAAAAAAAGAAGTATACCACAGTTGATTTGCCCATTTTTTCTTTCATGGACATCTGGATCATTTATACCTTTATGAATAGTAACTAGGCCAGGAGTAGTGACTCACACCTGTAATCTCAGCACTTTGGGAAGCTGAGGCAGGTGAATCGCTTGAGCCCAGGAGTTCAAGACGAAGGAAAGGAAAAGAAAAGAAAAGTAGTAACTAAACTAGATATCTTCATTATTCTTGTCTTAAGTTAATAGGCTTCAATGAGCTCTGGCTGTAGAAAAATCAGTCAAATGGAAGAAAAACACAAATATTTTAAAAATTTTTTTGGAGACAGAATCTTGCTCTGTCAAGCATGCTGGAGTGCAGTGGCACCATTACAGCTTGCACCATTACAGCTTGCACCATTACTGCAGCCTTGGCTTCCCGGGCTTAAGTGATCCACCACCGCTTCTCAAGTAGCTGGGACCACAGGTGCATGCCACCATGCCGGGCTAATTTTTTTTATTATTTTTTGTGGAGATAGGGTCTCACTATATTGCCCAGGCTGATGATCTTGAACTCTCGGCCTCAAGTGATCCTCCTGCCTCAGCCTCCCAAAGTGTTGGGATTACAGGCATGAGCCACCGTGCCTGACTTTAAAAATCTTTTAAGCATTGCATACTGAAATATTTATACTTGGAATGATATATCCTCAGTTTGCTTCAAAATAGTCTGGGGATGGAGTGGGGCAGTAGTTGGGAGTATGACTGAAATAATGCAGGCCATAAATGATTGCTGTAGCTGGTAATTGATACATGGAGGTTTATTCTCTCTGAATGGAGATGTTATTCTCTCGGCTTTTGTATACATTTGATATTTTGCGTAATAAAAAGGTTTTGTTTTGTTTTTGTTTTTGAGATGGAGTCTCACTGTGTTACCCAGGCTGAAGTGCAGTGGTGTGATCTTGGCTCGCTGCAACTTCTACCTCCTGAATAGCTGGGATTACAGGCACCCACCTCCATGCCCGGCTAATTTTTGTGTTTTTTTAGTAGAGACGAGGTTTCCCCGTGTTGGTCAAGCCGGTCTTGAACTCCTGACCTCAGGTGATCCACGCACCTTAGCCTCCCAAAATGCTGGGATTACAGGCGTGAGCCACCACATCCCTGGCCTAAAAGGTTTTCTTAAGGGTAGTGTTGAAAGACTTGCCAAATAGAATAGAAATCGTATCAAAACATATTAACCAGAAAAATAAGGCTCAGCAGCAGACTAAGGAAAATAAACGCAGTAAATATTATAGATGAAGCATAGATACCTTATATTATCAATAAAAATATCCTAAAGGAACTAATATATAAGTATTTCAGTAGACATGATAGGAAGTGTAACTTTGTTTCCAAAAAGTGTAAATTAAAACATTAGGAAGAGAAAGAAAGAGAAACGTTAATATCTAATTCAGGTTCAAGTACAGTAAAACCAGTTCTAATATATTGCTGGAGTCCTTACAGATTAGCATATAGCCCTTTTGTTGAGAATTTGGAAATATGTCCAAAATCCATAAAAATACTGATTTATTTTGACTAAGAATTTCCAGTGTAGGAAAAATTATATATATATATATCCCTTTATCACACTTACTAGATTCACAAAAAGAGGCCACTGGCAAGTCTGTCCACAGGAAGAAGAGTGTGACCTGGGAGGCTGAGGCAAGAGGATTGCTTAAGCACAGGAGTTCAAGACCAGCCTCGGCAACATAGACCCTCATTCCCCTCACCCCCCAAAATAGCAAACAAAAATGTGTCGTTGAGTGCATTCAGTAGAGTATATTATGTGTAGTGGCTCATACCTGTAGTCCCAGCACTTTGGGAGGCTGAGGCCAGTAGATTGTTTGAGGCCAGAAGTGCAGCCTAGGAAACACACCAAGACCCTGATTCAACAAAAAATAGAAAAAAAAATTCACTGGGCATGGTGGTGTGTGCCTGTAGTCCCAGCTACTGGGGGGCCAAGGCAGGAGGATTGCTTGAGTCTGGGAGTTTGAGACTGTAGTAAGCTGTGATCATGCACTGCACTCCACCCTCGGTGACGGAGCAAGACCCTGTCTCTAGAAAAGAATATATGGCCATTAAAAGTTATGATTATAAAAACTGCATTGCTACATAGAAAAATGGTTCTAGTATGATGTTAAGTGCAACTATAACGGCTACCATTTATCAAGTACCTAGTGGGTGCCAGTCAATAGCTGGGACTCTTTAACAACTCTAAAATGGAGTTGCCAGCAGATGTTAAAACCAAGACACAAATTATGTACTTTCTTAAGATCACTGGACTGGAAAGTAGGTAAGCTAGAATTTGAATGTTGGTTTTTCTGGCCCCAGACATATAGTGCCAGAAAGAGGTGTCCATGATGCTTAAACTATGTAAAAGGGGTAACAGAGGACATGAAAAAAGATGAGGAGAAAACACTCAAGCATGGTCATAGTTACTAGGTTAAGGTGGTAGGATTATAGATGTGTTGTTTTGGTCCTTTCTATTTTTCCAAATTTATTACAACTATTACACTTTAGGAGAAAAGTACTAGAACCTTTAGCATAGCAGTCTTAAATTCCACGACTCTACAAATGCAAGCTATTTTATTGGTGTTGAAAGGTAGTTGGGGCCGGGCACGGTGGCTCAGGCCTGTGATCTCTCAGCACCTTGGGAGGCAGAGGTGAGTGGATCGCTTGAGTTCCAGACCAGCCTGGGAAACATAGCAAAACCCCATCTTTACAAAAAATGCCAAAAATAAAAGCCGGATATGGTGAAATGCGCCTGAGGCTGAGGCAGGGAGGATCACGTAAGCCCTCCCCAGCCTGAGCCTGGGAGGTTGGGGCTGCAGTGAGCTGCCCCTCATAGCTGCCACTGTACTCCAGTAGTCTGGGTGACAGAGTGAAACCCTGTCTCAAAATCTCAAAAAAGAAAAAAAAAAAGAAAGGTAGTTGGTACTACAGTACCTGCAATAGGGAGTTGACATGATAGGAAAAAGCACCTATTCACTAAACTTTTATTCTTTCTCATATCTCCTCAGTTTAAAAATATTTACTGAAACAATAGTAATTTTTAAAATACGTGTTTGCACAAAATATGGAAGCAAGGAAAAAGCTGTCCCTAATCCTGTCACCCTAAGAGAGGAAGTGTTTTGTTTTCTTTTTTAAATAAATAAATGAATATATATATATATATAGTTTGTTTGTTTGTTTAATTAGAGATGGGGTTTTGCCATGTTGCCCAGGCTGGTCTTGAACTCCTGAGCTCATGTGATCTGCTCACTTTGGCTTCACAGAGGCCTAGGATTACAGGCGTGAGCTGCCACACCTGACCAGAGGTGTTTTCATAATCTGTAAAATTATTTCCAGAAGTATTTTTGTCACTTTACACTTCACCTGTGGATGAATATCTGAGTTTTACCACAGCCTCATCTGCATTGGTATTGTCAACAGAAATACTTAAATAGTAACTCTTCCTTAATTCCTAAGGGAAACAAAGTTGAATGCAGAGTTTGAGAAAAGGAAACAGCATTGGAAACCTAGGCATGATAGAGCATTCCTGTAGTCCTAGCTAGTTGGGAGGCTAAGGCAGGAGGGTCACTTGAGCCCAGGAATTCAGTCCAGTCTGGGCAACATAGTGAGACCCCATCTTTGGGAAAAAAAGAGAGTAGGCCTTTTCCTAGACCTACATTACAGACCTAGAGCACTGTATAAATTTGTTTAAGGGATGAATATAAAAGTTTAAACTGGTCTGGCACGGTAGTTCACGCCTGTAATCCCAGCACTTTTGGAGGCTGAGGCGGGTGGATCACCTGAGGTCAGGAGTTCGAGACCAGCCTGACCAACATGGTGAAACCCCATCTCTACTAAAAATACAAAAATTAGCTGGGCATGGTGGTGGGCGCCTGTAATCCCAGCTACTCGGGAGGCTGAGGCACAAAAATTGGTTGAACCCGGGAGGTGGAGGTTGCAGTGAGCTAAGATCGCGCCACTACACTCCAGCCTGAGTGATAAAGTGAGATTCCATCTCCAAAAAGTAAAATAAAAAGTTTAAACTATGTTCTTTAGCATTGATGGGTAAAATTTGTTTTCTTTTTTCTTTCTTTCTTTTCTTCATAGTGAAGGGGTCTCATGATGTTGCCCAGGCTGGTCTCGAATGCCTGGGCTCAAGCTATCCTTCACACCTTGGCCTCCTAAAGTGCTAAGATTATGGACATGAGCCACCACACCTGGCCAAAATCTATTTTAGAGAGTGTCTTGTGCCTTTATAACAGAAAGAGGCACTCTGGGCGGAGATTACCACTGTTTATAAACTTGGATTTGACTGAAAAGGATTGAGTCCTAGTTTGCCGGTGTCTCACATTTGGAAGTTAACAGATATTTTCAAAGTCTGCATTCAAATAAAATACATGGATCCTCATTGGATCATAGTTGAGAAAATGATATAATACTTTATTGAACTCTTGGAGCCATTTGAAAAATTGAATGTTATGGGATTGTTTCTTTTCCTAGTTATGATAATAGTTTGTGGGCTTTTTTTTTTTTTTTTTTTTTAAGATGGAGTTTCGCTCTTGTCGCCTAGGCTGGAGTGTAATGGCATGATCCCGGCTCACTGCAACCTCCGTCTCCCAGGTTCAGGCGATTCTCCTCCCTTAGCCTCCTGAGTAGCTGGGACTACAGGCACCCGCCACCACACCTGGCTAATTTTTGTATTATTATTAGAGGCGGGGTTTCACCATGTTGGCTGGGCTGGTCTCGAACTCCCAACCTCAGGTGATCTGCCCACCCTGGCCTCCCAAAGTGCTGGGATTACCGGCGTGAGCCACCGCACCATTTGGTTTTATAAGAGGATGTTCTTACTCTTAGGAGATGCTTGCTGATTAGGGTGAAGAATCATAATGTTTGCATTCTACTTCACAAGTGGTCCAGCAAACATGCACACATACATAGAAACAAAGCAAACATGGGAAAATACTATTAGTTGTTGAATACAAGAGGCAGATGTATATGTGTTCATTGTAATATGTCAACTTTCTGTGTATCTACAATTTTCTTAATAAAAGTTTGAGGAAAAGATAAACTTCTAAACAGCATGTTACATGTATTTTTCTATTCTGGTTTCAGTAGAATTCTGGGTTTCTTGAGAGTACTAGAATGCTCTGTATGGTAAGGGTGAGAAGAAAGTTCAAACAGTAATTTATAGAATGAGAGGAATAAGCTTTGGGGATAGACTAAAAAAAATGTTCAACAACAGTAACTGGTTGAACAGCTGTTCTTTCTAGGCCAAGAAGTCTCACAGGGAAAGAAATATCAGTTTCTTTTTTTATTAAAAAAATTTTTTTTTGGCTAGATGTGTGGCTCACACCTGTAATCCCAGCACTTTGGAAGGCTAAGGTGGGCAGATTGCTTGAGCTCAGGAGTTCAAGACCAGCCTGGGCAACATGGTAAAACCTCGTCTCTACAAAAAAATAGAAAAAATTAGCCAGGCATGGTGGCATGAGCCTATAATCCCAGCTATTCAGGTGACTGAGGTGGGAAGATGACTTGAGCCCCTGAAGCAGAAGTTGCAGTGAGCCAAGATCACGCCACTGTACTCCAGCCTGGGTGAGAGAGCCAGACGCTGTCTTAGAAAAAAAAAAAAAAAGAAAGAAAAAAGTTGTTTTTGTAGAGATGGGATCTTGATATATTACCCAGGCTGATCTCAAACTCCTGACCTCAAGTTATTCTCCTGTCCTGGCCTCCCAAAATGTTGAGAGTTCAAGCATGGGCCACCACACCCAGCCAGAAGTGCCAGTTAATAATTTTTTTTTTTCTTCTTCAAACCAGCACAACAGATTTGTTTTGGACTGTAAAGACAAAGAGCCTGATGTACTGTTCGTGGGAGACTCCATGGTGCAGTTAATGCAGCAATATGAGGTAAAGGTGGAAGGGATGAGCGTGGTTCTTGGCTACTCATGTATATCCATTCATTACTAACAGACTTTCATTCTGAGCTGAACTTACTTATTTGTGACTCTTAGAGAAGCCCTAATTGAGGTTATAAGAGAATCAAAGCTACCTAAAGGGATTTTCTTTTCTTTCTTTTAACTTGGCCATGTTCTGATCTGAAGCATTGTTTATAATGAAACTTCCTCTTCTACTCTGGTTTCCAAGAGGCTTGATGTTATATTTGTTTATATTTGCTCTACTCAGATTGTCAAGTTATTATTTGTATCTTAGTATTTCCTATTTGTATTTGCTAATAACATTTATCCTAGTCATGATTCTTACTTATATTTTGCCATTTTCCTATTTCATATATTTTTGTAGTAAGCTATTGCCAATCTTCTTTTAGGGTTTAGGCATTCTTCCATGGGAAATTTATTAGTTTTTTTATTTTTTAATTTATTTTTTTGAGACAGTCCCGCTCCATCGTCGAGGCTGGAGTGCAGTGGCACAATCTCAGGCTCAAGAGATTCTCATACCTCAGCCCCTGAGTAGTTGGGATTATAGGCATGTGCCACCATGCCTGACTGATTTTTGTATTTTTAGTGGAGACGGGGTTTCACTATGTTGGCCAGGCTGGTCTCGAACTCTTGGCCTCAAATGATCCACGTGCCTTGGCCTCACAGAGTGCTGGGATTATAGGCATGGGCCACTGTGCCCAGCCCCAAGGGAAATTTAAAAGATAGCTTTTTTTTTTTTTTTTAAGCTCTAGCACTCTAAATTTCTTCATCTCTTGTTTCTACTTCACCCTGTTTCTGTAGTTCAATAAGTGGAAAGGAGGGTTTGTTGAGTTGACAGCTTAATTATTAATGTTGATACCTTTTAGGGGGCATCAGATTGAGTTGTGACTCATTTCTTGAGCTGAGACCTAAGGCTGCATTAAGAACTGAGTTACACAATGGTATCTTAAAAGCCCTTAAACAGTGTCACACCATTACAGTGTTATCTTTGAATACAGAAAAAGGAAATTAATGCCTTGCAACACATTGCAGTCGAAAGATTAAACTTTCCCCTAGTTTTAGGTACACTAAATCAAGTTTTTCTTTTTTTAGATATGGCGAGAGCTTTTTTCCCCACTTCATGCACTGAATTTTGGAATTGGGGGAGATACAACAAGACATGTTTTGTGGAGACTAAAGAATGGAGAACTGGAGAATATTAAGCCTAAGGTGAAATGAAAGTTACTTGTCAATGTCATTAATCTTAAGTCTGTTTTGGATAGTTAAATTGTCTGAAACTGTAAAAAAAAATTGCTTCTTTAAAGACCTATTTCACTATTTTTTTCGTGCCTCTTTAAGGTAAATGATACTGTCATTGCTTGAGAATATGCCAAAATATATAATTAAGAAACTAGTGAATTGTTTGCCTATTGGGTTGTATTTATAGTTGTTATAATTACTTTCTTAAGTTGAAGGAAGAGTTTTTTTTTTTTTTGAGATGGAGTCTTGCTTTGTCACCCAGGCTAGAGTGCAGTGGTGTGATCTCAGCTCACTGCAACCTCCGCCTCCTGGGTTCAAGCGATTCTCCTGCCTCAGCCTCCCGAGTAGCTGGGATTACAGGCGCCGCCACTGTGCCCAGCTAATTTTTGTATTTTTGGTAGAGATGGGGTTTCACCATCTTGGCCAGGCTGGTCTTGAACTCATGACCTTGTGATCCACCCGCTTCGGCCTCCCAAAAGTGCTGGAGAATTACAAGCATGAGCCACCGCGCCTGGCTGAAGGAAGAGATTTGATGCTAACGAGGTATGCTATTCTGTGGAATGCATAGATCTCGGGCAGTATGAGGGAAAACTGCTCAGAGGTGGGCCATGGGAGCAGGGCCATGATTAACTTTAGGAAGTAATTTTGGATCTGTTTAACCATATAAACAGGTCAGTAATCGAGGCCTGCAAGTTCATCTGAAGAAAATTAGAAGCAGATGTGAACAAATGAACATTTCTACCCAGTATCTTATATCATAAATACTCTGAGTTGGCACACTGTATATAATTGTTTCAGCTCCCAAAAAAGAACAAAAACTGAGCCCTGACAAAACGTGCTTTCATTGAAAGTTGTTTGTTTTAAGACAGGTTCTCTCTGTTGCCCAAACTAGAATGCAGTGGCATGATTATAGCTCACTGTAACCTCAAACTGTTGGACTCGGATGATCCTATGGCCTCAGCCTCCCAAATAGCTAGGACTGCAGGCATGTGCCACCATGCTTAGCTAATTTTTAAATTTCTTTTTGTAGACAGGGTCTTGGTCTTGTTATGTTGCCTAGGCTGGTGTCAAACTCCTGGCCTCAGATGATGATCCTCCCGCCCCGGCCTCCTAAAATACTGGGATTATAGGCTTGAGCTACCATGCGAGACTGTGATTTTTTTTTTTTTTCTCTAAAGAGAAAAACTTGATGGATCAGCGTGGTGGGTTATGCCTGTAATCCTAGCACTTTGGGAGGCTGAGGCACGCAGATCACTTGAGGCTAGGAGTTCACGACCACCCTGGCCAGCATGGTGAAACCCTGTCTCTAGATTTAAAAAAAAAAAAAAAAAGCCAGGCATGGTGTCACACACCTTAGGAAGCTGAGGCAGGAGAATCACTTGAACCCATGAGATGGAGGTTGCAGTGAGCCAGGATCACACCACTGCACTCCAGCCTGGGTGACAGAGGAAGACTCCGTTTCAAAAATAAATAAATAGAAAAATTTGTTAAAGTTGCATCCAGCCTCCACCTCTGTGACTCTTTTCCTTGAGTGTACCTGTGTATTTATACCGTGACAGGTTCTTGCTGTGTCACCCAGGCTGGAGTGCAGTGGCATGATCATGGCTTACTTGCAGTCTTGAACTCCTGGGCTGAATCAATCTTCCCACCTCAGTGTCCCAAAGCATTGAGATTATAGATGTGACCCACTGTGCCTGGCCAGGTTTTATTTTTATACAGTTTATTAATCTTTTTTGTATAATTTTTGGATTTTGAGAAATCAGCTTCCTGCTGCATGATGATATAATTCTCTCTTGTTTCCTCCTAGTACAATTTTACCACTTAAATATTATTCCCCTTGGAATTTATCCTGATATATGATAGGAGGCATAAATCGATGCATTAAGATTTCTGCCCTGGCTCAACATTTGTAGTCCCAGCATTTTGGGAGGCCAAAGAAAGATGGATTGAGCCCAGGAGTTTAAGACCAGCCTGGGCAATATAGCATGACCCTCTATCTCTTAAAAGAAAATTTAATAGGATAGCTGCCCAGTTGAAGTTAGCCAACACCATTTGAAAAGTTTATCTTTCCTTCTTTGCTTTTTGAAATAAGATTTTCGGCCGGGCGTGGTGGCTCACACCTGTAATCCCAGCACTTTGGGATGCCAAGGTGGGTGGATTACCTGAGGTCAGGAGTTTGAGACCAGCCTGGGCAACGTGGTGAAACCCTGGTCTCTACTAAAAATACAAAAATTAGCTGGGCGTGGCGGCACATGCCTGTAGTCCCAGCTACTCGGGAGGCTGAGGCAGGAGAATCACTTGAACCTGGGAGGCGGAGGTTGCAGTGAGCCGAAATGGTGCCACTGCACTCCAGTCTGGGTGATAGAGCGAGACCCCATCTCAAAAAAAAAAAAAAAAAAGATTTTCATCTAAATGTTGGACGTTCCTTTGTTCCTGGGTATTTATCTTCTCCTTCCCCCCTTTTTTCTTCAATTGCAGGTCATTGTTGTCTGGGTAGGAACAAATAACCACGAAAATACAGCAGAAGAAGTAGCAGGTGGGATCGAGGCCATTGTACAACTTATCAACACAAGGCAGCCACAGGCCAAAATCATTGTATTGGTATGTAGTCGTTGGTGGGTAGAGAGTTTGTTATCTTTAGGTCAGCTGAGGAATCTTTTTAGAAATGTGATTGCTCATGAATATTAGAGAACCTTGAGGTGGAAGCAGTTTATCATACTTTCGTTGACCTCTTCTTTAATGTATTTTACTGTCTTACTGGTTTCATCATTCCCCATACCAGCTGTGGGGCCATCTTTTATCCACGCATCCTTGTTTAGAAGTATGGAAGCCGTGGCCAGGCGCTGTGGCTCACGCCTGTAATCCCAGCACTTTGGGAGGCCAAGGTGGGCGGATCACGAGGTCAGGAGATCAAGTCCATCCTGGCTAACACGGTGAAACCCTGTCTCTAATAAAAATACAAAAAATTAGCCGGGTGTGGTGGCAGGCGCCTGTAGTCCCAGCTACTCGGGAGGCCGAGGCAGGAGAATGGCGTGAACTTGGGAGGCAGAGCTTACAGTGAGCAGAGATTGTGCCACTGCACTCCAGCCTGGGTGACAGAGCGAGACTCCGTCTCAAAAAAAAAAAGTATGGAAGCCGTTTGGTGCCTCAGTACTCCTTTTTTTGGCCTCCATAATTTTTTGCACAATGGCACATGAGATTTGTCTGAATCCTGAGTCTTTTTATTAGACCTATATTTGGATTACTTTGTAAGTGTCCTGTTTTACTGCTAATATGTTAAAGGTGGTATATTAGACATTCTAATCTTCTCTAAAACATAAAAAATTTCATCAGCAAGAAAATGGATACTTTATAGTTGTACCCTGAACAGAAAGGTGCTACCCTTTTGTAGAATTAAAGCATTAACTCTTCATGGTCTCAAAGGTGAACAGCTGTCTGTTTCAGTATAAAAGTCTAGCTGTAGGCCGGGTGTGGTGGCTCACGTCTGTAATCCCAGCACTTTGGGAGGCCGAGGCGGGTGGATCACAAGGTCAGGATTTCAAGACCAGCCTGGCCAAGATGGTGAAACTTCGTCTCTACTAAAAATACAAAAAAATTAGCTGGGCGTGGTGGCACGTGCCTGTAATCCCAGCTATTCGGGAGGCTGAAACAGATAATTTCTTTTTTCTTTTTTTTTTTTTTTGAGACAGAGTCTCGCTCTGTCGCCTAGGCTGGAGTGCAGTGGCATGATCTCGGCTCACTGCAAGCTCGGCCTCCCAGGTTCACACCATTCTCCTGCCTCAGCCTCCCGAGTAGCTGGGACTACAGGCGCCCGCCACCACACCCGGCTAATTTTTTGTATTTTTAGTAGAGATGGGGTTTCACCGTGTTAGCCATGGTCTCGATCTCCTGACCTCGTGATCTGCCTGCCTTGGCCTCCCAAAGTGCTGCGATTACAGACGTGAGCCATCACGCCTGGCTGAAGCAGAGAATTTCTTAAACCTGGGAGGTGGAGGTTGCAGTGAGCCGAGATCGTGCCACTGCACTCCAGCCTGGGCAACAGAGCAAAACTCGGTCTCAAAAAAAAAAAAAAAATGTCTAGCTGTAGATATTCTTAGTCAGTTTGAAACATGTTTTAGCAAAATCTGATACAAATTTAGTTCTTTAGTGAGATGGTGTTAGGAAGATAGTCATTTACTCAAAAAACCTGAGGATCACTGTGTACAAGGCACTATCCTAGTTCTTGAGCATACAAAAATGAGTAAGACATAGTTTCGGTCTCAAGGAGCTCACAGTCTAGTGTATGGAGACAGCAACACAGAATTATTATACTGTGTGCTGTTTAGAGTAAGGTGAAAACGTGTTTAACAAAAGTTGACATCTGCATTCAAAGACTTCATTGGTTTCCAGACAAATAGGGAAAGAAGGAAGGTATTATAGAAAAATAAAGAGAATTGAGCAAAGGCTTGTACATGTATGTGTTTGTTGGGTGAGCAGAGGAGGCTGCATAAAGTTTGAGCCTGGGATGGTTAGGAGAAGGAGGCCACAACCAGGTCATGTAGGATTTTTTTTTTTTTTTTTTAATTTGAGATGGAGTCTCGCTCTACTGCCCAGGCTGGAGTGCAGTGGCGTGATCTTAGCTCACTGCAACCTCCGCCTCCCGGGTTCAAGTGATTCTTCTGCCTCAAATCCCAAGTAGCTGGAACTACAGGTGCATGCCACCATGCCCGGCTAATTTTTGTTTGTTTTTAGTAGAAACGGGGTTTCACCATATTGGCCAGGCTGGTCTCGAACTCCTGACCTCGTTCGTGATCTGCCCGCCTCATCCTCCCAAAGTGCTGGGATTACAGGCGTGAGCCACTGCGCCAGACCAGGTCATGTAGGAATTCATATGCTGTTGGGATGTTTGGATTTTATCCACAGTTGCTGGGGGGCCAGATCTTTTTTATTACAAGGCATTTCATTTACTTGTTGAGGTACTTATTTATACCTGCCTTATTCCAGAAAGGATTGTGTTAAGAGTCCACCTGTTAAGTACAGTGACTAGTACATAGTATTTGCTTAGGAAATATTTGTTGTATGAATGTTGCTCAATAAGCCTTCCATATTCTTTGTTTTTAAATTGGATATACAAAAGTGTTAATTATGGTGTTGTCCATAATACTAAAACTTTGGAAATAACCTAAATAGTAGTATCATGGAAATGATTGTATAAGTCATTGAATATGATAGCAGTAATCACATTACAATTATGAGGGCTGTGTGCAAACAGACTTTATGGTGTATTTAAGTGAAAATGTTTTTGAATTGCTTTGCTGGGCATGGTAGCTCATGCCTAATCCTAGTATCTATGCAATTGGAAAAGGGCTACAAGAAGACAAAATTAAAACAGTTATTCCAGGGTTATTCCAGGGTGAATAGCTCTGATTCATCAAGACAGCATTCATTCCACCTCTTTTTCTCATAGTATATTATGGTGTGGGTTCCATGTGGCATTAATAGATGATGTGTATCTATGAGCTTGATTATTCTGACAGCCAAATGGAGAATGGATTGAAGGGTAGACAACGTTGGAGGTGGGAAGACCAATCAGGAGGTTTTATAGTAATTAAGATGATTGGAGATAAGTTCCTGAGCTATAGCAGTGTATATAATCAGGATGGAGACAAGAAAATGACATTTAGGATGCAAAAGTTGAATAATTTAATGATAAATAGATAAGATATATGGGATGTGAGACTTGCAGATGTTGGAATGACCAGTTGATAAAGAGGAAGAGCATAGTTTAATGAATTGCTTTTGGATCAGTTGGGAGTGCCTTGGGAACATTTAAATTTCTTTCTGTAGCTTAGAAGTTTCATATGTAATTCTGAAGCTCTAGGAAGAGATCTGGCTAAAGTATTTAGAGTAGTGGGCCAGAGGACAGGTCCTTGAAGAATACCAACAGTTAAGGGACAGGAGGAAGGGAACCCATGAAAAAACTAAGAAGAAATGGTTAGCTTTCATTCAAAACAGTATTTTCCAATGTTTCACAACTCAAAGGTGTAGAAAGTGCCAAATGGAGATGTTCCAGGAATATCTGAAGTTATAAATAATAAGTAGAGAAAAATAAGTGAATCTTCTAATTTAATGTTTTCCACTGTGCCCCAGGGTTTGTTACCTCGAGGTGAGAAACCCAATCCTTTGAGGCAAAAGAACGCCAAGGTGAACCAACTCCTCAAGGTTTCGCTGCCGAAGCTTGCCAACGTGCAGCTCCTGGATACCGACGGGGGTTTTGTGCACTCGGACGGTGCCATCTCCTGCCACGACATGTTTGATTTTCTGCATCTGACAGGAGGGGGCTATGCAAAGATCTGCAAACCCCTGCATGAACTGATCATGCAGTTGTTGGAGGAAACACCTGAGGAGAAACAAACCACCATTGCCTGACTGGCTCTTATCAGTGTTAATAGCATCTCAGCTTCCTCAGATCAGTTCTATCACTGGCACTACAGAATCCTTCTCTTTCTTAAGGCACTTTGCATTGTAGAATGTTCCTGGATGTTCATATCTAGTGTTTGAAGGGGAGGAGGGATTTAAACTGGTCCTGTACATAGAAGGTTTGTTTGACAGAGGAGAAAAATTAGCCAAGGAAGATTGTTGTTTAAATTCATTTGAAACCAGAAGGGGACTTTTTAGTTGTATGTGTAACACATTCATTGAATTATTATCACTGTTTTCTTGGGACAACATCAAGCCTAAATACTGAACAATATGAAGATTCTTTTCTTGGCCTTTCTGTGGATTATGTCATATATAATAATTATCAGAATCATTCTACTTGGCTTTAAAACATGTTTTCTCCAATTTTTTTAAGGTTCATAATTTAGCCTTTTGTTTTTATGTTGCTTAGATTCTTATGTATACTGAATATTTTATTAACATGTAGCATCAGGTTGAACATGCTTGTCATTGATATATGGAAGATGCTATAGTTAGAAGTGAATTTGTTCTGCTTTCTTAATCTTTTCCATGCTTAGCAGTGAAAAACAGGTTTTGCCCCAGTAGAGGGATTCTTTGGAGGGTATTATTTTTTATGCTGCTGAATATCATGTCTATAATAGACCCGTGCATGCAGCCTTTCCTCCTTATTCCCCTTCATGCCCCCCTTTCCCCTTCATTCCCCCCGCCACCCCGTTTTTTTTTTTTTTTTTTTTTTTTTGGTTCTTGTTGACATTACAAGCTTTTAACACATTTTTGACCTAGGAGCCCTGTTGCTGGAAGTATAGTCTCCAGCCAGTTACTCTCATGATAGTACTGCTATAAAACTCATTCTTGTGTGGTGTTCTGTGCTATAGATTCTGTGTATTGCTGTTCATATTCGGAGTTCTGGTTTTGTTTTTCCCTTAAAACCTGTTAACAGTTTTTTTTGGGGGTGGGGGGATTCAGAACTCTTGTTTCCCATTCCATAGCACCTGACATTATTTCAAGTTTTATAATATCTTAAGGTGTATATTTTATTTTTTTTATTGGCTTAGTTGTTTTTTGTTTTGTTTTGTTTGAGATGGAGTTTCACTGTTGCCCAGGCTGGGGTGCAATGGTGTGATCTTGGCTCACTGCAGCCTCCACCTCCCGAGTTCAAATGATTCTCCTGCCTCAGCTTCCTGAGTAGCTGGGATTACAGGTGCATGCCACCATGCCCGGCTAATTTTTATATTTTTATTAGAGACGGGATTTCGCCATGTTAACCAGGCTGGTCTCGAACTCCTGACCTCAGGTGATCTGCCCGCCTTGGCCTCCCAAAGTGCTGGGATTACAGGCATGAGCCACCGTGCCTGGCCTTATTGGCTTAGTTTTTAAATTATCCTCCAAAAATTTTGGGCCTTTTTCTGTGGGGAAACAAGTGAAGCTGCTCTTCAGCATAGACACTACCTTTATCCCATCATTTTAGTAAAAACTAGGTTTGTTTCACTTCTGAGGTGTCTTATTAATGTACTTCATCTGAGAATTTGTTGATCTTAATGTTCGAGCTATATAAGAACTGCCATTAAAAAAAATGGGATAATAGATGATTTTATCAGTATACCTGTGGAATATGTACAAACTGGATCTATAGATATTTTGAACTGGACCAGGTGGGTATTGAAGTAACCCATCAAAATATGCTCTGCAGTGATTCCGCTTAATGTTTAAATTCAGTAACGTACTTGAAAGGCAAATTTCAGTGCTTTTGTATGTTGGAGGAGGGCTTACTGATGCGTGCTAAGACCGATTTCTGATTGAGGGATGAACCTTGGGCTCATTTTTTTCTTGTGAAGTCTCTTTCTAGAAAATTTTTTGGTTTTGTTCTTTTTAAAAAATACATACTTTTTTGAATGTATCATGTCTTCATTAACAACAGAAAATCCACATGGTGTTTACTAAACTTGTTTACGACATTAAAAATTTCCTTTTTATTTTTAGTAGCCCAGGTTGAGTTTTTCACAAGAGATTTTTTTCTTAGCTGAGGTATAGTTGTATAGCAAGAAGAATTAAGCCAGATTTTTGTGTGTGGAAAGACAGTTTTCTATCCACGTCTTTTTCTGTTTGTCAGAAGGTGGGAGTATGGTCCAAATAAATCCATTAGGTTACTCCTGCAGCATGCGCTTTTAGCTTCTCTCTTGACTGAGGATCAAATATCCCTTTGTGAGCTGGCCCTCAGCTCCTTTGCTCATGTGTACAAACCTCAGATGTTACTACATTTTATATCTACCAGAGCTATTCAAGCAATAGTATTTGAACCACTAGCCTTTTAAATAAAATTCTGCCCCATTACTGATGTGCAGATATTGAGTTCACTTTCATTTTTTGCCAGATTTCTTTGCACTACTTTAGGTAAAAATAGTTAATCTATTTTTCTTTGACATCCTAGTTTGCGTCAGTGACAGAACTTACTGCTTAGTCTTTGTACTTTTTAAAAAATCTATAAATTTAATGCACTGTCCAAGTGAAATGTCCTAGTTGTCATTGTGATTAAGGGGCCAACTTTCCAGGCAGCTAGCAGAGATACTATTCTCTTCCTCTCCCAGCAAATTTGTATTCCTTCGCCCACGCATTCCTGCTATACTAGATGGCAGCCAGTGATGGAACTATAAAGATGTCTGTGGTCATATGTTGAATGTGGCAGCTTGAAGATGTACTGCCACGGGTGATCTAGGGCAGGCTGTCTTCCAGTCCATGTGTTCTCGGTCGCCGTAGACAGCGCTCTGGCTACCACCGTGAGGCTACTTGAACTGTCAGGGGCATCTGCCTAAACCAGAATCTTTTGTCAGAAACCTTAACCCAACAAAACAAATCTTGAGTAGCTCATGCCCGGCTCTTAGGAATTTTGTCTGTTTAAAAAAAAAAAAAAAAAAAAAGTCCAACTTACTTTATTTTATTTTTTTAACCTAGTCACTGTTTACAATTGTATGCTAAAGCCTGAAATATTGTCTGTGCTGTGGTGTATGAGCATTGCCAACTTTATATTTATTGCAGTGAAGAAGAAACTAAAAATATATGGAAATGAGGAGCATGTCCAAGCTCCTAAATCCGTGTGGGTGCATGTGGGAGAAGTGAGTTAGGGCCTCTTGAAAGGAGGCTTTTTGGAGAGGGGTCCCCCAGGTTTCTTGGTGTTCCTGCTTGGGGATCACTGCTGCTAGCTGACTGGACCTCCCCATTGGAAGTTTGTGATTTTGCTTTGGCAAAGTTTCATTGACTAGTAGAACTCATTCTGTTTTAGTGTATATTTCAATATAAATGTAAACATTTTGCTCAATTTGCTGGTGTCTTTCTGTCTCCTTTATCATAGTTTGGATTCTAATGAAAAAAAGGGATGGTTTTTCCCTGCCTTATCATAAGGAAATTGGATACTTAGATGATCCTGCTTCTTTACTGTGGAACTGAATGCACCAGGCTGACTCATCACTTACCTTCTCGGGCATGTAGATTGGTAGGGTGGGATGAGTAGGTATAAGGACCCCTCAGAAAGCACAACTGCCATCCTTGAAGTCTACTCTTTTCCATTAGATTGGAATAGTTTTGCAGATAGGTTAGTCTGGATTATAGGCTGTGGACCACCTCATCTGAACTGGGTGAATGTCATCAGTCAGTATAATACAGTGTTATTGGCCGGGCTCACGCCTGTAATCCCAGCTACTCAGGAGGCTGAGGTGGGAGAATTGCTTGAACCCAGGAGGCGGAGGTTACCGTGAGACGAGATTGCGCCATTGCACTCCAGCCTGGGCAACAGAGCGAGACTCTTGTCTCGGAAAAAAAAAAAAATACAGTGTTACTACAGCATAGAGGACATGAACCTTGAGCACGGACTCATTTATCACCCTTACGTCCCCAGGGTAAAGCAGCCGCCTCCAAATACTCTATCTCAGAGATAGTGAGACTAGAACAAGGGTCGGTTAACTGGTCGATCGGGACCTATCCTGATGACACACCAGCAACTACCAGGCCAGCAATATTACAGTGAGTTGGTATGCCGGTATGATGTTCCTTGGCAGCTAAAAGTTTCTGTGATCTTTGTATCATTTGCTTTATCACTGTTCACCTCAGTGGTATACTGTTGGATTAAAATGATTTGCTGCTTTAGGAGGAAAAATTTGGAGGTAAATTGAGACATTTTGTTTTTCTAGCTGCCCTTCCCCCCTCCCCAGTATCTCATCACACCAAGTTCCTCTCCACCCACACTCCTGGAGGCCTTTGTCAGCTGCTTGCAGGCCACACAGCAGCAGTGAAAGCAGCCTGGATCTTGAAGCTTTGCTTTACTGTATGTGGATTACCCCATGTGAACCTCTTAAATGGCCCAGAACAAGTGGAAGTGGTAGTAATGTGGAAGAAAGAAAAAGCTCCCTCACCAGCATCTGTACTTGAGGGGAAAACTGGACAAACCAACATGAGAATCTGTCCCCTAATTTATTTTCCAGCCATGGCAGAGATGAAATCTTAACCCAATGACATGTTTTTACATAGCTATAAAGCAAAGATCTTCAATGTTTTGCTAAACATATAATATTTGTGGCCTGATATTATGCTATGCCTTTTGCCTACTTGCTGGTTCATTCTAGCTTTATATATATATATATATATATATATATATATATATATATATATATATATATATATATTTTTTTTTTTTTTTTTTTT